>NC_000006.12:40060000-40363030 GCF_000001405.40 Homo sapiens
ATCTGTATAACAAAACCCCATGACACCCATTTACCTGTGTAAAAAAAACCCTGTATATCCTGCACATGTACCCCTGAACTTTAAGTAAAAAAATAAAGTATTTTTAGACTTTGGGGAAAAAAACAGGTTACCCATCTCTGCCTTGCTAAGTGCCTAGATTGCATGTTTATTTCATAATTCCTTTGATCACGGTGGCAGGAGTCTTATGCATTTTACATATTTTATGCCATGCTAAAGCAGTTCCATGTATTCCTATGTTTAGACATCCATATGTTGTGACTTTCTTCAGAGGACATTGCTATTTTACTTTGATGAGTCAAGTACTTTACTACCTTAAAGGCAAACACCAGAGCTTGAGCAGCAGTTTCCCTGAATTTGGATTTATGCTTTCTCCCTTCGTTTGAATTTTTAAATGGCTATTAGGAATAAAATTTGTTACTTTTTGAACTTTTATGGATTATGTTTTGGTATCTGAGCTATAATAATCATTCAGCACATTAGCTATCTTTATTTTACTCAAGATATGAGAACTTCTATTAATAGCCTGGATAGAATTGGACATGTCATTTTTATCTTGTCTTTCTGGAAAAGGATCAATATGATTCTGGTTTTTAATCACTCTTGACTCTTGTGCTGGCTTGAGGAGATAACCCCATGACTAGAATTTCCCAGACTTTGACCTCTTTAGGAAATCTGACTGCTGGATATCATCCCAAATCTTTTGATTCATGAACATAATAATCCTTTAGTCATGCCTGTAATTTCATGGCTTTTCCCAACTTTGTCACAGAATATGAGACCCCCACCAAGTGACCTATCTAGTAAAGGTACCTATCCAAGACTCTCTCTCCAATTGCTTCTAACTCCTTTATTGAAGAGTTGATTTTCTCTATACCCCAAAGTTATTAACTGTTCTAAGCCTGTTGATATCACTAGCCATCTGTTTGTTTTGTTTTCTAACCTACCTAAGAAATACTGTATGAAAGAAGGCACCATTATATGCCCCTGTTTCTTGGAACTACCTTGATCAATTTTGCCAAGGAAATACTTATACCCTTCCCCACTGTTTAGTTTACTATCAGCTTGACAGGAATATTAGTAGCCCATATTCTTGTATTTCTATCATCCCTTAAAGGCCTGCTCAGTCATACCTCTGAACTCTTGTCTTAGGTCTTGTCAAATTCAGTAGCTCCTTACTACAAAGCAGTGCTTGGAAATAAACTCCCTAGCTACAGATCTTTGGTTTAGTCCAATCCCCAAAGCCCTGCTTAAGACTGCAGGCTTAACCTATACAACTTGTCTAGGGTCCTGTGTGCTTACAGTATGCCTATTGTTTGTGGGGGTTCCCAGAGAATCCCCTCCCTGGGCTTACAAATGCATTGACAGCTGGTATATATGTGGAACTTGCCCACTGGGCTAGTTTCTTTCTATAGGTAGATCTGCTGAGACTAAGCACTAGACTAGCCCTGAAATTTGTTAGAACTAAAAGGTTCCTCATACTCACTTTGGAGATTCATAAGCCAGAACTTGTCTGGGTACAAAGATGGAGCCGAGTATTTCTTTGGGCAGACTGTTACTCTGGTATGGAGTAGTGTTCCATAAATGTGATTAGAAACCTCTCCCTTACCTCAGGAATTCTTGCTGATGAAACTGCGTCTGCAGTAGCCACCCAAAGAAGTTAATCCATTGGCTTGGGTTCTGTTAGATGAGATTGCTCTTGACTATCTTGGCAGGACAGGGTGGAGTCTGCAATAGCTAATACAACTTGTGTACATACAATGCCTCAGCTGAAGTCAAAACCCATGTGGACAAGGTTAGACATGAGGCCACTTGGCTAAAGCAGTTCTTTCCAGAAGCCCCCGAATTACCTGATTGATTTTCTGGACTTCTCATGAATGCCCCAGGCCTTGTGATCAGTTTTACAAGAGCTCCTGAAATTAGAGCTTTCCTTTTCACTAATAGGGCTCATAATTTACCTCATAATTCAGTGTTCCATTAAATGTTGTGCTGAAACTATAGATGAGAGGACTAATGTTTTCATTATGCAGGGTGGGAGCCCCAGGCCTGGCATGCATAAGTACCTATAGGCTATTGCAAAACAGCTTCATTTCTCTAATCCTGATCATGGTGCTTCCATATGTACCCCCATTCAGCAGGAAGCTGACAGCAGTCATACCCTGAATCCTTCCTTATTGATCCCTGCCTCAGGATTCAGAAAATAAGTGAGTCAAGGGATACCAAGACCATCCTCACAGGGTTAGCACTAACAAGCCAGGCTTTAGGCAGAATTATAGGCATTAACCAGGGCACACTGGTGTATTTTGACCCTCTTCCTTGCAGTTGCCAATCGAGAATCATGTAATATGCTGATCACTTGCTTCTTCATTGTTCCTATAGACAGCATCTTTGCTGAGGCTAGAATAAGACTTTTGCTCAAACATTGCTTGGTTTTTGAGACCTCCAAATTCCAGCAGGATGGCTGGTGCCAATGAATCTGAAAATCCACCCAAGGAACTGACTCAGCATAAGAATGCCATTTTTTCATCTTTCTGTCCCATGACTTTACCTTTCACGTCTAGGGCCAATCAGCAATCCCCTCACACCTCAGCCCACCATCCATCCCACCATCCTTCTAGATTCCTTAACCTTATTCTCCAAACCTCTTGGGGAGGTAAGATTTGAGGTTTCCACCCACCTCATTTAGTGGCTCTACAATTAAGTTTTCTTGGCTTCAACCTTGGTGTTTTGGTGTATTGACTTTCTGTTTAATGGGCAATAAATCTTACTGTTACATAAATCCTGCAGGGTCCAATCTCTGCTTGAGCCTTTTCAAAGGAGCAGAATCTGACAAGTCATCACAAGTACTATGCTTTCTTAACTTAGTAAGATCTCAAGGAGTAAACAAGTCTTTTGTTCAGTAAGACCTTAACCATTCTCCCCACTGATACCCTTTCACCTTTCTTCAAAAGGAAGAAGCTCCTCAGAAATTCAGTTCTACCTCAAACTTATTCTTGCCAGTATTTCTTCCCCTTTTAAATTCCACAATAGTTTTCCTTGCAAACTTCTCTTTCTAAATACAGCTTCCATCATTCTGGTGTTTTCTTCTGAATGCCCAAATCTGAATAGGCCCAGGAACTTGGGGGATGGCAGAGATAAAGGAGGGATTTGTCATTTGACCCTACTAGAGTAGTGACTAATTGCTCAAAGTTAGCCATGTGTCATGCAGCATGCTGCCTGGACTGAATTATGAAGAATATGTGGCATAGGCCTGGATATTAGTTCTCCCTCAAAAAACATCCCTCAGGAGAGAGAAAGTCAAATTAAGTGAAAGTCTTTACAAAAACTCCATTTTGATATAGTCTCAATAAATTTTGAATACAAAATGCCATTTGGGGAAGATAAGTTTTTATTATTATTATTATACTTTAAGTTTTAGGGTACATGTGCACAATGTGCAGGTTAGTTACATATGTATACATGTGCCATGCTGGTGTGCTGCATCCATTAACTCGTCATTTAGCATTAGGTATATCTCCTAATGCTATCCCTCCCCTCTCCCCCCACCCCACAACAGTCCCCAGAGTGTGATGTTCCCCTTCCTGTGTCCATGTGTTCTCATTGTTCAATTCCCACCTATGAGTGAGAATATGCGGTGTTTGGTTTTTTGTTCTTGCAATAGTTTACTGAGAATGATGATTTCCAATTTCATCCATGTCCCTACAAAGGACATGAATTCATCATTTTTTATGGCTGCATAGTATTCCATAGTGTATATGTACAACATTTTCTTAATCCAGTCTATCATTGTTGGATGTTTGGGTTGGTTCCAAGTCTTTGCTATTGTGAATAGTGCCACAATAAACATACATGTGCATGTGTCTTTATAGCAGCATGATTTATAGTCCTTTGGGTATATACCCAGTAATGGGATGGCTGGGTCAAATGGTATTTCTAGTTCTAGATCCCTGAGGAATCGCCACACTGACTTCCACAATGGTTGAACTAGTTTACAGTCCCACCAACAGTGTAAAAGTGTTCCTATTTCTCCACATCCTCTCCAGCACCTGTTGTTTCCTGACTTTTTAATGATTGCCATTCTAACTGGTGTGAGATGGTATCTCATTGTGGTTTTGATTTGCATTTCTCTGATGGTCAGTGATGGTGAGCATTTTTTCATGTGTTTTTTTGCTGCATAAATGTCTTCTTTTGAGAAGTGTCTGTTCATGTCCTTCGCCCACTTTTTGATGGGGTTGTTTTTTTCTTGTAAATTTGTTTGAGTTCATTGTAGATTCTGCATATTAGCCCTTTGTCAGATGAGTAGGTTGCGAAAATTTTCTCCCATTTTGTAGGTTGCCTGTTCACTCTGATGGTAGTTTCTTTTGCTGTGCAGAAGCTCTTTAGTTTAATTAGATCCCATTTATTAATTTTGGCTTTTGTTGCCATTGCTTTTGGTGTTTTAGACATGAAGTCCTTGCCCATGCCTATGTCCTGAATGGTAATGCGTAGGTTTTCTTCTAGGGTTTTTATGGTTTTAGGTCTAACATTTAAGTCTTTAATCCATCTTGAATTAATTTTTGTATACAGTGTAAGGAAGGGATCCAGTTTCAGCTTTCTACATATGGCTAGCCAGTTTTCCCAGCACCATTTATTAAATTGTCCCTGTTAGCAGATGACATGATTGTATATCTAGAAAACTCCATTGTCTGAGCCCAAAATCTCCTTAAGCTGATAAGCAACTTCAGCAAAGTCTCAGGATACAAAATCAATGTACAAAAATCACAAGCATTCTTATACACCAATAACAGACAAACAGAGAGCAAAATCATGAGTGAACTCCCATTCACAATTGCTTCAAAGAGAATAAAATACCTAGGAATCCAACTTACAAGGGACGTGAAGGACCTCTTCAAGGAGAACTACAAACCACTGCTCAAGGAAATAAAAGAGGATACAAACAAATGGAAGAACATTCCATGCTCATGGGTAGGAAGAATCAATATCATGAAAATGGCCATACTGCCCAAGGTAATTTATAGATCGAATGCCATCCCCATCAAGCTACCAATGACTTTCTTCACAGAATTGGAAAAAACTACTTTAAAGTTCATATGGAACCAAAAAAGAGCCTGCATCACCAAGTCAATCCTAAGCCAAAAGAACAAAGCTGGAGGCATCACGCTACCTGACTTCAAACTATACTACAGGGCTACAGTAACCAAAACAGCATGGTACTGGTACCAAAACAGAGATATAGATCAATGGAACAGAACAGAGACGTCAGAAATAACACCACATATCTACAACTATCTGATCTTTGACAAACCTGAGAAAAACAAGCAATGGGGAAAGGGAAGATATGTTAACTGGAAAAGACCTCAATCAATGCTGGTTCAAGACTGTGCTATAGGTCTCAACCACATTAATACAGGAAGTGAGCAGTTTCTCTCACATTAACACCAACTCAGTAGTTGTTTCTGAGGGTATGCCCTATGTCTCACAGTCAAATTTTAGATGTTATTACAAATAGGCCTTTTATAGGTTTTTTAAAGCAATGGAGTTACACTGTAGGAAACAAACCCATGACCATTGGAGGAATAGGGGTAAAGACTGATACTCGTATCATAAAAAAGGTCCTTGTGGTTTGGGTTCAAGTTTCCTGCAGTTGTATCCAATTTAACTGTTATATGACTAAGAGCACACAAGCTCTGGAAAACTTAGGTGACTCAGCTTGTCACTAGCTATGACAATGCCAATGTTGAAGCTATATATAAATGTGTGAATAATTGTATAAAATGAAACCACAAGTTTTAAAATCATGAAGACATTTAAAAATGTATATATAACTAATCCAGTTGGGAGACATTTGACAGTTTTTCTTTAGCCCTGAAAGTTTGTATATTTAAGATATGCAAAGAACATTTGCAACTTCAGTGGAAGATGGAAGTGCCTTGCCTTTGGTATCGTATTCGGGCAAGAGGGCACCTGTTTGCCTGTATTGAGCCTAGAGCCTTCCTCTGCCATTCTTTCCTGGTTTCAGGACCTCTTGACTTCTCCAAACAGATTTCCATGAACCAGTTGTTTCTTAGGAGGGACAAAGTGAATATCTTGCAACAGAAGGGAAACTTTTACCCTTTGTTAATGATGTTATTGTAGACAGCAGCTGTTGCAGACCCCCCACAACAAATCTATATCAGCTCTTTTATCAGCATAGATCCCTGCCTCTGGCTTCAGAGGGAATGGGCTGTTATGTAGCTTTGAAGGGATGCCAAACAATTTAAGCAAATGTATGTTTTGCTGTAGTAAGAACTTGGAGTGTATTCCCCACCCACCTTGGGAAGGTGAGGTCTCAGACTCCACTGAGAACTTGGAGTGAACTCCCCCTCCCCTCATGAGTGTGAGGTTACCTCTTAGACTCCATATATGAGTTACTGACCCTCAACTATTAGACTTTGAAATACACATAGACTCAAGATTTGACACAGAGCTTAGGCTGGGGCAGGCTACACTGTCAGCTGCCTCTGAAGACCAACAGCCCCTCCCATCATAGGCCCAGAGGCCTGGGAGTACTGAATGGTTTTCTGGGCCAGACCTAGGGCCCTGTCACCCTGCACAGTTCTCAGACACTGCTCCCTGTGTCCCAGCTGCTCCAGCCCCAGCCATGGTTCAAAGGGTCCCAGGTACAGTTTGTACTGCTGCTTCACAGGCTGTAGCCTTAATCCTTGGTGGCTTCCATGTACTGTTAAGCCTGCAGGTGAACAAACTACAAGAGTTGAGGCTTGAAATCCTCCTCCTAGATTTCAGAGGATGTATGGAAATGTCTGGGTGTCCAGGCAGAAGCCTGTTGCAGGAGCAGAGACCTCATGAATATCTGACTAGGACACTGTGGAGGGGAAATGTGGGGTTGGAGCCCTGCCTCCCCCCAGGTACCCACTGGGGTACTGCCTAATGGAGTTGTAAAAAGAGGGCCACTGTCCTCCAGATCCCGGAATGATAGATCCACACTGAAAGCTTGCACCATGAGCTTGGAAAAACCATAAATACTCAACAGCAGCCTATGAGAGCAGCTATAGAGATCAAACCTGCAAAGCCACAGGGGTGGAGATGTCCAAGGTCTTGGGAGCCCACTCCTTACACCAGTGTGCCTTGGATGTGGGACAAGGAGTCAAAGGAGATTTTGGAGTATTGGCATAAAAAGGGTATAGGGGGCTTCTATTCCCTTGCATATGGAATAAATACAAGCATATATTGTATAGAATGTCTCTGCATGAACAGCTAAGGAATTAATATTATACTAATAATATTATCCTAGAAGGAATATGGGTAGATGGAGGACAGATATTACAGGGAGGTTTTTCTCTGCCTGGCCTTTGTGCCTTACACATGTTAAAGATATGAAAGTATTACATATTTTCCAAATTAAATAAAAGCTAAATTTTAAAACAAAACAAAACAAAAAAAGATTTAATGGCTTCCCTGCTGGGTTTGACTTGCATGGGGCCTGTAACCCCCTTCTTTTGGCTGATTTCTCCCTTTTGGAACTGGACTATTTACCTAATGCGTATACCCCCATTGTATCTTGAGTGTAACTGATTTGTTTTTGATTTTACAGGCTCATAGGTGAAAGGACTTGTTTTGTTTCAGATGAGACTTTGGACTGTGGACTTCTGAGTTAATGCTGGAATGAGTTAAGACTTTGGGGGACTGTTGAGAAAGGATTATTGTACTTTGTAATGTGAGAGGGACATGAGATTTGGGAGGGGCCAGGGGCAGAATATGGTTTAGATCTGTGTCCCTGTGCAAATCTTATGTCCCATTGTAATCCCTAATATTGGAGGTGGAACCTAGCGGGAGGTGATTGGATCATGGGAGAAGTTTCTCATGAATAAGTGTTGCACCGTCCTCTTTGTACCATCCTTGTGATAGTGAGTTCTCATGAGATCTGGTCCTCTAAATGTATATATAGCACCTCCCCCCTTTCTCCTGCTCCAACGATGTAATGATTGGAAGCTTCCTGAGGCCTCCCCAGAAATAGAAGCTACTATTACTTCTACAGAACTTCCTTTACAGAACAGCCTGCAGCAGAACTGTGAGTCAATTAAACCTCTTTTATAAATTACCCAGTTTCAGGTATTTCTTTATAGCAATGTAAGAACAGACTAATAAAGCATGAGATTGAAAGATTGTTACAGGGAAGCCAGGTGTGGTGGCATGGACCTGTAGTTCCAGCTACTTGGGAGACTGAGGTGGGAGGATCACTTCTGCCCAGGAGTTTGAGGCTGCAGTGAGCTATGACCATGCTACTGCACTCCAGCCTGGGCAAGAGTGAGACCCCTGTCTCAGAAAACATACTGCTACAGTGAAACTACAGATTGAAGAAGCTGGTATAAGCACCTGAGAGCAAGAGCTGACAAATTACTTCTAGTATGTTTCTTCAATAGCCATATAAGGTAAAACATTAGCTCTCCCAATAAATCTGCCAAGGGACTAATTGAAATTATAAAGACTATTAGGGTAAGATTTTCTAGATTAGCATAGAAATTACTTCCATAAGTATATACACAATGACTTGATATGTTAATGTTTTTGATGTCTTGCTAATCCTGATAACTTCATACTAAGTACACAGAGCATGTATCTACAATTCTGTCAGTGTCTTGTAGAGTCATGTAATTCTTACTCCAACACTCTAAGACTTCACTAATTTAGCAATGATATGTTGAGGAGTGAAAGATAAAGATCCGTTTACCACTGAGGAAACACTTGGTTCTATGATAGAAATTGCTACAATACACTGGGAACAATAGAACCATACGTATCAAACACTGTTGGCAGATAAACAGCAAATACTGAAGATTTGAAGAAATGAGGTTTAGAACAAATTATAGTGTGGGAGGTTGCTATACAGTTGGAAGAAAGTATAAATGTTTTGAACATGTCTCAGATTGTGGTATCTGCCAGTTTCTACTTTGAAAATGATATAAACCTAAAATTACTTCTGTAAGCCATATTCAACATTAAATATAACCCCTTCAAGGAAAATGTAAGTAATCACTATTGATACCAGGGTGAGTTTACAGATGTATCAGGATGTGCAATTCATCCATTGTGTCATTCACAAACAGGAAGTTGCCAGGAAGAAGTTGAAAACAGTGTACATTGTACTAGATGTTGTCATTGAGGGGACTAATTTAGTGAAAAAAAGATTTTTAGACCATAGAAGCCTTGTGATTCTTTGCAATTAGAATGAATATCTGTGGTATGAGAATTTTTCATTATGGCCTATCTCAAAAATAAAGATTAAGGTAAGTTAAGCATTTATCTTTTCAAGTGTCAAATGTTCCATATTTGCTAACCTTAACACAATTGGATACCCTTGGAGAAATCTTTCCCTTCAAGATAAAAGCAAAGTAACAATAAAGCAAGAAACTGCTTTGAGAATAAATTCATACTATGAAGAGATTATAAAAGCAGATTTTCAAATGTTTCCAATATTGCAACTGTGTTCTGGAGAACAGTGTCTAAAGAGTCTCATGTCTGCATGTTAAGATCTAGATGTTTTAAGCAGGTTAGAAAGTGGCTTTCAAAATTTCAGGAGGTTTTGGACTAATTGGTTAAAAGTGTAGAAGTGCAACACCTTCCAATTAGTTTGCAACAACAGTGACACCATGGGAATTTCAGAAGAGTCTCAGTTTTGTGTAATAAAATGGTACTACACACTGAGTTTTATGATTTAATAAGAACAGCCAATGGTGCAGTTTTTTCATCTGGAGCTACCAATCTTCACAAAATATTTCTCAGCTATGACAACCCTTAAGACCAAGAATCAAAACAAACTTAGATGATCTTCAAAAATGCTGTTTCACAGGATGTTAAACTTTAGAACAGCATTTTTATTCACAGCACTAAAATTACTGAGGAAAAAGGTTTGCAAACATTATTTTGTGACATTTGTTTGAGAATGTTTAACATATATTGCAATATTGTATATATATGTGGCAGAAGTATACAAATACTAATGTCACTGGTCTACCCAGATCACAATTCATTTACTACTTAGTATTTTGCAAACTTGTTTTTCTCATCCTAGGGACCTGACTTTAGTGACTTCTCAAATCTATTGGTCACAATTGATCTCTTGATTTTTGCTGTGTTTATTTTCGAATCCTTCCTTTTTGAGAGCTCTTCTCTGAGGCTTGTGGCAACTTGTTCCCCAGGGGCTCAACTGTATTTTCTATGTTGCCTTCAAATGTATTGGAAACATTTCAGTACTACTCCAAATCAAACCCTTTGACCTCACCCTTCCTTTGAGCCATACTGGGACCAGTTTCACCCAGGAGCATACAATCTCTTCCCCATGCAGCACCTTCTTCTGGACCCTCTGACATTGCTGCATAGATGCCCGTGGCAACCTGCACTGCACTCCCATGTATAAACCAGAAAGCCCAAGGAGTCACACTTGAAAACACTTGATCCGGGGGGAGGGCAATAAAGCCTCTGGGTAAATGCTTCTTTTCTTCTTGTTGCATAGCTTTGAGACCTTTCCTCAAGTTTTTCTCAAGACCTTTCCTGGAGTTTCTGTGGGATGAGGCAGGCAGTTGTCACAGTGGAGGCTAACTCAAAGCACCTTTGTCTTTCCTTATTTCTTGCTCCCTCACTCTTGTTGTGTTCCTAATAGACTACCTGCATGCTAGCCTCAGCCTCACTTTCCCCAAAAGCAGGGTCTGAAGACATGGGGTCATCTCAATCATGAACCACTTTATATACCCTCCTTACCTACATATGCCCTATCTTTACATCTCTATGCAGCCTCTAATTGCTAGTATCTACTTCCACCTGATTGACCCATAAGGAATCTCAAGCTCCAACAGAATGAACTTTCTTCCCCTTATCTTGCCCTTATTTTAATAAGTATCACCTGAGCACTTCTGTGGCCCTTGGAGTCACTCTTGAAGTGAGCATTTTTGCTAATATTCCACAGGTCACCTCTTAACCACTTGCCAGTTTTATATATTTCTCCCAACCCCTGGAATCTTACTTTGAATCTTCCTGAGGATATACTGTAAGACCCCAAAAGTACTGCCCCATCTGATTTTGTTCATCCAATTATTTAGTCTGTTAATTTTCTTATAGAAAGTATTCAAAGCACGATTTTGAATAAATAAACCCCTGTGTTTAAACAATTCATTAATAAACAGAGTTTTTTGTTTTGGTTTTAAAAAATGGAGTTTTTACTTTTGGAGCCCCTACTTTTGGAATCAGGATCCAAAAATTCAACCCCCCCAGTTTCCTTTTACTCAGTTCCTTGAGATTTGGTCATCTGCTCTGTAAACAGTTATAAATAAAAACAAAAATGGATTTTCTATTACAAATTTTGTTTCCATGGTATAATAGTCTGTCGTGTTTATCTTTTTAAAATCATTTCAATAGGTTTATGGTGAACAAGTGGTATTAAGTTTTATTTAGTGATTTCTGAGATTTTGGTGCACCCATTCCCTTGAGCAGTGTACACTGAACTCCGTGTGGAGTCTTATCCCTCATGCCGCTCCCACCCTTCCCTAGTCCCCAAAGTCCATGGTATCATTCTTATGCCTTTGCATCCTCATAGCTTAAGCTCCCACTTGTGAGTGGGAACATAGGTCTGGTTTTCCATTCCTGAGTTACTTCACTTAGGATAATGGTCTCCAATTGCATCCAGGTTGCTGCAGTTTCCATTATTTCATTCCTTTTTATGGCTGAGTAGTATTTGGTGGTGTATATATACACTACATTTTCTTTACCCACTTGGTGATGGGCATTTGGGCTGGTTTTATATTTTTGCAATCATGAATTGTGCTGTTATGAACAGGCATGTGCAAGTTTTTTTTTTGTATAATGAGTTTTCCTCTGGGTAGATACCCAGTAGTGGGATTTCTGGATCAAATGATAAATCTATTTTTAGTTCTTTAAGGAATCTCCACACTGTTTTCCACAGTGGTTATACTAGTTTACATTCCCACAAGCAATGTAGAAGTGTTCCCTTTTTACCACATCCATACCAACATTTTTTATTTTTTGAGACAGTCTCACTGTCACCCAGGCTGCAGTGCAGTGGCGTGATCTCGGGTCACTGCAACCTCCGCCTCCTGGGTTCAAGTGATTCTGCTGCCTCAGCCTCCCAAATAGCTGGGTCTATAGGCAACTGCCACCATGTCCAGCTAATTTTCGTATTTTTGGTTGAGATGGGGTTTCACTGTTAGCCAGGCTGGTCTCGAACTCCTGATCTCAGGTGATCCACCCACTTCAGCCTCCCAAAGTGCTGGGATTACAAGTGTGAGCCACCGCACGCAGTTTTTTTTTATTTTTTTTATTTTTTTATTTTAATGGCCATTCATGCAGGAGTAAGGCGGTATCACATTGTAGTTTAGATTTGCATTTCCCTGATAATTAGTGATACTGAGGATTTTTTCATAATGTTTGTTGGTCGTTAGTACATCATGTTTTGAGAATTGCCTATTCATGTCCTTAACCCACCTTTTGATGGGATTTGTGTTTTCTTGCTGATTTGAGTTCCTTGTAGATTCTGGACATTAGTGCTTTGCCAGATATATAAAGATTTTCTCCCACTCTGTGGGTAGTCTCGTTTACTCTGCTGATTATTTCTTTAGCTGTGCAGAAGCTTTTTAGTTTAAGTGCCACATATTTGTTTTTGTTGCATTTGCTTTTGCGTTCTTGGTCATGAAGTCTTTGCCTAAGCCAAATGTCTAGAGGGGTTTTTCTGATGTTATCTTCTAGACTTTGTGGTTTTAGGTCTTAGATTTAAGTCTTTGATCCATCTTCAGTTGATTTTTGTAGAAGAGAGATGAGGATTCAGCTTCATTCTTCCACATGTGGCTTGCCAATTTTCCCAGCACCATTTGTTGGATAGGGTGTCCTTTCCCTACTTTTTCTAAGATCAGTTGGCTGCAAGTATTTGGCTTTATTTCTGGGTTCTCTATCTGTTCTGTTGGTCTGTGTGCTTATTTTTATATCAGTATCATACTGTTTTGGTGACTATAGCCTTACAGTCTAAAGTTGGTTAATGTGATGTCTCCAGATTTGTTCGTTTTGCTTAGTCTTGCTTTGGCTATGTGAGCTTTTTTGGTTCCATATGAATTTTATGATTGTTTTTGCTAGTTCTGTGAAGGATGATGGTGGTATTTGGATAGGAATTGCAAGGAATTTTAGATTGCTTTTGGCAGTGTGGTCATTTTCACAATAATGACTCTACCCACCTATGAGCATGGGATATGTTTCCATTTGCATCATCTATGATTTCTTTCAACAGTGTTTTGTAATTTTCCTTGTGGAGGTCTTTCACTTCCATGGTTAGCTATATTCCTAAGTATTTTATTTTAGCAGCTATTGTATAAGGGGTTGAGATCTATGATTTCTCAGCTTGGTTGTTGGTGTACAGCAGTGCTAATGATTTATGTACATCAGTTTTGCATCCTGAAACTTTACTGAAATCATCTATTAGTTTTAGGAGCTTTTTAGAGATGAATTTTTAGGGTTTTCTAGGTATACGATCATATTGGCAAACAGTGACAGTTTGACTTCCTCTTTACCCATTTGGATCCAAGAGATTAAATCCTTTGTCTTTAGCTACCAGGGCTGGTAGAGAAAGACCATCAGGTGGGGGCAAGGGTTAGGAGTGTCTGACCTCAGACTCTCCGTGGGTGAAGCTTGCTGCTGCTGCAGAGAATGGAGAGGCGGGGGGTGGTTCTAAGGTCAAAGAAGTTATGTTCCTAGGGGAATTATGGCTGTCTCTGCTGCTTCATACAGATCACCAGGGAAATGGGGGAAAGCCAGCAGTGACAGGCCTCACCCAGCTCCCAAGCAGCCAGAAATGCCAGTCCCACTCCCACTATGCCCACCGCTAACAGCACTGAGTTTATTTCCAGGCAGCCGGTGAGCAGGGCTGAGAACTTTCCCCAGACTACGAGCTTCCCAGCTGAGAAAGCAAGCAGGGCTTTCAAGGTTTCATGCCTCCCCCCACCTGCCACAGCTTCTGTGCTCATATCCATATTCCCTGCTTGCCCCTTCCCCCAATTCTGTCCAGGAAATTTCACCTTTAGTTGAAATTGTTACACAGTTCAGCTGGAAGTTCTCCCTCTGTGTCTTTCCCCAATTCCACTGGCAGCCTTCCCCAAGGACCCCTGCAAGACAAAGTCAAATGGCTTCCCTGGGGATAGAGAGTGCCCACAGGGCTCTTCCTGCTACTTCCTTTACCCCTATATTTCACTAGGGTCTCTAAATTCATCTCAGCTCCAGGTAAGGTCAAATCCTCCTCCCATGATCTAGACCTTCAGGTTCCCCAGTGAGGATGTGTGTTCAGGGGTGGATGTTTCCCCTCACACTTTGGGCACACAGTTTTTCAGCTATCTCACAGAGTCTGCAGTGGCAAGCTGCTTCTTTCAGACTTGTCTGATATGTTCAGCTTGCCTGGTATGTTCTTGCGACAGTTCTTGGAGCAAAAGTTCACAATGCGAGTCTCTACATGCTGCTCTCTGTCCGAGTGGGAGCTGCAAGTTAGTCCTGCCTCCTATCTGTCATTTTCCTATTCCCCCATGTTGTTTCTTTTATCTCCTAAGATTCAGATTCATTTCAAAATCTAAATTTTGGCAAGCATAGTTAATAGGAGACTATTTCAGGCCAGGTATCCTAGAATATAGATCCTGAGTCAAAAACACGTTTGCTGACATTTGAACATAGTGAAGAATCCAAACAAAAACAAGAGGCAGCAGTTAAGGAGGAATAGTAAATAAAAGAAAGGGTATCATGAGTGAGCCATTGCTTCCTAGCAAGCTGATTGCTCAGTCTGCCCAGAAGTCTTTATAGAGGCCAAAGTCATCTCCAATAATCCTGAATGAGTCAAAGTTCATCCGCTAGCCACTTTCTCATTGGGAAAGTCTGCCCTGGAGAAGGTTAACTCTCCTGTACATTTGGCAAGCATTTAGAGGGTCTCCGAAGACCACACGTCCACAGGGTGGAACATTACTGGGCAATGTCGTGAGGAAACTGGAGGCTTCCCAGGCAAGCCCTGCAGTTCCCTTGTTCTGTGGTACTAGCTGAAGTAGCAGCTTTTCTCCCAAGGCTGCAGAAAAGGTACAAAATAATATTAGAGCCACCAGAGCCACAACTCAAGGCAGGCAAATCTAAAACATACCTGAATCCAGAACTGCTATGTGAACTTGTTCAGACACATAGCACCAGGATGACTCTGAGGTCAGAAGACTGATGATCATTCTCTAGAACCAATCACTCATTTGTGGTACAGAGATTCCACTAAGTCTGCCTTAAGGTTTCTCCACAGGGTTCACAATGCTTATAGTTCATTCAGTGCTTATCTCAGCCTTCCCTAGGCCTCAGGGTGCCTGGGTTGATATTTACCCCTCAATTCTGAATAGCCCTGGCAGAGGAAGCATGAACCCTAGTCCCTACTTACGTCAGCTACCTAAGCCACCTACCAGTCATTCCCCTCCCCCCACACTGATCAGGAAGACCAACTGCAGATGGGTCCAGGAATTCTAACTCTGGGCACTGGAGTGAACACATGTGGTAGCATGAATAGGACCACCATTATCAGGTGAGAAAATAGCAATAGGAAACCACAGGCCATACCAACGAATGAGATGAGCTGCAGAATGGACAAAAATACCAAATACTGACTTCAAAGGAGAAGCAGTAGGTGATTTCACTCAAATTATTTAAAAAGTAGAGCAATAACCTGGCAATCTTGGTGTCCCAGGAGAGAGGCCACATGAGCAAACAGGAAATCAGGCAAATAAGTGTAAGGACATGGCCAAGGCTGCTGATGGAATGCCTCTTAGGCTTTCCACATGGCTTCAGCTTCTGCAACCCTGGGATCCATACATCTACTCTCTGGCAACCCAAACTGGCAGACGTGGCTATTTCCACCTATCACCTAGCCTGGGATGTACAAGGTCACTAGCTTTGTTAGAATCTCCTATGTCTTAGGTATGTTCCTGAGGCTGCCCGTATCCTGTAACTGAGTGAAGCGAGAAACAAGGCTGGTCCTGTGGGCCCAGCATGGGACACTGATGAGCAACACTCATACTACGGCTTCCCCATTTCATGTTGATTGAGGCTCTCTGGTCTGCTTCAGTGTTTGACTTTGCTCATCTACCCAATCTGAGGATTGTATAAATGTCTTATACCCCAAACTAGATGGGTACCTGCTGCTTTAGGAGGCCCAAAACCTGCAACAAGTCAGTGCTGATAATATATTCTTTATCGACCACCTATATTAGAAATCATTCACCCTAAACCCTTACTTGTGTGGTCTAGGGTACTTGCAAAGAGGGGTAATTCATACATTCATCCTTAGAGGCTCTGAGTCCATCTAAGATTACAAACTGGTTATCAGGCCATGGTTACTGACATTACTGATTGTCGCTAGCCATGGGATCACCAAGGGATGTGCAGTGAATCCCATAGAAGCCACCTCCTGGCTGTGTTATGGAGCAACTGCCCTTGCTCTCATGATCAATCTTTTACCTGTTGGTCCAAAATGACCTTGTGGCACCCATAGCTGAGTTTGGAGCTCTTGTGTCTCCCATGGTAGGAAAGTTTCTTTCTGTCCCTTTCCAGTAACAGTCTAGTCTAAAGCATAAAGCTGTGGCAAGGTGAAATACATGTTCCAAGTGGTCCCCAAAAGGGATAGAGGGTAGCCCCTCCTGTTTATAGCACCTTAGTCATGGAATACCCTTTTATTGTGCCTATTGTTCACAGCAAGTAATGGCTATTGGTTCAAGTTAGACATACATTTTTCAAGACAGCTGGTATCAGAGGCACTAAAACTAATTCATCAACTTTGGACAAGAGGTTGTCAGACCAGCTGCCTCTGAGCTCTGCAGTATACCATAGTAATCTAATCATTTATTGTTCATTGTTCTCTTCCATCATCTACAATGAGCCCATCTGACTTTTGCAGGGGCTGTACAGGAAAACTGAACAGGGATATTATTGATTGGGACCACTACTTCTGCATCCTTTGAGACTATTAAGGAACATTCATCTCTACCACCCAACCCAGTTGTGATATTAATTCTGAGTTACTATCTTGGCCCTAGAGCAGTTTTATAGTCTTTGCAACCATTACAACCCTTAGTCTTCAGAAAAGGAAACAAATTGAGGGCTTTACTAAGTAGGTCCATTCATTTCAGGCATTCAGAGACCAGTGAAGTGTTCAGAGTAGACCCAGAGACTCACTGGACTAAGACTAACTTGGGTGAGGACTTTATTCTTACTAAAGTGTATGGGTCAATTAAAGTTTCCCATACCGGCAGCATTTTAGGACTAGTTCCATGTATCCTCTCTAGACCATCAATCCCATGAGGGTCCCTATGTTAGGCTATCCACTGTCTAAGCCTTATATTCTGCCTTCCCTGCTCCAGCACCCTCGAGGCTCATTCCTAGGTCTCTCTTCCTACTCAGAATAGCCAGGTCCCATAGATCTGTTGGTGAATCATCCCTTCCCCTCCTGTAGCAGGAAGATTGCCCCAATTGAGTCATGCTGTGACTTGCCACCACTGTCCTGAAAGCCCCACAGGGAGATGGGGGCATAGCTCAAGAGGATAATGCATGTGTCTCAGGTGAAGCCTGTATTATCCTTAAGGGGAGAGGAACAGTAGATTCTGGGGGACTCAAGGATCTAGAGTATCTATCCAGATGTCAATATCACCCTAATCCTTCCACATCAGATCCTGACTTTAGGAGACTTGCCAGGTATGAGAATTTAATATTCCTTGTGCCTCTATTTTTCTAGTAATAACTAGGCTCGACTTTCAGCACCATCTGTACTTTGGCTGTAGGTGATGAGAACTCCTTTAAATGACATCATAGCTTGTAAGTAGCTGGCCTGGGCTTCCATGTTCTCTTTAGTGCTAGTCTGGCAGTTAACCAACTTCTCAGTCCTGATTCATTGCTTCTCTCCCAAATGCTAGAGAAATTGTACATCCTCTTCCAGCTCTGTCATCCTCATTCTCCACAGGGGAGAAATCTCAATCATGATGCTTTAATACAGACATTCTCAGACTCCGAGCAGTCACCTGGTGTGCCAATAAGACAGAGGCCCAGGCTGGGTAAAGCAACAGTGTCTGATTTATATTTTCACCAAGTTCTTCAGGTGATTCTCATATGTACCAAAATTCAAGAACGATCACTACAGTATGCTGGGAGTTATTACTCCATTTGACATCTGCATTGTGGTCTTGCTGCCATAGATAGCTGATGAGTGAATAATCTGATTCCAGAATCTTGTCTACTTGCAGAGACTCCCACTGGCTAGAGATAACCTTGATATTAAAACCTTATGAGGCAAACTTTAAATGTTAGATTTAGATAGAGCTCTAAGGTACTGATACCATTAGTGTTTACTGTATTTCTCCATTACTGGAATATTCAAACCCATTAAAATAAAATGGGACAAAAATGTAATCAAAGGAGGCAGGCGGGGGGAGAAAATGTAGACCATGTGGAATTAAGTCTTAAATCCAAGTATCAGTAACAACTTCAAACATAAAGGGCTAGTTAAGATACTGTCAGGCTTCAGAAAATCTAGTTATCTAAGATATCCAAAACATGACAAGTTGGAAAACAAAACCAAAAAACAGTATAGCTATATTAACATGTCAGGTGACATACAGAGGCAGAAAATTAGAGATAGTTCCCTCAAAATGATAAATTGTTCAGTTTGGATACATGTAATATCTTGATCAAGATATACAAACCAAAATGTGTAGCTTAAGGTGAAAAATTCTTAAACATACTGGGTCACTAATATACTTTCCTCTAAGGTGGATACTGAAGATTTGAAGACCATAATGAATAAATATGGACAAATACATAGAACACTGTACTTGGTAAATGCACACCACGTTCTGTTCAAGTAAATGTGGAGCTTTTGCCAAAATAAAAGGTCAGGTAGAAATAAAACTTCAAGAGGCAAGTTATACAAAGTGAACTCTGATTAAATGCAAATAGTCTAGAAATGCAAGTAATTAAAAAATCATCCTATACTTGGGAATTAAGAGTCCCACTTACAAAGTAATCCATAGGTCAAAAAGAAACTTAGTGAAAGAAAATGTTTTGGGGTGAGGTATTGCTTCTGTTTAGAAAGTAGTCTGTAGAATGAAGAGAACATTCGTCCCTTAAGGGCCAGGTAATTACACAATTCTATCTTTTGAGTCCTCAGAACTGAGGTTGCAAGGCAACCAAGTGAATTAAGTTCTGAAGAATGCTAAGCCCCTCTGAGCAGACAGAAACAGCACGGTATTACCTTTGGCAGAACACAGGAGGAAGAGAGGCAGCAGCAGAGGTAGCTAAGTAGCAGTCAGGGAAGATGTGACGGAATTCTTAAAGGTAGCCTGTGGCTAAAGTTTGAAATAATCGGGGGCTCAAAAAATGAAGAGTTTGCACTCAAGCTCTTTGCCAACAGCCCACACTGGCTGCGCATGAAGACAACAGGCAGAGACCAGAGTGCCTGGCAGGATAGGACTAGCTGCTGGTGGCCAGGCAGACTTCTCCATTCCCTGGATTCTTAAGAACAGCGAGAGTCTTATACCACTGGAAGATGGGTGGAAAACTCCACCAAGGACTGCAAAAGACCCAGACAGCTTCCGGAGAAGGGAGAGAAGCAGAAGGCATCTGCACTTGTAAGGAGTAAAATATGTTCTCTCTTCCATTGCCTCTGAAGGTAAAACCCTCAGCTTCTGCGGGGGAGAAGAAGAGCAGGGAACCCCTAGTCTTCCCCATTCCTCCACCAACAGGTGTGCTGCTACTGCTGGGGACAGGAGCAAGATATGCTTTGACGTCCAGGCCACATGGAGTACAGCTGCCATGAGGATGGTGGGCAGAATTGTTCAGGAAATGCCACCCAGAGGCCCAGACATAGGGGCAGCCCGAGAGTAATGCTGGACAAGAGAACAGAGGAGCCCTCTGCCCCCAACCATAACCCCAGCACTGGTAACTAGCATAACAGTCTACTGCTACAGAGGGAAAGAGCATGGAGAGACCTTCCTGCATAGGCATGGAGGGCCAACTGAAGATGAATGAGAACACTAAAGGGGAAAATCCCTCTGGCACCATAGGTACAAGGTAAAAAGCAGACCCTTGGGAAAAACTGGAAGCAATGGAAGTATCAGCAGCATCAAACATCCATGAGCCAATTAAGCCATCTAGATTGACTCACCACCCCACCCCCTACACATATGGTAGCCCACTTGCAAGTGTAAGTATCTCATTCTATATTGTTCATAATAGCCAGTGCTCAAGTTAACAGAAAGAGCCTACTATAAAGAGAACAGATCAACTCAGGGATCCCTCAGATGCTGGAATCAGGCAGGGACCTTGAAATGATTAGATAAAAAATATAGCAGAAATGGTGGACAACACGCACAGATTGTTTTCATTTCTGAATTCCTAAGTTAGAAAAGTGGACGAGCTAGAAGAGATGAAGAAAAAAATGTCTTCAAGTGTCTCATAACACTGGACATAGCTGAGAAGCTAATCAATAAACTTGAAGATAGTTCAATAGAAATCCAAACTGAAATGAAGAGGAAAAAAGAAGAGAAAAGCTACAAAACAGGACCTATGAGCTACAAAACAGTACGTACAATGATATCTCATGATTTAACACTACTGGAGCCCAAGAAGAAAGGGTAAAGAGGCAAGAGGTATTTGAAGATAGGCAAAAGCAGGGGGTTTTACTTTCTGCTCAGTTTTGCTGTAAGCCAAAACTCCTCTAAAGAAAGATGTATATGAAAGAAGGAAGAGATAGAAAGGCTGAGAACTACCAAGGCTAAAACTTCCCTGATCCTATAACCTCAAACACAAACAGACACCCAATCTTATAGATTCAGCATGATCCCAAACTCTAAGTGTTTTTTCTTAGAAATTAACAAGTTGGCTCTAAAGTTTATGTGAGGAAAAGTGTAGGGACAAAACCAGCTAATGCACTTAACAGTGAGGTAGAGGCATGTGCTACCAGATAAAGACTTACGTAGTAATCGAGACTAACAAGACAGAATGAAGAACCCATGGTACACTCAAACATCAAGTCTGAAATATTTGCCCTAGCAGAGCAAGGGAAGGGTAGGAGGGAGGGTGAGGACAGGAATGCTCAAATGAGTCTAGGGCAGGCTACTATTCATATGAGAAAGAAACTTGAGTATGATTCTGCCTCTCACTATGTACAACTTGTGTATCAGCTCTAGATTAAAGATTTAGATGCAGAGTCAACTTATTCTCCTATCTTGTCTATTTTACATTTGGGTGAAGAAAGCCAAACTATTTCCAAAATATGCCTTTGACAAATTGTTTCAGCTAAAGGCAATTAAGACATGGGGAACTTTGTCCTGCTTTTAGGACAAGGTGGCAGGCAGAGATATATAGAGTCAGAAGGTCTTTCTATCCTTTCCCGTCATCCCCACCTGAAGATAGGCTGGAAGTCTCCATTTACTGCAGACATTCCTCATCAGCTCACACTTTGCCAGCAAGATTTGAAAACACACTATTCCTTCCCAGTTTTCCTGCTTTTGGGGAGCCTGGCACTGCTTCTTACTCATCTTGCCACTCCTAAAATTTATTGTTCATGGAAGATTTTAATCAGCCAGGACTCTTAGCCACCACTTTTTAGTCATTTTTCAACTGAGGTTTCTACCATGTGATATATACTGCACATGTTAAACTTGCTTCTCTTGTTAATCTGTCTTGTTACACACGTTTGTCCCAGTCACAAACTTATGAGGGTAAAGAAAAAAAATTATGCTTTTTCTCCTTAAGGGGAGAAGTAGAAGAAATATTTTATGTAAAAAGCATACCTTTAAAGAGTATTTTTACTATATTAAACTTAAGAATTTCTCAGAAATCAGAGGGAAAAATTGTGAATGGTGGAAAGCATTTGTACCATCCATGTAAATAGTGACTAGTCTTTAGATATGAACATCCATAAATAAAGAACAACCCAATAGGTAAGTTGTAAACAGACTTTACATAATAGAAAACAAGTAAGTGTGAAGGTCACCACGTGAAAGTTATAGTGCCAGGACAAAGTCATAGACACAGAGCACAGCACTAGGAAGGCACTAGGGAGAGGCGGCTCATGCTCACATCTGAGAGAAGGGCTTTTTAAGAATCACACCGCTAAGAACTCTCCCAGCTTGTCAAGAGAATCTTGACAGAATGGAAAGCTATGCCTACTTTTGATCATTTAGTTTGGCAAACCAGCTTGATGCACCCTCGAGAACACTATGAATTTGTGATTTTCTTTTTAGTAATCTCCAATTTTAGCAGATGGAGGCTCCTGGACAACACTGGGAGACCTCCTGGAATGTGCCACTGTGAGAGGCCAGGCCACCGAAAAATTGCCAGAGAAGAATCTTTCTACCCATCTCACCCCCCTCCTCCACCTGGGACCACTCTCAAGGGGCTCCAAGGATTTACAGTATGGGTTGGGCTGGGTTGTGGGATGGGTCTTCCCAGTTTTCACTTAGTCATCTGGGTGAAACTACCCTTCAAATCGGGAACCAAAGTCTTAACTGTTCACATAGTCACTGGAACGTCACTATCAGTCCTTACCACCCCTGCCTTAATCAGCCCCTGCCTCTGAGTAGTAAGAATCAAGTGATAGTTTAACAAGCCTTTGTCTGCTTTTGTCTCACATCTCATTTCTTTCCTTCTTGGCCCTTTCAAAAATATCCACCCCTTTTTTTGCTTAGTTCTTCTCAGTCTACTTCCTTGGACATTATTTTCTAGAAACATTTTTCCCCCCAAAAGGGGGATTTTAGAATTGTGTAATTTTAGAATTACACAAGATGCACTGACTCAACCGTGGAGTCTATCAACTCCAAGTTTCCTCTCTTGTTATGTCATTGCTTGTTCAGAAGAGGACTAATAAATGCAACTCCTTCACTGCTGAATCAAATCTCTCTTGATGGGCAAAATCATGCACTGATGCTGGCATTAACTCAGATTGGTCAAAACGTTTGTATAATATTTGACAATACCCACTAAATTGGATGGCATTATAGAGTATTAAGCCTATTATAGAAGTATAAAAGAAACAAGGCCTTATTTTATATACTAGTTCTTATAATATCACAATTCTACCTATTAAAGAGACCAAACCACCATCGGTAGAGATTTGTTCAGGACCTCTAAGCAATAAGGCATATCATTATGCTAAGGCATCCAGTGGTTCCAAGTATCATACATTAATTAGACTCAATATTCATTGGTAGCAGGTTTTCTAGTCAATCTGTAGTGCATTCCTCACTATTCCAGTGGATCAGGCCAGCCAGCATTCCTTTTCTCTTTATCTGAGAAAGCTAATCACCTGGATAGTAATTACCCAGGATTTTACTGAAAACCCTATTTTCCTCAAATAGAAAGAAAAGGCAGACTTGGAGGTTGTAGCTTTTTCCCCCAAGGCTCCATTTTACTACAATATGTAGATGACCTTCTTTGTCCTCTCCCACAGGTATCCTGTGAAAAAAAGACAGTATACATCCATTAAAGCAGCCGGATGTTCAAGGTCAAAATTTCTAAAGAAAAACTACAGCTAGTAAAGACTCAAGTGAAATATTTGGGCTATTTAACTTGAGACAATGGCCTGTATTTTAGACCCAAGAACAGACTCAAGACATTTTGCAATTACCTGAGCCAAAAACCAAACACCAATTCCATGGATTTTTGTGCTTTCTGGTTGCTGTGGTTGTTGGATTCCTAACGTTTCACTTCTGGTCTGGTAAGTTACCAAGCCTGACTCCTTTATTTAGGCAGAATCTAAACAGCAAATTCTTAAAGGGGAAATTGATAAATCTTCCAGCTATAGGTCATAATCAAGTATTCTTTGTATATGAAAAGGAAGGAAACACTTTGGGAGTCTTAATCTAAAAGCATGGAGGCCCACACTCTTCTCTACAATACGGTAGTCAACCATGTTAGCTGAGGCAACTGAGAGTCATGGGATTCCTCATGCCATGGAAGCTTAACTCACTCAGCATCTTCCTGCCAGCCAACTTACTTTATAAGCCACTATTTCACACTATAATACCTTAACCCTGTGACTCTCCTGACCTTGCCTTTAGAGGGACCACCACAGGACTGCTTAACTGACAGACCAGCTTTTAACCCCTCAGCAGGATCTACGAGAAAGTCCCCAGGACAAGGCTGAGTTGTCCTGGTTAACAGATGGCTCATATTTTAAAGTGACTCTGGTACATACTCTGCAGGCTCTGCTGTCACTACTTTGAGATGGTGGAAGAACTCCTTTGCCCTTAGCCACTTCAGCTCAGCAGGCAGAGCGGTTTGTCCTCACTCAAGTCTGTCTCCTTGCTAAGGGAAAAACCTGGTATTTGTATACACAGTAGGTGTGCCTCGACTTCCTCAGGACTTTGGAATGTCGGAGGCAAAAGGGTTTCCCTTACTTAAAATGGAGACCAAATAATTGGCTGTATGTACAAGAATTAGATGCAAAACAACTTGAGTAGCCTTTAATTCTGTGTTGTGAATGGCCTTGAGAACTCTTCCAGCTTGTCGAGAGAATCCATATAGAATGGAAAACTGTGCCTACTTCTGATCTGTTCTAGCCATTATCAGAGTTAAGCCATTTGAAGCTGCATTCTGTGGAAGCTAGAGAAAAATCACCTTGCTGATAACACAGCGAAGAATGCTGCACTTAAAGGTCCTACTGATCAAATCTGTTGGCCCAGCTAGAAAGGTTCCCAAAAGATGATCATAGAATTACTAAGGATGCACAGAACTGAGCACAGGCCAAAATACAAAACTGAACAAAATAATGGCTGTTGGTTTGATAAAGAACTCTGGTTTGGACCAAGTGAAAAGCCCATCCTGCTAGACTTCATGAAATTCCTGTTATCGACATTATACACGATTTAAGTCATTCGGCTACAGAAAAGGCAATTACTTTTGTGAAATACTGGTGGGGTAACATCAATAAAGTGGCCAAAAATGATTACTTAGCCTGCCACACCTCTCCTAAATTCAATCCCGGAAAGCCACTGCACATAGCCTCTGGCAGTTTTGACCTCCGTGATGTGGCATTTGAGGTTTGGCAGATAATCATCAAGCTATCCTCCTTCACATGGATGTTAGTTTTGATATGTATATTCTCTCATTGGATTGAAGCCTTCTCTTGCAGAAGGGCCACCTCCTCCAGCAGTGGCTACAGTTCTACTAGAAAAGAATCCCTGAGATCCCTCAACCAGCTCCAGAGCTACCAAGGAACTTGTTTTTATAGGACAAGCTATAAAACAAGTATGCACTATCTGACCAGTTGGGTAGCACTTTCATTGTGTTTATCATCCAATCCTCTGGACTAACTGCACAAATAGTGCTTTTAAGATCCAACTGACAGTTTGTGGAAACCTTATACTTTTCCCCTGGCCAAAAGCCCTACCTATAGTGCTTCTGAGCTTAAGGGCAACTCTTTGGGTTACATAAGCTCTCACCATTTTGGATAATTACTGGATACCCATGCATCTGGCCCTGAGTTCTTTTGGCCCAAAATTTAGAAGATGAAATGCTTCAATATTGTAACGGTATAATCAAAGCTATGGATAACAGTTACATTCTGGTAGAATAATCTTTCCATCGAGTGCTCCTGGGAGGCAAAGACCTAAAACATAACCAGGAAATTTTTGCCTACTAGAAAAGACACCTACAAAGATTCTCTCCAACCTTGCTGGAAAGGTCCATTTCAGATCCTGTTAACCAACTCCTGTGCTGCTAGGCTTAGAATAATTGACTCCTGGATGCATGGGTCTTATCTAAAAACTGACTCCTGAGTACCTCTACTCGTATCAGTGAATTAAAGCTAAAGGTTTCTAGGATTTAAAGCAGATAGCATCTGAGGAGATGACATCCCCCTCACCAAGGAGTGCAAAACCAGGCCTATATGTCCTTTCCTCATTTCTGATTCTTTATTTCTCCTTTTCCATGAAAAAACAACGCTCTTACCTGCATTTCCCAGTCTGTTGAAGTAGGGAGAAGCCTTAGTGATTGTTGGCTCGGTAAAACTTGATACAGGTTTTTTTTGACTAACGTCCCAGGTCCAACTACCTGTACAAGTTATAGCCCTGGATCCTTATAGGTTAAACTTTCTCATCTACCTTCAACTCTTGTCCAATTCCTTACCTACTCAAAAAGATGGTTTCTTAGTTGGACCTGAGAAACGTGCAATGAGTTATCCCTCTTAAAACATTCCTTAAGTCTTTAACATAGGCAAGAAATTATTGGGGCCAATTTTGCGAGGAAGGCCGTTAGCAATATGTAGTAATACAACTGACCCCTGGTTTAATTCTACCATGTATAGAAAATTCAGATTGAAGGAATGTCTATGCTCCTATCAGATATATTTAACATTCATGGGTAGGATATTAACATGGGCCTCCAGATGTTTAGATATTTGGATAACAGGAGGCCATGTGAGTTGGGATTATTTGACTGCTATCAGTACATGAGATCTGAAACTCATCATTAGAATAATCACTGGACAAGCCTCCTCTCTCACTTCAGAGAACTGAGAGTTACGTTGTAGGTCACAAGACTTAGCTTCTTTTGGCAGATCTTTTGTACCACGGTATGGTGTAACTGCTAATAAGTGACAAATTTGTCTGCTACTCTATTAAAAGCCATATTCATTAGCTTTTCTTGCCCAGGTGGTTTTAGATAAAATTGCTTGATTATCTATTAGCTGAACAAGGTGATTGTCTGTGTTATTGCCGATGTCTGTGTTATTGCTAATACCGCATGCTGGTACCTGGGTAAACTCCACTAGCGAAGCTGAGGCTAACATGAAGTGAGAACAAACTACCTGGCTACAAGTCTCACCCAGGTCCCCATGGTCATTTGATCTGTTCAATTGGTTGCCTTTTAAGTCTAGGTTCATGGCTTAAAGCCATATAAACTGGAATTGTCATATTGCTGTTATTTTTGCTTTGTATTTCCCCTTATAAGCTATGTACCTGTTATCTCTCAGGTGTTTATAGAAATACAACTCCTGACAAAATATTGGCCCAGTGCCTTAAGATAATAGCCAATGCCTATGGTACAAAGTAAAAATTTAAACAATGAAATTCAGACAAAGTAAACCTGAGAGCAACTGGCCTCCTTGTTTCTCGAATCTGTCTAAAACACATCACTGACTTTCAGCTGTTTGTCCCCTCTAGCATGGGACTAGACCAACTTGGAAAGGTCCTTCCCAATGCTGAGGGACACTTACAACCTGACTAAAGCTAGCTTATCAACAATGCTTTTGGAGAAAGAACTTGATCAAAGGGAGAAATATGAAAGTCTCAGATACAAGTATCAAACTACTTTTATCAGACGCAGAAAGAGAGAGAACTGGGAAGGAACAAAGGAGAAAGGCTCAGGTTTAACATGTCTGAGATAAGAACCTGTTTCCAAGTGCTTTCTAAAAACCCCACAAGAAACCCTTTTGCATCCTTCACACATCTCCTTTGATTAGGTTTATTACTAGATATTCTTTAGGACTGCAATAATTCAGATGAAATATTTGAAGAACACTTGCGTCTCCACTGATAAACTGACAACTCTGGCTCTGAACCTCTGGAACCAATGACCTCTGTTTCTAAGCAGCTTATGTACGTCTTTTTGCTAATAAGTGCTTCTCTACCCTTTCCCTCACTAAATTCACTAGTGGCTTGCCATTCCATGCCTTCCAGATTGTAATATCCTTGTTTCTCATTCTCAAATAAACACATTCTCTAGTGTTTAGAGTGAAAGTCAATACTATAATAATCATCAAGAAAGAAATTAAAGGTTACAGAAGCAACAGATTGGCAACAGTTAAAGGTAGAGAATATCTGGCTCTATCAGTTTGGCTCCTTGCAGGAAACAAATGGTTCATTCAGGTTAGGAGAGTGTGAAGAGGGTTTATTTACAGAGATTCTTCAGTTGTGTTAGTGTGAAGGGAAAGCACATTGGTTAGCACAGCAAGCAAGGGAGAAGCTGTTATCTACCCCAAAGGGACAAGAGGAAGGAGCATGTATTAGTTCATTTTCATGTTTCTGATAAAGACATACCCAAGACTGGGCAATTTACAAGAGAAAAAGGTTTAATGGACTTACAGTTCCACATGGCTGGGGAGGACTCAATCACAGCAGGAAGCAAAAAGGAACAAGTCACATCTTATATGGATGGCAGGAGGCAAGGAGAGCAAGTTTGTGCAGGGAAACTCCTGTTTTTAAAACCATCAGATCTCATAAGACTTATTCACTATTAGGAGAACAGCACAGGAAAAACCTGCCCCTATGATTCAATTACCTCCCACCAGGTTCCTTCTATACCACGTGGGAATAGTGGGAGTTACAATTCAAGATGAGATTTGGGTGGGGACACAGCCAAACGGTATCAGAGCAGTTACCCTCCCCCTTCAGAGCTTGAGGCAGAAGACGGTCTGGAGACAAGGAGTCTAAGGCCAATCTAAGGGTGACTTCTTGGAAGTTATTCAGAAGAGAAACCACACCCCTCCACACCCAAATGCTAAGGGGGCCAAAGACCCTTCCCTCTACAAAACTCCCTTTTCTCTTATGTCACAAAGGTGAAACGCCTCTGATTGGCCATGGGACAAGACATCACTCACATAGGGTATAACCAATTGGAGGCCTCTAATGAGTACCTAGAAGGGTTACCAAATTCCTTTAGTTTAATAAAAACTAAGGTACATTACAATCAGGGCTCTCAGGCTGCTTGCTTGAGCCCACTCCCCCTCTAGAATGTACTTTTGCATCAATGAATTTACACTTTCTTCTGTTGGTTTGTGTTTGCCCAATTCTTTGTTCAATGCGCCAATAACCTGGATGATTCATAGTCAAGATTCTCCATCTGGTAACAATCTTAGACATCTTGGTAGTGTTCCCCATTGGAGGAATCAAACCAGAGACAAGAGGGCCGGGCAGCCTGGGTGATGAGGTCCACTCAGGTCAACCTCTGGGAACACAGAACAAGATGAAGGAGGAGGGTATGTCTGGAGACACAGACAGAAGACTCCTGGAACACTAGCATAGTGATGAGCTATGAGAAGTTTCATACATAGCTAGTGGGAACGTAAAACATACAACTGTTTGAGGGAAGCAATGTGGTGGTTTCTAGTGAACTGTAAGGTCTACATGCCTAAATACCTAGGTATATACCATGAAGAATATAAAACCTCTGTCCTAGGAGACAGATTCAAGAATTCTCAGAGCAGTATTGTTTGTACAGCAAAAACCTGGAGCTAATCCAAGTGTCTGATGCTCGTTTCCAGTTTGTCTTTACCCTTCTGTTCTCCTCAGTACCATGGGGGCAGATGCTCAATACTTGCAGGCTGCACTTCCCAGGTTCCTCATTCAGCTTGTCCTCAGCTGGGTTTGCTCAGGGAGAGGCCTGGTATGGGTGGAGAGAAAGGGAGAGGCCAGGGTATTCTTTCTCTTACCACTTTGCTCAGGCAGTTCTCTCTGGGACTCAGGCCACCTTGCAAACCCAACCCTGTGTTTTCTAAGGCTGCCTCTCTTCCAAGCCCAGGGGCAGTAGTGGGTCCCCTGCAGCTATTAATTTATCAGTTTCCTTACCGTATCTATACTCTGTCATCACCACCATCATCCTCAGGATAACGTAGATTTTGAATACCTGAAGTGCTTTGTTTTCCCAGTTTAGACTCAGACTGATAAGAGGATACACTGCATAAAGAAAATGCCTAAACAAAAAGGTGACCTATTTTATGAAACTAGCATAATTTTGATACCATAGAACAAAAGCAATCTATATATTAACCGAGCAGTCTGAGCTATGGCGTATAGGTAAAACTTCAGGCCCAGAGAATCATGAGTATGGGACTTCAGTCATACTCCCCTACCCCCAATACCTGGGGGCAATTGTGTAAATGCATCTTGTTCCCGAATAGCTGCCTCACTCATTATCTTCATGTTCCTGGAATTTATGGTATAGAGAAAAGTGTATAATCAATAGCTTACATTATTTTAATCTAAATTCTTGGTAAACAACTTAGGAACTTCTCTTTTCCTTTGAAAATCCACTTGTAACTGCTGCTGATTGGAGTGTACATTCAAGGCAACTTCAATCTATGTTCCTGTGTTGCAATCCTCAGTGTTGGCCCAAATAAACTCTATATATTTGCTTAGTTTTCTTTAGTCTCCTTGCATCTGTAGGCCTAAAGATAAAGTCAAATACAGCAACTTATTAAGAGACAAAGTAGGATTTGTCTCAGAAATGCAAAGATGAATATGGGGAATGGGAATCAAAAATCTCTGCATAAATGTGTTAGAGAAAAGCCAGGTTCTCTCAGATCTCAAGCATTCGTAAATGTTTTCCTGTGTCAAGTTCTAGAAGCTTTTAACTTGAAAATTCACACATGATTTTTAAATTATACTTTAAGTTCTAGGGTACATGTGTACAATGTGCAGGTTTGTTACATATGTATACATGCACCATGTTGGTGTGCTGCACCTGTTAACTCGTCATTTACATTAGATATATCTCCTAATGCTATCCCTCCCCCTACCCCATGACAGGCCCTGGTGTGTGATGTTCCCCTTCCTGTGTCCCAGTGTTCTCATTGTTCAATTCCCACCTATGAGTGAGAACATGCGGTGTTTGGTTTTCTGTCCTTGCGATAGTTTGCTCAGAATGACGAACTCATCCTTTTTGTGGCTGCATAGTATTCCGTGGTGTATATGCGCCACATTTTCCTAATCCAGTCTATCACTGATGGACATTTGGGTTGGTTCCAAGTCTTTGCTACTGTGAATAGTGCCGCAATAAACATGTGTACATGTGTCCTTATAGCAGCATGATTTATAATCCTTTGGGTATATGCCCAGTAATGGGATGGCTGGGTCAAATGGTATTTCTAGTTCTAGATCCTTGAGGAGTCACCACACTGTCTTCCACAATGGTTGAACTAGTTTACAGTCCCACCAACAGTGTAAAAGTGTTCCTATTTCTCCACATCCTCTCCAGCACCTGTTGTTTCCTGACTTTTTAATGATTGCCATTCTGACTGGTGTGAGATGGTATCTCATTGTGGTTTTGATTTGCATTTCTCTGACGGCCAGTGATGAGTAATTTTTCATGTGTCTGTTGGCTGCATAAATGTCTTCTTTTGAGAAGTGTCTGTTCATGTCCTTTGCCCACTGTTTGATGGGGTTGATTTTTTCTTGTAAATTTGTTTAAGTTATTTGTAGATTCTGGATATTAGCCCTTTGTCAGATAGGTAGATTGTAAAAATTTTCTCCCATTCTGTAGGTTGCCTGTTCACTCTGATGGTAGTTTTTTTGCTGTGCAGAAACTCCTTAGTTTAATTAGATCCCATTTGTCAATTTTGGCTTTTGTTGCCATTGCTTTTGGTGTTTTAGTCATGAAGTCCTTGTCCATGCCTGAGGCCTGAATGGTATTGCCTAGGTTTTCTTCTAGGCTTTTTATGCTTTTAGGTCTAACATTTAAGTCTTTAATCCATCTTGAATTAATTTTTGTGTAAGGTGTAAGGAAGGGATCCAAATTTCAGCTTTCTACATATGGCTAGCCAGTTTTCCCAGCACCATTTATTAAATAGGGAATCCTTTCCCCATTTCTTGTTTTTGTCAGGTTTGTCAAAGATCAGATGGTTGTAGATTGTATGGTATTATTTCCAAGGGCTCTATTCTGTTCCATTTGTCTATCTCTGTTTTGATACTAAGTACCATGCTGTTTTGGTTACTGTAGCCTTGTAGTATAGTTTGAAGTCAGGTAGCATGATGCCTCCAGCTTTGTTCTTTTAGGGGCTTAGGATTGTCTTGGCAATGCAGGCTCTTTTTTGGTTCTATATGAACTTTAAAGTAGTTTTTTCCAATTCTGTGAAGAAAGTCATTGGTAGCTTGATGGGGATGGCATTGAATCTATAAATTACCTTGGGCAGTATGGCCATTTTCATGATATTGATTCTTCCTATCCATGAGCATGGAATGTTCCATTTGTTTGTGTCCTCTTTTATTTCATTGAGCAGTGGTTTGTAGTTCTCCTTGAAGAGTCCTTCACATCCCTTGTAAGGTGGATTCCTAGGTATTTTATTCTCTGAAGCAATTGTGAATGCGAGCTCACTCATGATTTGGCTCTGTTATTGGTGTATAAGAATGCTTGTGATTTTTGCACATTGATTTTGTATCCTGAGACTTTGCTGAAGTTGCTTATCAGCTTAAGGAGATTTTAGGCTGAGACAATGGGGTTTTCTAAATATACAACCATGTCATCTGCAAACAGGGACAATTTGACTTCTTCTTTTCCTAATTGAATACCCTTTATTTCTTTCTCCTGCCTGATTGCCCTGGCCAGAAATTCCAACATTATGTTGAATAGGAGTGGTGAGAGGGCCTCCATGTCTTGTGCCAGTTTTCAAAGGGAATGCTTCCAGTTTTTGCCCATTCAGTATATTGGCTGTGGATTTGTCATAAATAGCTCTTATTTTGAGATAAGTCCCCCATCAATACCTAGTTTATTGAGTTTTTAGCATGAAGGGCTGCTGAATTTTGCCAAAGGCCTTTTCTGCATCTATTGAGATAATCACGTGGCTTTTGTCTTTGGTTCTATTTATATGCTGGATTACATTTACTGATTTGCATATGTTGAACCAGCCTTGCATCCCAGGGATAAGGCCCACTTGATTATGGTGGATAAGCTTTTTGATGTGCTGCTGGATTCGGTTTGCCAGTATTTTATTGACTTTTGCATGATGTTTATCAGGGATATTGGTCTAAATTTTTTTTGTGTGTCTCTGCCAGGCTTTGGTATCAGGATGATGTTGGCCTCATAAAATGAAATTAGAAAGGATTCTCTCTTTTTCTATTGATTGGAATAGTTTCAGAAGGAATGGCACCAGCTCCTCTTTGTATCTCTTGTAGAATTTAGCTGTGAATCCATCTGGTCCTGGACTTTCTTTGGTTGGTAGGCTATTAATTATTGCCTCAATTTCAGAACCTGTTATTGGTCTATTCAGGGATTCAACTTCTTCCTGGTTTAGTCTTGGCAGAGTGTATGTGTCCAGAAATTTATCCATTTCTTCTAGATTTTCTAGTTTATTTGCATAGAGGTGTTTATAGTATTCTCTGATGGTAGTTTGTATTTCTGTGGGATCGGTGGTGATATCCCCTTTATCATTTTTTATTGCGTCTATTTGATTCTTCTCTTTTCTTCTTTATTAGTCTTGCTAGCAGTCTATCAATTTTGTTGATCTTTTCAAAAAACCACCTCCTGGATTCATTGATTTTTTTGTGTCTCTTACCTCCTTCAGTTCTGCTTTGATCTTATTTCTTGCCTTCTGCTAGCTTTTAAGTGTGTTTCCTCTTGCTTCTCTAGTTCTTTTAATTGTGATGTTAGGGTGTCAATTTTAGATATTTCCTGCTTTCTCTTGTGGGCATTTAGTGCTATAAATTTCCCTCTACACACTGCTTTAAATGTGCCCCAGAGATTCTAGTATGTTGTGTCTTTGTTCTCATTGGTTTCAAAGAACATCTTTATTTCTGCCTTCATTTCGTTATGGACCCAGTAGTCATTCAGGAGCAGGTTGTTCAGTTTCCATGTAGTTGAGTGGTTTTGAGTAAGTTTCTGAATCCTGAGTTCTAGTTTGATTGCACTGTGATCTGAGAGACAGTTTGTTATAATTTCTATTCTTTTACATTTGCTGAGGAGTGCTTTACTTCCAACTATGTGGTCAATTTTGGAATAAGTGTGATGTGGTGCTGAGAAGAATGTATATTCTGTTGATTTGGGGTGGAGAGTTCTGTAGATGTCTATTAGGTCTGCTTGGTGCAGAGCTGAGTTCAATTCCTGGATATCCTTGTTAACTTTGTGTCTCATTGATCTGTCTAATGTTGACAGTGGGGTGTTAGTCTCCCATTTTTATTGTGTGGGAGTCTAGGTCTCTTTGTAGGTCTCTAAGGACTCGCTTTATGAATCTGGGTGCTCCTGTATTGGGTGCATATTTAGGATAGTTAGTTCTTCTTGTTGAATTGATCCCTTTACCATCATGTAATGGCCTTCTTTGTCTCTTGGTCTTTGTTGGTTTAAAGTATGTTTTTATCAGAGACTAGGATTGCAACCCCTGCTTTTTTTTTGTTTTCCATTTGCTTGGTAGGTCCTTCCTCCATCCCTTTATTTTGAGCCTATGTGTCTCTGCATGTGAGATGGGTCTCCTGAATACAGCACACTGATGGGTCTTGACTCTTTATCCAATTTGCCAGTCTGTGTCTTTTAATTGGAGCATTTAGCCCATTTACATTTAAGGTTAATATTGTTGTGTGTGAATTTGATCCTGTCAGTATGATGTTAGCTGGTTATTTTGCTCATTAGTTGATGCAGTTTCTTCCTAGCACTGATGGTCTTTAAAATTTGGCATGTTTTTGCAGTGGCTGGTACTAGTTGTTCCTTTCCATGTGTTTAGTGCTTCCTTCAGGAGCTCTTGTAGGGCAGGCCTGGTGGTGACAAAATCTCTCAGCATTTGTTTGTCTGTAAAGGATTTTATTTCTCCTTCACCTATGAAGCTTAGTTTGGCTGGATATGAAATTCTGGGTTGAAGATTCTTTAAGAATGTTGAATATTGGCCCCTACTCTCTTCTGGTTTGTAGAGTTTCTGTTGAGAGATCAGCTGTTAGTATGATGGGCTTACCTTTGTGGGTAACCCAACCTTTCTCTCTGGCTGCACTTAACATTTTTTCCTTCTTAGATCATGCTTGTTTTTGTTCAAGTCTTCAATATTCTTATCTATGTTTGCCCCTTAATGTACATGCAGCATGTATCTGACACCTGTGACATTTCAGATCCCTTTCTGAGTAGCAGGTTGCATTGTATTTGTGCTGGTGCCTCAACTCCTGCCCTGGATTTCCCTAATTCAGACTAGGGCATAGGATGCTCCAGATCGCTGCTCAGTGCCCATGTCTGTAAGTGGGATGTATAGGAAAGATAATTTTGCATGGAGTTAGTGTCTGATTTATGGAAGAGGGGAACTGGCAGATCATTTCTTCCCTCTTCTTGAATAAAGTATCAGAGGCATGGATTACAGAGTTTCAGGGAAGGGTTTGGCAATATTGAGCCAGTTGCATCGTTACTTCTTTCCCTGTTACAGGCATGTTTCAGTCTGACCAACTCCCCTCCCATCCCCCTTACTCACTGCCATTTCCAGTGGCAGATGCTTTGGATAGGTGTATGCAGGCGTAGACTCATGCTGACTGTGTCTGGCCTCAAGTAAGCTATGTATGTCTGTGCTTTCTACCTCAGGGTCCTCTGAAGCCAGAGGTCAGATCAGCACATACGCACTCACAGCCTGGAAGTGAGGAGTCTTAATACCTTCAGGGCATCTCTCTACCAGTGGGGAGTGGGAGTTGATGGATAAATGCACAAGTGTTCATTCTTCACATGAAAAATCAAGACATCTCTTCCATTTCTCAAATATCCCAGAAGCAAAACCTTGTATTACTTCCTAGACTCTCACCATTCTGTATTGAGGTACAGGTATAAAGGGAAGCACAGGATAACACAGTGGCTCTAGCATCTGAATGATATGGGGCAATGAAAAGCATAGAAGAGCTTGACTTCTTAAACTGACTTAGAAAACTTGAAGAAAGAACAGCAGGCTCAAGTTAGCCAACTACCAACTTAGGACCTGCAGTGAAAGCCAGAAATTCTCAGCGACTTTAAGGAGTTTCATTGCCCATGGCTAAGTGACAGATCAGACTGAAACATCAGGCTGAAGACTTGACTGTAAAGATGGCAGAAAAACAAAAGACATTGTATCTAGCATGAGAGACTTGTCAAGGCTGCATATTCAGACTGCGTATTTGACATTAGGAGATACTGTCATCTCAACAGAGAGAAGGTAAGACCCTAAGACTCAGGATAGGTACAGTTTGGTGAACACTTGAGTGCCTCGAATTCCCAGATTCTTCCCAGAAACTTTCTGGGTTTGGAGAAGAAGTTATTCTTCCCCATGTTTAAAAAGAAAAACCCAAATAAGAGACAGCTTCCTATTGCCTAAAGACCATGACAACATTACATCTCAGGCAGACGTGTCAAAAGATGTTATATTCCTTCCTCAAAAAACGAAAAACCAACCCTGTCTTTTCCACTTATCTCCATAATATAACTGACATCAGATACTCCCAAGTCAGAAATCATCTTTCCTGGGAGAAAAGCTTCTGCACTGAAAGGGTTGTAATGCTTGGTAAACACATACTGTGTCACCTGTGAGAACATGCATGGCCGTGTATCTTGAAGGTGGTTAGATCATGAGGTTAAGAGTTTGGCACCTCCCCAGGATTCAGGATCTAATTTCCTGGCTAGGACACCTGGAGATGAGCTTAGACACTGCTGGAAAATCTTTGAAGCTTGGAAATCATGACAACCTTTAATAAGTGAGAGATGCTTGAGCTGATCAAATGGAGTATTGAGGAAGGGGTCAGAAGGTACAGGGAGGATGTTACAGTAGATTTTTTTCCTAATACCAGAGGATGTGACACTTAAGGGAATATCTTCTGGGACCTTCTAGGGGACAAAAGTAATGAATAATGCATTCATGAGGGCAGCAACATTGAGGAACTGTCCTTTACGGGCCAGATTTAACACTAGGAGTTACTCATGAGATTAGGTTCCCATAGCTGATCAGGAAAGAATGTATATGCAGGGTCAGCTGGTATAGCACTTCATCTTATATCTTAATAGTTACTATAAGAGGCATCAAGGGTCTGTATGGCCACCAGCGTGCCTTGACCTTCAGAGACCTGTGGCATTGACTAACATATTCTGTTCTAGGGTTGCGGTGGGCAGTTAGGATTTCTTAACTTGTACAACTAGAAGAGATACAAAGACTGACCAAAAAGCCTGATGTAATTGCAATGAACACAATCTCTGAAGTTTCCAGATCTGAGCCAGTTGTCTTATTGAGGGGGAATGGATTTCCTTGAGAAAGAGCCTGTAATACCAGGAGTATTTCCCCAATCCTTTGGCAGAAAATTACTTTAGAGTAATTATACTAGGTTAGGAACTCTCAGATTTGAAGTCTACTGGATATATAGATCCTAAAGCAATATCTCTATCAGAAAGCCCACCATACTATTGTGAACTTAATGCCAGAATCAGGTTCCTGAGACAAAGTGATAAGTGAAGTCCTGGTCGAAGTTCATGCCACAGTGAATCCAATGGTTCAGTAAATCCATCCTGTCATTTCCCTCTAGTTCTGGAAGTAAGAAGTTTGATATACTTAAGCAATTTGTTAGGTCACATTGGTTCATTGGCTTGGGTAGAATAGGATGATGCAGTTTCAGGTGGTTCTAACTTGGCACTCTCTACCTTAATGTCATTTATTTCTATCTCCAACTGTATATCAAAGGCAATACAGCTGCCTTGGAAGGATTGCAGAAATTAGTACCAAATACTTAAAAGATCCAGGGGTGGTGGTGGTTGTAGCTGACACTTCACTGGTCTAATCCCTAAGATAGATGGGACTGACAATGGACCATCTCCAACTTCACTCAGTAGCCCTAATCACAGCTGCTGTGCCAGATGCTTATTATTGGAACATATTGACATAGCTACGTAGTAGTCTTAGAGCAATTAGGAAAACATTTGAGTACTATCACAGTAAGGACGACTGAAACTTTCATTTTGCTACAAGGCAACTGTCTTTCTTTTTCCTCTGTTCTAGTCTGGGAGGACACAAATCATCTTGACATTCTGAACACCACTGTGGTCTACTATCTCAGTGACATCATGCTAATTGGACCCACTGAATAAGAGTGGATAGTTTTCTGAAAGTCTAAGTTAAAAAACCTGCATGAATTACCTTCATTGTGGTAATTTACCTTCATTGTGGTAATCTCCCAAATGGGAGGTCTGGTCTGGGGCATATGAAAACATCCCCTTCTAAGGCATAATTGACTACCTACCACTAAAAGAGCATGTTGATTTGGGAGACAGCATACACTATATTCTTGGCTTTTTTATTCCATTTTTGTGAGTGTAAAATTGCATGTGCCAGCCTCAGGAAATTTTTTTCCCGACTGAGTTTTGCTCTGCTGCCCAGGCTGGAGTGCAGTGGCATGATGTCAGCTCACTGCAACCTCCCCCTACCACCCTATCCTGGGTTCAAGCGATTCTCGTGCCTCACCCTCCTGAGTAACTGGGATTGCAGGTGCCTGCCACCATGCCTGGCTAATTTTTGTATTTTTAGTAGAGACAGGGTTTCACCATATGTTGACCAGGCTGGTCTTGAACTCCTGACCTCAAGTGATCCACCCGTCTCGGCCTCCCGAAGTACTGGGATTACAGGCTTGAGCTAACATACCCAGCAGGAATGCTGCTTTAGTGGATTTCTTGGGTCCTTGAAAATCAGTTTCAAGTGAGGCCCAAAGAAATAGAGTACTCTACTAAGGTCCATGATGTATTACATCAGGCCATGTTAACAAGTCAGAGGTATCAAGGGCAGATAAGCATCCTTTTTTTAGTCTTTGGTAGGCCCCAATAATAGACTTGCAGCACAGATCTCTAAGGTTCTGAGCAAGATTATACCATCTGCAACAGAAAAGCAGTCCCTGGGGTGCTACTGGGTCCTTATAGAATCTGAGTACTGATGATAGGATGTTAAAAGACTGGAGCTACCAGGCAAGGGCTTGGTCACATCCATTGAACCATGAAGCTGGGTGACTGCAGCAGCTTTCTGTCTTATAATGGGAACGGACCACTTGACAGTACCCAAGCAAGTCTGGAGGGCATGTTATTCCTTTTAATCTCCAAGGTGGGGAGTGGTTGGGGAGAGAGTAGTTTAAGTCTGTTCTTCACACATTGTGGAGCTCAACTAGATTTAATAGCTATCAGGGATTTCGAGTTGTTTATCTCTGGGTCTACTTGTCACTGAAGACCAAGTTTCTAGGGCATTGTTATCTTCCTATAGCAGACCTAAGAGGTCTTACCCTTGAGAAGTCAAGCCTATCCTCCAACGGCAAGTCCCTCCTATAGCCAACCTTCCTGTTCTGAAAGCCTCAAACTCCTTAGAGGCAGGATACATTGCCACCATTCCAACTTTAGAAGGGGATATGGAGTTTGGTGGCTTGGGCTGCAGTTTTCTCCTGTAAAGCAGCACATCAAGGCTATCAATGTAATACTTAGAGACATCAACCTTTCATTAGATTCCATTCTTTGCAGAGCATTAACAGGCTAGAAAGGGGTCCTGAAGAAGAAGGATTAGAAGAAAAGTACATATAAGTGCCTAATTATGGCAAGAAGTCAATTCAAGTAGTCCTATCCCTAAATGGCTCTTCTAGTCACTGAAAGCAGTCAAGAAAGTTAGTGGTATTTCCATTTGACCCAGAAATCCCATTACTGGGTATGTACCCAAAGGATTATACATCATCCTACTATAAAGGCATATGTACATGTATGTTTACTGCAGCACTATTCATAATATCAAAGACTTGGAACCAACCCAAATGTCCATCAATGATAGACTGGATTAAGAAAATGTGGCACATATACACCATGGAATATTGTGCAGCCATAAAAAAGAATGAGTTTGTGTCCTTTGCAGGGACATGGATAAAGCAGGAAACCATTCTCAGCAAACTAACACAGGAACTGAAAACCACTGTATGTTCTCACTCATAAGTGGGAGTTGAACAATGAGAACATGTGGGCATAGGGAGGGGAACATCACACACCAGGGCCTGTCAGGGGATTGGGGGCAAGGGGAGGGATAGCATTAGGAGAAATATCTAATGTAGACGACGGGTTGATGGGTGCAGCAAACCACCATGGCTCATGTATACCCATGTAACAAACCTGTATATTCTGTACATGTATCCCAGAACTTAAAGTATAATAAAAAGAAAGTCGTATTTATAGCCATCTTTAAAGATGATAACACCAGACCCTAGATTCCCCACAGTATAAAATGTGGACCTTCAATACAGGACAGCCTGATGAAAGGCAAGTGTGACAGGCTGTATTTACCACCAACTGGGACTTCCACCTGGGACTCAGTTGAACAAATGCATTTACTCTGGAAGTCCAAGCATGTTAACTTCTTGTAAGACCTTGGCCATCTTGTTAGTGAAAGCTGAAATGAAAGCTCATTTTGATGCAGCTTCCATGTTAGGCTTTTCTTTACCTGTAGGGCCAAGTGGAATATTCTAGACTCCGAATGCCTCAATCATTAGTCCCTTTGTCTCAGGTTTTGGTGGTGCTATATCTACCACGTGGAGAACCAATTTGCCAAGCGTGAAACCTGCTTTTGCAAGGCCCTTTCATGAGGAAGGCAATCCAAGGCATCACATCTTAAGTTCATCATCTGATTGTTTTAGAACAAGCATGGCTTTCCAGAGAGTTTCATAGCAGCATCAGAACATGTATGTCAGGTTCATCCAGGAACTTTTAACATATAAGTATTTTGTATTTAGGTAACAGGATAGCCAGACTGGCAGTGAAAGTTGTGATTTAGTAATGTGGCATGACTAGATTATACTTAAACCCTGTTTTTATTTTCTTCATTTTAAAGTAAGTACTTGCATTAAAGATATGGAAAGTTATGTTATATACTATCCACATTTTATAAATCAGCATTTGTGTTCTATTCTAATTGTGTAAATTATAATAGGTATACACCTCTTCACATTATGCTTTCCAACCAAGCTTATGGTTACTTAAGTTAATGTTCTACCTACAGTCTATACTGTGATTTATTCAATAGAAACAAATATTTAGTATCTTGTTTTTCCAAGCTATATGTACAACTTAATAGCTTATATTTGGTCTTTTTAAACAAGCAATAGAGGTCAAGTTACTGAATCAACTGAGAACAAGCCTGCTAGTTGTTGATACTGCCTCTCAAACATCCTATCCACGTAGTCAACACACATTGCATGTGGTGAGACCAATTATGAAACTACCTTTGCAAAAGTTATAACAGAAAAATTATGACAATGCAATATCTGACCTGACTCCATCCTGCTAACCTCCAAGCTGTCATTGTTCATTCCTGGGTATAGGCTGAATTTGGGAAGAATTTATAGTTGAAATAAAGATGCTAACAACCCTTGCCCAACACAGACCCTTCCTGCCTGGGCACTTGACTACTCTTGCAGGACTAACAAATTAGCCACAAAATTAGAAACTGTGGTTTAGGAGTCATACAGCTAGAGGCTGCAAGATTCTGAATCTCCCCAAATTGCTCCCAGGGATAACATCACTATTGTAAAACCTAAGATTAGTGCTTAAGATATTCTGCAGACCCTGTACTCGATGGATCAGCTGGCACCACCCAAATGGATAAACTTGCTCATCTGGTCTTGTGCCTCTCATCTTACCCAGGAACTGATTCAGTGGCAAGAGGACAACTTCAACTCTGATTTCATCTCCAACCCAATCTTATCAGCACTCCCTATTTCCCAAGTCCCTACACACCAAGTTATCCTTAAAAATCCTAATCCCAAAATTCTCAGGGTGATTGATTTGAGTAGTGACTGTCTCTCATAGAGAAGCTGGCCTCGTGTTAATTAAGTTCTTTATTGCAATACCATTTTCCTGGTGAGTCAGTTGCTTGTGCAGTGGGCAGGAAGAACCTGTTGGGTGATCACAATTACAGTATACCCTAACGTGAAATAGAAGCACTCTAGTAGGATAACCATATTTCACTTTAGTTTTCACCTCTGTTCTCATGCAGCTGAGGATTTGTTGGTTGTAGTTTGAGGTAGTGGTCCCAGGCCTATAGTTCTCTCTCTTTTTTTTTTTTTTTTTACTGAGTTTAATCTACATATGATCAAGTTTACTTTTTGAAACTAATTCGGTACTTTTTAGTATATTCACAAGGTTGTATGACCACACCCCCTGTCTAACTTTAGGACATTTTGATCTATCTTCAAGTTGATTGAATATAGTAACACCATACCCTAGATTCCCCACAGTATAAATCAAGCTCACTGATTCTTCTGTATCAAGTCTCTTGCACCTCTCTAGTGGAGTTTAATTTTTTATTTCCCCAGGTTATTGAGGAACAGGTGGTGCTTTGTTACATAAGTTCTTTAGTGGTGATTTGTGAGATTTTGGTGTACCCATCACCTGAGCTGTGTACACTGCACCCAATTTGTAGTCTTATCCTTCACCCGTTCCCACCCTTTCCCTGAGTCCCCAAAGTCCATTGTGTCATTCTCCTAGTGGAGTTTGAGAATTTCTATTTGGCTCTTTTAAAAAGTTTGTCTATTGATAGGCTGTTTGGCAAGACATTTCTCATACTTTAGACACAGCCTTTATTTGAAGATTTTTAATGGTGGATTTAAAGTCTTCATCTAGTAAGTCTAAAATCTGGGTTTTCTCAGAGACTAATTGCTTTTTTGTATATCAGCTATAATTTACCTTTGTTGGAAACTGGAAATCTTACTATGGCAACTCGGGATATCAAGTTCTCCCAGGGCTTGTTGCCATTTGTTCTTTGCTTATTTAGTAACAGTTCTGTAAGGTCTATAGTCTTATGTGAGACCACTGGAGTTTATTTGGTTAAGTGGTCAGCTACTACTGCTTAGACAGATTTCCTTAAATGCCTGGAACTACCAAGTTTCCCAGTCCTTATTGAGGGCTTTCCTGTATGTATTAGGACATGCCTTCAACACTCAGCCAGGCAGTTGAAACTTTGCCTTGGCCTTTATTTCCCCCGTATGCAGAGCCCCAAGGTCATCCAGAGGTGAACACACAGGGCCTTCTAGGGTCCTTCCCCACCACATACAGTCCTACATATGCACTTGGCCTTCCAGATTCATAGGAATATGTTGGAGCTTTTCAGAGTCCCTGTGGACATATCATTTCCAGCTTTTCATTTAGCTTATTGTTTGCTCCAAGTATTACCCACTATGCCTTAGGCAGCTGCAGTGTTAAACAGTAGCTTTTAATTGTTCTTGATAAAATGCCCCTATGGAAGAGGCTTTTTGCATTAGGTGATCCCAGTCACAAGAACAGCCTTGTGAATGGAGTCTTCCAATAAGGCCAGACAGGTTAAAGTGTTAACATTTCTCCAGGAATGGGGCTTTGAAGCAGCTCTAATCCTATTCTGCCAACTCCTCCAGGCTGCTGATTTTCACTGTTTGCAAGGTGTTGGTTTTTAAGGCTACCAGAGAGCTGGGGTAGTGATGGAGGAAACAGAATTTAAAAATACCACAAAGCTTGCTATTACCTGGATTTGGTTTTTTTCCCTGGATTGCTATAAGTTTGGTTAAAGTTCTAAAAGTGCTCAACTTGATTTTGCCTAGTGTTCTCATTGCTTTTATGAAGATAGTGTTTTCACTGTCTTATTAGTGAAAGGTCCTTATTCTGCCACTTTCACTGATGTCATCCCCAGTTACCTGGTGGCTTTTAGATAACCAGTCATAACTTAACATTGACCCAGCATAGCTTTCCTTGTGTCCACAAAGGGGAAAACAAACTTGGGAGACTATAGCATTGTCTGACAATTCTATTTTCTAGGTTCTCTTGAAGTTGGAGTGGGACTGGATTCTGCTCATACCGTGGAAAGACTGTATATCAGAGCTACCAATCTGGGGGGCCACATTGGCACCAATCTGAACTACTGTCAGTCCATAGTGATTAAATAACCTTGTACCAGAATATAAACCTATGTTGTCTTCCATAGAGAAGTCTTAAGGATATAATCCCAACTGAATAGTGCCTAGTGATATGGTTGATTTATATTTCAGTGAACATTTGTTTCAATGGCAAGTGGACATTTGTACATACTGTTAAACGTGCTGGACAACAATTTTCCAGGTCTGGTCACCAATCCCATGAAGGTCATTGATTTTTCCATGTCTATGAAGACTTTGGAGAGACATATATAGGAGTTCATGCTCCTTTCATCTCAGCTCTAAGCCATTGCTTATAGGTGAGCCACCTAACCTTCACTCCAGCACGAGTAAAACACATTTGTGCTAAGTTACTGAGATTCGGGGAATATTTGTAACTACTCTGGTAATCAGAGTGGGCAGAATGGGATTAGAACTACTTCAAGGCCCCATTCCTGGAGAAATGTTAACACTATGGTAGGTCATGGCTTGTCCACAGTATATTTGCTGTATTTCTTGATATGTCTAGTGTATACACGTGAATGCCAATATTCTCTTAAGTTGCCTTTGTTCAAGTTCAGAAGACAGAACAAAAACTACTTCTACCTCCAAGAGTGTGATAAGCATTACTATTCAGTTTTAGTTTCTCTATTCTGATTTTTATACATCATTCCATTCTGAAGTTTTGAGATATGAAACATGATCTAACCATTTTCTAAATTGTTCACCAGTTGTACCTAATCACATTCTTACATTGCCCATTGATCTGTGGTACCTCTCACATCACAATTTAGGTGACAGGAGTAGTTTCTGGCCTACTGTTTTATTGATCTTTGAGGCTGAAACCCTTAGGATAATGGTACCAGGATAGGGTTTGTCTTTTCAACTAATTTTCAGCATAGTTAATTACCTTTATAAGTGAATCCACACAATTCCAGTATAGTTTATACTTACAATTAATCATCTTGGGATTTTGTATGTTACCTTAATACCATCTGAAGATAAAGTAAGGTTCGATTCAGGATGACAGCATCTATAAAATGTGTTGGAGAGGCTCACAGATTAAGTTAGAGGTCATATAGTAAGGAAGCTGAGATGGGTGTTAACACCTGGGCCTGATTTCAGAACCTTCACTTCTTCCAATAATGCATGTTACTTGCCAATCTAAACACTTCAAGGAAAGGAGACATTTAGGAGAGGACTTTTGCTGAACCAGCCCAGTGAACTTCTTTCCCTGACCCTTGCAGGCTTATAGCATCCATCAATACGCAGTAGGATTCCAGATTGCTATGCTCATCCCTTGAAAGTGTAACAAAGAACTCCCCTTGCTTTCCTACGAAGATAACATGCTTCCTTTTAAGTATAGAATAGAGTTCAAGGAACCTCAAAGCTTGTGTTTGAGCTATCACTTATCTCAGGCCTAACTCCACTTACTATACACCTCAGTAGCTTCCAAGAAGTCAGACAAACAGGTGATTCTATTTCTCCTGGAATTCCTGCCAATTTATCATCAGGGGGACTTGACCCAGCATTTGGGTGGGAATGGGATATTATAAACCCATTGAGCCAATTGAAGGGGATTGATTTCTGAAATACCATCCTTAACACCAAAAGGAAGCTGCCTTGGAAGAAGTCTGGCTGGTTATTAGGGGCCCTGGCCACCAAGTGACAGTACCTGAAGTGAGACTGGCTTACCAAGGCCAGTAAGTATGTGCAAATATGGATCAGGATCTGTACATGTTAACTAAACCCATTATGCTTTGGGACCTCTAAACCCTTTCCCAATTCTTGTACAACACCATGTCAGACATCATGGAGTTGACAGGGCTAGCAGAAGACCAGCTCCAGCACCTATTATTCACGCTCTGAAAATTTTGGTGGGAGGTATCATTGAATGTTGTGGTTTAAAATTAGATTCTCTCAATAGTATTCTGTACAATGTTGTGATTGTTGGGAGAAGGATGGTAAAGTGGCAAGTTGCTATACTGTGTTCCCTTCAGGTAATATTATATGCATGTAACTCAAAACCAGATTTTATTATTATACTTTAAGTTTTAGGGTACATGTGCACAATGTGCAGGTTAGTTACATATGTATACGTGTGCCATGCTGGTGCGCTGCACCCAGTAACTCGTCATCTAGCATTAGATCTCTCCCAGTGCTATCCCTCCCCCCTCCCCCCACCCCACAACAGTCCCCAGAGTGTGATGTTCCCCTTCCTGTGTCCATGTGTTCTCATTGTTCAATTCCCACCTATGAGTGAGAATATGCGGTGTTTTTTTGTTCTTGCGATAGTTTACTGAGAATGATGATTTCCAATTTCATCCATGTCCCTACAAAGGACATGAACTCATCATTTTTTATGGCTGCATAGTATTCGATGGTGTATATGTGCCACATTTTCTTAATCCAGTCTATCATTGTTAGACATTTGGGTTGGTTCAAAACCAGATTTCTGTTGGAACTTTTGATAACATTTGCAAAAATTTAGAGGCTGAGGACACATGCCCCGTAGCAATCACTGGCACACTTTTTTCTACAGCATCTGATCATAGATTCTAACCTTATCATTCTGCATTGAATCTTAGGGCTAGCATTCCTGCCTAGTAGAAAGGCCTAGGAAACATGGCCAGGGAGAGTATTTTGAACATCGAGAAAGATTCCAATAGCCCTGAGACCCCACCCCTTGATGTTTGTAATAGTCCTGGCCTTATTTTGTAAAGGTAGCCGCCATCCCTCATATATCCTTTCCCGTGTATTATCCTATTTGAGGATAAGCAAGAATAGGAAGTTTTCAGGTATATGGGGACAAAGTGGTTGAGTTTGTCAAGTTATAACTACTTTAAAGGGGTACCCTTCTGGCCCCCTGGGCTACCTTCCAGTTACAAGTACCCTTTACAGTAAGTCAAAGTATGTAGCAAACTGTGGGTAGGAGGCTACACTCGCATTTAGAGGTGAGCTCAGACTGGTCTAGAATGACCTCAGTTGGGACAATGGGACTTTCACCCTCAGTCTAATCAGACTCATCCTAGCCTAGGCTCATTCTCATTACAGTGGCAATAAAGAGGAAGACACAAGGACCCTTAAGGCACAGGCTTGAAATTGGCAGTTTCCTTTCTACCACCTGCTATTTTCCAAGCAAGCCACAAGGACAGCTCAGATTCAAGGGGGTGGGCAAATAATCCATTTCTTGATTGGAAGAATGGTGAAGTCACATTGTAAAGGGTATCGACAGGGGGAGAAGAATTGGTTTTTTGTAATCAATATGAACTAAAATCCTTCAGTGAAAGGGTGATGAGAAATTCAGTGGTTTCATATGGCATCAGGCTGAGCTATTCACTAGACTTAGCACCACTGTAAAAGGAACAGCCAGGTATAGTGTCCTTGAATGTGTTGCAATGGAAAGTATAGATAGCTTTTGTTGGCTAAGACTTTGTCAGTAATCTAGTCAACCTGTAGGAACAGGGGAAAGGAACAAGTTAGACACAGAAGCAGTTAGCCAAACCTAAATACAGGACATTCTATAAGACATGACAATTTCTCCAGTGTTTCAATGATACTAGGTGGGGAGGGGACCGTTATAGAAGACTTAAGAAGCTTAAGTACTAGCAGACATTTTAGAAATCCTTTCAGATTCTCAGTGTCACTTGTTTTTCAGATGCAGTGGACACTGGCCAACAACATGCTGACCTAAACGTCATGCTGCTTAGCTGCATGTCAGAGCTTTCAGCTCCTTTCAGGGCCTTCTGGGCTCAGATAAAGTGCCACACTGCTTAGATGGATTTGTATTTCCCTCTGGCTGACAGGCTAACTAGACCCTCAGAAGTTTACTCCAAGAAACTGACCAGCAAGTACTGGAAGATGGGAGCCCACAGGTGACATCTACCATCTTTACTGGTCACTGGCCAGGCCTCACAATCAGCTGTGAACTTTGTGAAGTAGTGGCTTGGTAGTATAAGCTTATGCATATTTCCCAGTCTTCCATCCTATATTCCTTTTGTTGTTTCTCCAGGATTGTATCCCTCAAGTAAGCATTAGCAATGAAGTCTTGCTTCAGTTCTGTCTTCTAGTGAACTCAGGTTAAGCCAACAACTAAATGCAATCAAACTTGTTTGGAGCTTGATTTGAGTAAGCCAGATATAGGACATTTAAAGCAGGCTGTGAAATTTGATAGGACTATTGGACATTAAGGAGTGTTGATTGTGCTATGTGTGACAGTGATTTTAAAGAGGGACCTTGTTAATCAGTTTTCTGACTAAAAGGACAGGATGCCTAGTGTTTAAAGAATTCCAGCAAAGCAGAATAAGATAGATACACCTAGGGGGATAAATGAAGATGGAAATACTGAGTTTAATCTGAGTAACAGGTACATTATGATTTTCTACTTATGTATATTTGAGGACTTCTACAAGTTTAATTCTTTAGATTTCATCCACCATTTTTCTTGAATATAATGATTGTTTTGTAGATGATCCCTTGGAAGCTTTCATAGCTGAATTTTGAAGTTTAACATATTGAATCTAGTTGTGGAGTTTCTCCATACATTTCATGAAGCCTTTCAAAATGTGGTTCTTAGTCATTTCAGGAGTTTTACCTTCATTATTGTTCATTGTAAACATGTAGATAGAAAATGAGATGGAAGATGTAGACTATTTTGTGATTCAATCTGATCTTCCAATTCACTAATTTGTTCTTCAGCTATATCCACTTGTGTTGTATCAGCTTATACTTCATTTTTGTTCTCATTTGAATGTTAGTGTCTTAATCTTAGGTAACTATTGTACTTGATAGTCTCAGTCTGAGTGTCCTAATATTTAGGCTTTCAATGTTTCCATTTTGAAATAGGTATATTCTTCCAGCAACTTATTTTAGTCTGAGAATATCTAGTACCAGAGGAATATGATTTATCTAGTAATGCATTGTTAGTTCAAGATCAAAAGGCACAGTTTTAGCTTGTTTCAACCCAAGTTTACAGAAAGAAAAACCCTAAGTTACTGTCGTTTCTACAAAGAAGCCTATTAGGCCAGGGTCTCCATTCTTGAGAGGAGCAGCACTGGTAGGAGGCAGGCTCCCCAGATTGGAATCCACCAGCCCCACATGGGGCAGGATGGAGGTATAAATGGCCAAAGTTCAACCTCTACTTGCCTTCATCAACTCCTTACCTCACAGGGTTTTCATGCTAACCTGATTTTGTCCAGTGCATTAGCACACAGGGTTACCAGTTTCAGCCAGACAATGCCTATCTCAACAAGCAATTATGCTAAAGAGGCAAAAAGCAGAGATAAATTCACCTTAATTACCCTCACAGCACTATCAGTTGCCCTTTGTTCCAGATCACACCCATTACACTCAGGGACCACATATACCAACTTGTCCAGACAGTTGGAGTTTTTGCCTGTTGCCCTAGTGTGATGAACAATGCTCTTTACTCTTAAGTGTCCTAGTTTGGGAAGTCATGTAGTCCTTGTGGCAGCCATGGAAATGTACTATTCCAATCTCCCTCTGAAGAATATGCCTTGGAGTGCAGTTAGCCTCCAGCTGTAGTATCCCTGGGATCTGCCAGTGTTAGAACTAAGGATGCATTTTACCCAGGTAGATTCCTGCCAACAACTGGGCAGGGCAGGGCAGGGCAGGGCAGGGCACACCAGGCCCTGGCCAGTCCTGCCCAATGGAGGACCAAGCATTCTTTATGCTAGGGATCCTTGTTAAGGGAGCTGAGACTCTAGGACTGGACTGCAGTTTGGGTGTCTTCCTGATAGACTTTGACTGACCGGCATCTGATCTATATCCATTCCATACACTAGATCAAGCCCCTCTTAAGCATGTCCAAAGCCTCTTAATTCCTGGATTGCATGTTTGCTTTTCTTCAGGGTTGATGGTTGAGGAAGGAGTCAGAACTGTTTTTAATGCCAGCAGTCCCAGCCCCAGTGTCCGTTCAATTGATAATTGTGGAAACTAGGTTTTGGCCTTTTGGCTTCCAGCTGGGCTTGGCCAATGAAAAGCCCTGATGAGATTGAGGGCATGTAAAAGCAGCCAGGGTATTTTACCCTCTCCTTCCACTTCAGTAGAATCTGTGGGAGTGGCTATTTCATTTCTAGTCTTCTGGAGTCAGCCCCTCCCATCTCCCAGCTTTCTCTAAGTATTCCTTACTGTGGCTTTAGCCCCCTCTGGGCATTCTCTACAAGGCTACAGTAACGCTCTTTCCTTTGTCCTTTGAGGTCTAAAAGGAGAAGTGGCTTCTGTTAGTCTGGATTTCTTCAGCAGTCCATGTTTGGCTTTCAACTCTTAGGATATTTTTATAGCTCATTTCCCATATTAAATTCTTTCCATTGAGCTATTTAGCTTGTGCTCTGGTTCTCTTAGTGGACCTGGACTGTTATACTTGATTTCTTTCAGGAGTAAGCCATTAAATTTCTCTCTCTTTTGGCTGGCATGGGTTAATGCTTAGGGCATGAAGTATTTAGAAGCATCTTAATACATGACCCATTAATCAAGCAGCAAGTAGTATATCTAGAAGCAAACGGAGCAAGTTGATCTGTCACTCTTATTTAGTTGTACCATACAACAGGAGTATCCCTGGACAAAGGGCCACTTGGCACAAAGGCATTAAAAGGGGTCAAAATCAGCTTCCAGAAGCACAAGATACTTTTAGAAATCAGCTTTCTCCAGCAGTGTTTCAAAAATGCTGAACAGTTTAATTTCCAGTTTGAGGGACACTTAGTTAAGCTCTGAATATACTAGATTAATCCTCAAACCTCCCTGTAGAACTCTAGGCTCTAGTACAAGCTGCCAGCAGGTCTCCATGGAAGCCATGCTCCAGAAGGCTAAGGCATAACTAACCAATATTTCTGATTGTCCTTTCAGGAAACCAGATGACATATGTTGTCATAAGAATGTCATGAACTCTAATCTTTAAGTCCCCTAGTTTTACCCATTGCACTAACTTCACTACTCGCCATGTAACTCAATGCTACCCTATGCCCTAGGTATGCAATAGTAAATGGGGAAGTCCAGAATTCTGGTCATGGAAGTTTCCAAGATGCTCCAAGATTGTCTTTGCTAGAGACCAGGAATTGAGACACAGATGCTTAAAGGATATAGCCCTCTCCCCTTGTCTTCTACAAACTGCAAGTCACACATAGTCATACTACCTACAAATAGAGCATCCTCAGGGGAAGTGGGTCAGAAATGTCCCACTGTTCTCATAGGGAAGAAAGCACCAGACAAAAACATGACTTTTCTCAAGTCATAGCACCTTCTTCCAAGTCTGGCCCTGTGTACAGTTTCCTTACCCTAGACCTGCTTTTCTACCAGTCATTCTCAGGATAGTTCTTCCTTGAGGACTTCCTAGTCTATCCATGTTTGGGCATCTGTGCCGACTCTGGTTTTTTATTCCAGTAAGACTTCACAGTGGAGTTGTCTAAGAGACAAAGCCTACCTATGAAACTATCTTAACAGTTGTCAACCCAGCTTGTTTTTGCTTTGTAATGTATCAGATCCTTGGTCACCCCAAGTCAAGCCACAAGTCTAGAGGGTTCATGCTCACCTTGGTATATTTTTGTATAAACTTAAGGAACACAAGTTGTTACATGGATATATTGTGTAGTTGTCAGGTCTGGGCTTTTGGTGTACTCATCACCAAATAGTGTACATTCTACCCATTAGGTAGTTTCTCATCCTTTACTCCCTACCCCTCCCAGTCTCCAGTGTCTGTACCATACTATGTCCATGGGTACATATTATTTAACTCCTACTTGGATGAGAACATGTATTTGAGTTTTGTTTTACATAAGATAATTCACATGTTGTCTAGGGGTTTTGTATGCTTCAAGCTCTGAGCATTCTACCTTGCCTCAAACTCAGAATATCAGATCTTGGGATGGTAACTGGCAATGAGTTTTTGCTCTCAACCAAAATCAATTTTTAGTGACATAATTGCCACCTGTTATTTTCAAGCCCTGCTATTGGGAGTCAGTGGCTACTCTACATCTAGAGATTTGAAATCAGTCTGCAGCTCCAAGACAGATCTACACGGAGAACATTAAATGTGACCCAAGTATATAACTTAAGTACTTTACTTGCTTTGAATACTTACCTGGGCTCCTGGCTCATATCCAAGTGTCTACACAACATTTCTATGCAGATGTCTTAGATATCAAGTTTAGCATGCACAAGATAACTTATTTGCTTTAGTCTTTCCCATTCTGAGGCACCAAAAAACTACCCATCTGGCCAGAAAAGTCATGGATCATTCTAGGTTTCTTCTTACCCTTCATTCCCTATACCAATTTGTCAGAACAATCCATTCATTCTATTTAAGACATTCTGAATCTATTCACTCTTCCATTTCTACTGCCCTGTCTCAGTCCTAGCTATATACATTGTCTCCTTTGTGAGCAGATCGTCAAGGATAACGATTAGTCGAGGATTACTCCACTGCTTCAAGGTTTCCTAGTGGCTTTCCATTAGAGTGTAAAACCCACCCTCCTTACCAGAGTCAAAGTTCTGCATGATATTTGTTCCTGCCTCTCTTGGGACTTTCCCCCTTCAGTGAGTACTATAGCCATGTTGCTTCCTTTCAGCCCTTCAAATATGCCACGGTGCTTCCTGCCTCAGGGATTTTATTTCCATACCCTTTTTCTCTTAACATATTTAGAAAGACCCTAACATGTTTAAAGCTTAGAGAAAAGAGAGCCAATGTAAGTGTCATCTCAAAACTCTTGACCAGGTTGTCACTGCCTCCACCATTCCTGCCAAATCATCCTTCACTCCGTTTCCTTTGTGGAACCTGTTACTAATCAGAAGTACCTTGACTCTTACTTCATCTCCCCCCTAGGGGCACAAGTCTATTTCTGTATACTTCATCTGACTGGACTTACGTTCCAGCACACAGGAATGCTGGCTGATTTCTCCAAGAAAAACAAGCGTCAGGGAGTATATCAGCTGATAGCCTCTATCTGCAGAACCTTTGGGATCTACCATAGCACTTGAGCTAAGGTCATACTCTTCCTGGAATGTGAAGCACTTTAATGTGGCATGGCAGGGGAATACCGGGAAGCTTCTGAGTGACTCCTCTGCAGGCATTATCTGCACCAGAGTTTCTCAGGATTGCCAAGGATTTCTCAGAGGCACACAGCAGTCTGAGGTTTTACCCATCCAATTTCTTTCCCTTCTCCTTTCACGGGTGTCAGATGAGCATTCATGATGTAAAGACTTTCCTTGCCTATTCCTGCTCCTTCCCTTTTTCATAGGTATTACCCAATGCATCAAGCTTCCACATGTGCTTGGAAGCAGTTTTCCAGAGGACCAGAACACTCAAATCACCGTAGTAGTTTGAGATAAAGTGATACAATAGGATTTGGGGACTGAATCCCCTTACTCCAAATGTCCAGAGCAGATCCAATCTCAACTTCAATTGATGTATAGCATAAGTAGTTTGATACAAGGTGGCAACATAATTGCTAAAGTTTTACCAATAGTGACTTGAATGTTCTATTGAGGGAAAATTCCCTGGCCAATGCCATGATTTAGACCTTTAAGTATAGGGGAAGTGGAATTACACTGCTGTAATGCCTTACTGAAGGAGGATAAGAAACAAGTTCTAACTATGTTAGAGTGCTGAAGGGTCTTTGGCAGCCAGCTTGAGAGGTCTTTATCTCCTGCAGTAGGAGAGTGGATACAGCTGAGAAGCAAATTTAGGATTGGTAGACTTGCCAAGCTCAAAAGACAGTGGAATGCTCCAGTGAAGGCAGATCTGCTTACTGTGTTTAAGCCCCACTTGGAAAAACCTGGGGACATCTAAGTGTACACAGCCAAGAACTGTAGCTTGTCAGCCCTGAAGCATCAGCCTATAGAGGTGATCCACCTCTATTAGAAGCTAGACTTCCCCCGTGCAGGAAGATGCTGCCAAGGCTTCTACCCTACAATGCAAACAGCTGTCCTATAAGAAGGCATCCTTTTCTGGATGCCAGGCTGATAACTAAGATTCAATCCCAGTGCTAGCACTGAATAGGAGAAAAGTGATTACATCCCAAGAAGCTGAAAGAACTAACAAGCAAGTGGCACCAGGAGCCCAGAGAATATCTCCAGGCTTTGATTTTGAGGGTGTTCCTCTCAAAAGGCCAGACTGCAAAACTTAGGAGCACTCTTTCAGAGCACTGGGCACTTTTAGAGGATGGAAGTTATAGCCAATGAAGAGTCAGATCTGCCACTTCAAGAAAGATCTTAGCAGTCTAGTGTTAAGGAGAATGTGACAAACCCCTCCAGATTATGACAAGTTGTGGTAGGGGAGACAAGTTGTGGTAGGGGATGCAAGTTGTGGTAGGGGATGCAAGTTGTGGTAGGGGATGCAAGTTGTGGTAGGGGATGCAAGTTGTGGTAGGGGATGCAAGTTGTGGTAGGGGATGCAAGTTGTGGTAGGGGATGCAAGTTGCAGGAAAGGGGAAAGCACAATGCCCAATAGGCATTGTGATCTAGAAACACCTTCAAACCCTAGGAATACTGCTTTAGCCCACAGATAGCACAAAAGGCTATCAGCCCTAAGATGAACCCAGAGTAGGAAAGGGCTCCATAGGTCTAGACTGTGATACAATCAGCCCTGCCCCTTGGGCCACAATCCAGCAAGGTGACAGATATGTCTTATTACCTTGATTGCAGTGGTTTCATGCATGTATGCAATACATGTTTTAATTTGAATTGTATTATATGAAGCTATTAATATCTTTAAGCTGTTAAAACAGATCATGAACTAGAAGAATGATTAGTGGGAAGTAGTATGGAATTTATGTCAAGCTGTCAAGCCCCAGCGGGAGAATCAATGCAGCCCCCTAGAGTTCAAGAGCAAGGCCATATTATCTGTAGCAGACAGTTGTCATTTTAAAAATGGTTCATGTGCTACCAGGCTCTGGTAGAGGGGGAAACCTTAACCACGAGCCATCATGTGACCATATACCTGGAACTGCCCATTATGTGCTAGGGGGTCAGTTAGACCCATTAGATCAAGTTTGGCCACATCAGCATCAATTCTTCAAGAGATTAAAATGGTTCAGCCCAGGATTGAGCCCAAGTAATACCAGAGGGCACAAGCAAAGTGGATATGTGGATGGCCCAAGCCTCCCGGGCACCCCATATTGGTTTGCCTCAGAACCTTTTTTTAGGTTCACGCCTATGGATATAGAGGCCATTATGGCCAACGGAAGGAATAGAAGGCAGTTTGACTTATAGATGTGTTGGTCCAATGTGTGAAAGCTAAGGTGAATGGCAACTCTTTAATAGATGCGTTCAGGATGGCTTTGAAATGCAGTGGCAAGACAAAGCTTTCCCAGTGAGAAAATGAGAGTACATCATGGGAAAAGTAACCCAAAGTGAGAATCCATACTAAGCTTCTTGGCAGTGAGTGCCAAGAAGTAAGTGCAGGGCAGTAAGTGCAGGGCAGTAAGTGCCTTGGCCAGCCTATCAGGAACTTGGAAGGAAACGGACTGGAACATAAGGATGTCTGGGGTAGATGCTTGTGGAAAAACATTTGGGAGTAGTAATGAAGTGTTAACATATCACATGTTTATGCCTACCAGAGTGCTTCACCATGGAATAGGCATGCAAGTAGCCAGGCAAAATAACTTAACCAGTTGATGTTACCATCCAAGAAAGGCTGTGGTCCAATATGTGGATTGGGCAGAATAGCAACAATGGTGGCTATGCAAGGGCCTAAAAGCATGGGTTCCCACATACCAAGGCCAATCTAGATACCAGTTATGAATGTTTAATCTGCCAGCAATAGAGACTGATAGTGAGCCTCTGATATGGTATAACTCAAGAAGGCCAGTTGCTTGGCAGAAAGTTAACTGTTAGGCCCCTTCCATCTTAGAAGGGCCAGGAATAGATTCTAATGGCATAGATACGTATTTCCGGTATGGGTTTGACTGCCCTGCTCAGAGCCTCAGCCAGGTCTTCTGTCTCTGGGGACTCAGAGACTGCTTTATCCTACAGCCATATAATCCCATGCAATATGGCATCTGACTAGAGGACCTATTATGTATTGAAGGTATGGAAGACAGCTCATGACTGTGACCCACTTGTATCATGTACCACACCATCCAAGGGTTGCCTGCCTGATAGAGGAGGAATGACACACATCTGATGCATTAGGTCAGAGGCATTACTCTAAGAACAGGAAACCATCTCTAAAGATGCATTGTATGCATAAGTCAGACCTTGCTACAATAGGAAGATCTCGGACCTGGGAACAAGAGGTACAAGAAGAAATGTCCCCACTTAACTTTACTCCCAGTGAAGAACTGAGGGACTTCATATCTTTAAAAGTCTGGACTCTGTAGTGTTAGGGGCCCTGGGCCCGTAGGGGGTACCTTTCACAGGGGAAGCAGCAAGAGTCTCAGTGAAGCTACTGGTGTTTCCAGGACACTCTGGACTCTGCCTAGGGACTAGCAGGTGAGAAAAGACACCTAGCTTATCAGGAGGTTGTGGGGCCCTGGTTACACAGTAGGGGCAGGAAGAAAAGTATGGAACTTACCTGACCCATTCGGGCACTTCTTGGTGCCACTGACAAATTGAAACTCAGTAAAATACAGCCACCCAAGTTTGAAAAGTATGGCTACTATAGGCTCAGACTTATCAGAAGTCAATTTCAGTCATATTACTAGGCAAAGCATGGATACCAGAGGTGGTATCTGAGGGCAATGAGAATATTGAGTAATGAGGAGATGAGCATTAGTTGTAGCCCTTAGGACGATGGTAATAAGGGATCTAGTTCATTTAACTTTTCTCCAAGCTTTTAGTACCAGAGGCCCACTGCAACCCTGGAGGACCAACATTTTCTCTGAGCATGCTGTAGAGCCAGATCCACGTGGTTCAAGGAGTGGTCTGTGACAGCCATAGCGGCAGGCCATCTAGGTCTCCCTCCCAGGAAGGGTCCAATACCTGTGGGGAATGCAGTCATCTGACAGCTTCTAGCTATACCACCTTTGGGAGCCAAAGCAGCATTTGAGCTAAGACCATGTTTTCCCCAGTAATTTGCCAGAAGAACAGCAGGGGCCTTAGAGCCAAGCTACCTCTGCTCAGTGTGGGCGAACTCACACTTGAGGTGATGCTCCCCTGTGGTCTGAGCTGATTCCCACCCAGTCTTCTCCTTTAATAGGCATCAGGACTGCATTTAGTTTGAAGCCATTCCCTGCCTATTTCTGGCTCCCTTTCCCACCTGGGCTTTCAAAACCATAACCCCATAACCCCAATAAGTCTCTTGTACTTTCAAGTCCACAGGATTTGAGCAACTTAGTTGGTGAATACTAAACCTGCACTGGTATACAAAAGTACTTGAACAAATGGCTCTTGGTGCCAAGATGGACTACTTCAGCAGCTCTCACTTTGTATGTTTTGGCAAGGGTAGGTAGAAAGCGACTTAGGCTATTAAGGCTAGATACAAATGTTGGGAGTGCAGGGTGTGTGCTAGATATTGCAAGGACTGGAAGATGAGTTGACTTGTGGGTATTGGAAACAATGGTATTCTGCCCTGGTAAGATTCTAGAAGGGTGAAGAAATACAGAAAATAGGTCCTAAACCATTTTCCACCCCTGGAATCTTGAGCATTGGTCAGAACAATTCTATGAATCTGCCTCTTGACTTAAGGATGCCCAGTTTGTTATAATCTGAATCCAGGGAAATCCCAGCCGTAAGAGCAAGGTATCTAACATATTACTGGCCTCTTAGCCAGACAACTTCCAGTCCATAGATATGAGCTGGAAAGGCCAAAATTTACTTAATAGTACACCTCTGAAGTTTCACTTCTAACCCCTCTAGATAAGGTTGTCATCTCACAGCACTTTCCCCTATGGTTTCTAGTTGTTTGTGACTGATTTCTCCCTGCCTTTGACTCCCTAGAACTAAGTCATTGTCACAGACTAGTACCTGTTAAAGTCAATTCCGGTCCCTTAAGAAAAGGTAATGGATACCTACTGCTTCTCATTGGCCTTCTTGAATTACAAGAGTTGTTGGTGTATCACTTAAGATACAGAAACACTGCTGCATAAATTCAGGTTAGACAGTGACTCACCTTTATTTGATAAAGTCCCCTCAAATGTGGACACTTGCTTAGTCCCATTAGTTCAGAGCCAAAATGCTTTTCCTAATACTTGGGAGCTAGAAGGTATCCTTTCAAACTTGAGATTCAATTATGTCAGCCTAGTCATCCTCAGACTGAATTAACTTCCATTGCTACTGTACTGGGGTTTGTTATTTGGGATTTTGTCTTAGTTTTAGAAAGGCAGAACATGATATGCCTCAGTATGAAAATTTAGTCTGTGGGACAAAGAAAACATGGCTTTTGCAGCCCCTGATGTAGAATGACATGTGAAGGTTTTATGCCTGTTGACACAAAGATATGGTCCAGAGGACCAAATTAGTGGCTAAAGCTACAGACCTAGCATCTCAGCTCCAGTGCCACTCTATTCAGTAACTGGAGTTCTTGAGGTCCCATGTAGTTCTAGGTCAGGCCAACAGTCTCTCCCACCACAAATAACCAAGACAAAAGGTACTGGTTCTATGCCCAAGCAGGGCTTTACCATCACAACTTGAAAGCAAAAGGCAGTGCACAAGCAGGAAGCAGCTCATGGTCATCATCCTAGAATCCCCAGAGTTCAACCTCCAAGCTTTATCTGTGACTTGGGATGCTTCCAAGCTACTCACTTTGGCTGGGTAAGCCAATGGGACCAGGTTTCAACCATGAGTACAGTTCTCTAGTTTCTAAAGTGGCTGGCACAAATTGCTAAGTGCTCTGAGAGTTTAGGGGGCCCTGAACCAATATGGGGTAAGTCCTGTGATCTGAACCAATATAACTAAGAAATAGCTCCTGGAACAGGGACTACATCTTTTACACCAGGCAAAGACCAGATCAAAAAAAAGCACTCTTATCCCAAGTCTATCCTGGCAGTGACAGCCTTCTTCCAGAAGTGCAGCCTGCTATCCACTGATTTTACCTATAAGAGTCAAAATGCAACTACATGGCCTTGGAGAATAGCTTCTTTGCAACCACAGCAGCACCTAGCAGTGCATAGACAAGACACATTCTAAGTGCTTCTGTTACCTTCCACCATCATCATGACCAAGACGGATAAGTCAGGGCACATAGTATGATAATCCTGACATGGCAGAAAGATGGACTAGATACACAAGGATATACCCAGTATGTGTTTCAACATCAGGTACTCTTCACATTGACATGTCATCTATAAGTCAGTATGAAGCAGTGCCTGAAGGGGGATGAACATGTCTTATCTTTGAAATTGACTTCCAACTATTATGAAGGATTCTACTTATCTTTCAATGTAGGAGTCTACAAGCCAAGCCAAGCCAACCCCTGGCTGAGAATTGTGGCAAGCACTTCACTGTGTTCAAGTTTAATGTCTGCAAGTAGAGCTGGCAAGAGGCCTTGGGTGGTCTATGCCAGAAGATCCATAGGGTAACACCAGAGGAAGCCAGAACAATGAAAGAACAGCTTTTCCTTGTGATAAAACAAGAACCAGCAGCCAGTCAGCAGGGTAAGGGTTGCATGTAGTCTGTGGCTGCTGCCTTTCTATTTATCATGCAGGCCTTTTGGGCACCTGGAGCCACATGAACCAGACCTACCATCTGAGCTGTAGACAGCTGCTGTCTAGTTCACACTGCTCAAGACCAGAAACAATGAACTGGCTTCAAGGTCCAAAAATCCCATGCCTATCTGCCAGATGAACTATAGCAGATGATCGGTTTCAGGTACAGGGAAACCCACACTGGGCCTGCCATCAATGGTAACTTTGCCTGAGCCTACCTCAGTGCCAAGGCTCCAGCAATGTCCTAAGTCACCATCCACCACCTTTCCACTTTTTTCTTGCTGCCAGATCAGTACAATCACCCAGGCCTGATCGTGGAACAACACACCAACTATCTAGAACTCTGGAGATCTGGTGTTTCAGGGCTGTGGTATCATTTTGCAAGTTGGTGCTAGTCAGCCTGCTGTACTCATTCAATTCTGTCTCGCTGCCCAAGCATCTGCTCCAGTTCAATAGTGTAGGGCAGGGAGAGGTGGTCTAGAGAATTAGCGCACCATTCTGATTTGCTCTTCAACTCCTAGGCCATGACAGACAGGTATGACATAGGTAGTATAGTCTTCTGTGGGAACCACGGGAACACAGATCTGACTGCAGGGAGTATGATCAAGCATTGTCCCCCACTGTTATGCTTTAAAATCAATTGTTATATTGTACCAAGACCATACTTCTCACAGCTACTCCCTGCCATGATCAGTCATTGGCTATAAGACTAAGGCAGTCTGTTCTTGGGAGGTGTGAGACTTCTAACATGCATTTTTGGCTAGAAGATTCTCCTTACAGCTGCATTGTAAGCCAAGATAATTCCACCCAACTTTTGTTCCTCTTGTTTTAGAGCTACATTGTAATCTGACAGCTCCCCTCGCAACCTCTTTGGGCCCTCACCATTTTTGCAGGTGTATCTCATAGTGTGTTGCATATTTAATACAGTTTTGGTATCTTTCTTGCAGGACCTGGGCTACCATACTTCCTAAACTTATAGAATTCACTATCATCTGACACTTAAGTGATCTTATATAAAAGATTTCAGAAGAGAACATTTCCCAGGTTGAGGCTGGAATAACCCTGTTATTATAGCTGCAGAAGACCATAGGTGCATCTCTCTCAAACCTGGATACTGTAAGTCTTTACACTTTTAGAAAAAAGTCACTCAGGAAATGTGAAAGCAATAATACTATGACCATGTAGAATTTATTGCAGGAATGCCAGGTTAAACATTAAATCATTAATTTATTACATTAGCAAAATGGAAAGTCATCAATAAATACAGAAGCAGCATGGTAAAGTAATACCTGTTTATATAATTGAAACTGGGAATAGAAGAAAATGGCCTGAAGTTGTAACTATCATTTATTGCCCTTGATTTTGAACTATTACTTCTAAATAGGAAGAAGGCAACAAGCTTACCATTTCTCCCTAAGACCATATTAGAGAGGTCATAGCTAATGTAATAAGGCAAGGAGATTTGTATGTAGTATTTGCATCTACATGTACAAATGTTTTCTCCTCTATGGAAGTGAGCAGGCAAGGCAGGGTTGACTTGAGTTCTACCCACAGCCTCTGCCCCAGTGGACTGAGGGGAAGAAATGCAGTTGGAGGTTCCCAAACCACTTTACTGTGCTTCTACCACTTCAGAGCCCAGGGACAGGGTGGGGGCTTCAATTGCAGCCTCTCCATAAGCTTCTGGGAAGACCAAGACCCTGACAGAGCGAGCAACAAATGCCAAGGAAGTATGGTCCCAGATAAGCAGGGGCATTGGCCAGATAGAGATACTATATTCAAGGGCAGCCCTTCCACTGATATTCTGACTAGTCTGTGGTAGCTCAGCAAGGCTCAGAATGAATGAACAGAGCTTGGAGCTGAAACTGAGCAGGTGGGAGTCAGGAGGATCTTCTCAACTCTAGCCCTTTGGCCTCTCTGCATCCCCTAACGTGAGCCCACCTTATACACAGCTTGGGAAGCAGAGCAAGGAACCTCTGTCCTGGTTGCTGGCACCAAGGTCCTTTTCACATTTCTCCCCCCCCCCCGCCAACAATCCTCCCATGGAAGTGAGCAAAGGCACTGGGATCACTAAGGATCTTGGCTATTTCTCTCCACTTAATTTGTAAGGCCTCTAACTGTAGTCTTAAACCAGATGAATTATTTATATGTGGCCATAACAGCAGAAGCTGGGGAAACCCAAAGGCTCATAGCTTCTCCCATCCTCTAATAAGCCTGCAAGGAGCCAAGAACCCTCCTTGATCTGTTGATAAATCCTCCCCCTTACACACTGGCCCTCAGTGTACTTCCATTCCCTGAGTTGTCTAGGGAGTTCCTTGCACTCCTGGTGCAAAACACAGTGAATTGTCTCATTTCTACATTTGTTGAATTGACATGTTCATGTAGAGGTTGGGAACATGTAAATGGGGCTGCTTCAATTCTTTAATAAGGCTGCCCTGTCTCAAATCAGTTTTGGTAGAGTCCCTCGTGACTCGACTCTGCTAAAACTGAAATCCTTGGCTTTAAATACTTTCTATTGTAATGTTTACAGCATCCTAATAACCAACTTAATTTCTTCTGTGAATGGCTTACATATTGTTAATGGTTGAGAACATTCCTATCAATGTTAGCCTAATAAAGGTCATGAGAAAGTAATAAGGTTATACTTAGAGGTAGTCTTTAAAGTATTTTTTAAATGCTTTGCTATAAAAGATGCTTCTAGTATCTGTATATACCCTCTGTCCAGTTTCAGCTGTAGTTCCACAGAAGCTGAGATATGCAGGAACATGATTGGGGTAGTTTTCCACATTTGTTCTAGATTTAGTTCCAGTAAGAGCAGCCTAGTAGCTGTCAGGCTGATAATCTACCAACTGAATATAAAAGTCCATTAGATAAATGCCCCAGCTTGCCAAGCTTACCACTGACAACCCTGCAAGGCATCCTGTATGCCTCAGGAAGTTTCACTGGAATCAAGCTCCCCTAGCCCATGGAAGTCTCCATAATGCTTTCTTTCCTTCATTTTTTCCAGCTTCCTGGTCTCTGCATTTTTGGGATTCTCAATGAGGCCACTTTGTACTCTGCTTTCAAAGAGGCTAAGCTATGACAGTTAGATGACACCTCAGAACACATTCTCAAGATGGTAACCTACAACCTAAAACAGTTTGAGAACAGATACCCCAGTGCTGGTGGGAAATAGACTGGTGGTAAGCCCCAGCTTGCTGCAGTGTCAGTTACTAAGACTCACCTTTGGTGTATTTGCATACAGCACAGGCTGAAGGGAAAACATTTCGGCCATGGGCTATGTAATAGTTCTGCCCTGGATTCAATGGTAATTATGGTTTTGTAGAGTTGGCTGATACTTGCTAACTGCTTTTGAAGTCTGGAAGAGGATGACAGACTTAGAGCAGCCAACTATCAACCAAAACAAGGCATGCCATGATAGCTAGGCCTCCATGACAACCTTGGAAGAGACATGTCCTAAACCTAAAGGGTTTAATTAGACTGAGCCTGAAGAGTAGCAGAGCTGAAAGTAGATAAGACAATGCATAGCATTAATATGTCTTCTATACTAAAGCCAAGGACCCAACAAAGTAGGATAACCCTGACCCAGGTATCAGAGTCCTAAGTAGATGAGCCCAAGAATGTTGACTCAGATTCCCCTGAGGCATTCAGGATGGAAGAAGCAGGCCTCTACCTCCTGCAAGTAGAAAGCCACTGCCCACTGAGGATCACACTAAACCCTGAAGAAGACAAGATGACGTTTGTCACAAAATCTTTCATTGCATCAAGGCAAATAACTAGGGCCAGCTCTCAGCACAGCCTGAGGAGGAAAATGTATCTGCTTCAGGAGGAACTTATTGCTGAAAGACTTGCATGACCTAATATATACCAGCGGTAACTGGGAGGTATCTCTTGATGGTGTTAGATTGGGGGTAACCTAAATATAAGTCTGAATAAGCAAAAGTTTAATGGGATGGCACTCTTCTGTGGTTAAGGATTTAACATCTCAGAAGTGATGACTGGTTTTACACTGCTGGGATTTCTACCCCCTCCAACACCACTACAAGGCTTGGATGTTACAATGGTTTTTACAAGCAAGGTATAAATTTTAGAGCTCTATCAGCAGAGCATAACTGTGGAGTTCAGATGCTGAATAGGGTGGGAGTGATCTTAAATCGTCACATTCTTACAGAGAACTCACAAGCTATGTTCCTTTGGGTGGGCTTAGAGGACATATCCTTCACTAAGGCAGTAAGAAATGCATTTGAGGAGAATGAGAATCATGTAAGCTCAGCATCAGCTGTCTTCTGTAGGCCAAGAGTGACAATAGGAGATGCTGCCACAAGACAGGGCTCCCTAGATGGAGATGAGACAAGAATTGGCACTTATTTAGGGGCTAGGGTGATTATAATTGTAATAGTAACCGAGTCTTGTGTAGTCAGTTTATCTGGTGTAGTCAGTTTATCAGGGATCTTTGACCATGGCTAGTAACACCATGTTCATAGAGGGTGAGGAAGATGGGCAGCTGACTCAGGCACTTGACTTGTAAACAAAAGAGCCAGTAAGAAGGCTAGTGTCAGCCAGCCCTATGTGAAATCAATTTTTCACACCAGTTTCTAGATCTAAATCAGTTCTCAGATCCAGAGCCCATTGCTTGAAGAAACTGGATTCCATTGAAAGTTAGCTCTGGAATGCCACCACAAGTGTACAAGTATTCCATCAATTCTTTGCCCAAGGAATTCTGTGTTCATTTACTGGAAATGTATACTGGGGAGCCATAAGAGGCCACAGATTTAAGGTCCAAGCTGAAGCCCAGAGAGACTCAATGTGATCTTGATTCTCCAGAACAGGGGCCAGATAAGTGACATATAGCTTAAGGCAGTCTGAGTCCAATGGGTCCAAAGACAGACCCTGATCTCCCTGCCCCCATGAAGTGTTGTTTCAAGTTCCTCAGTTCCACTTAGGATGGATAGACTGAATCTGGCAGGACTCTTAGTTGGTTTCTTGGCCTGAGTTTAGGGCATGAGGAGGAGCAACTTTAGGGGCTTGGACATAGTGCTTCCTAAAATACTGGTTCCGAGTAACATTAAATTCTTCTATCACTTAGGATGGGAACTTCTAGCACTGGATCCTTTATCACATTTACAATCTCCGTACAAATATGCATCATGGCAAATATTGACAGATAATATAGATCCGATATCCCCAATTGTATCTGCTTTGCTAGATGCAGCATCTTCAATATCAATTTGATGTTCACTTCACAGAGCTTAAAGTACTAAAGAAGTCTAGCAAACATGTTCTTTCCAGTCTGATTAAAGGTAGTTTATACTTACATGGGAAGAATAGTACAACTTCACAGCCTTGCGAGTCTTAATTCTCCTGCTTTCACTATGTAGACTACAGGAATTTTTAATTTTTATTTTCATTTATGAGATGGAGTTTCACTCTTGTTGCCCAGGCTGGAGTACAGTGGCACTATCTCAGCTCACTGCAACCTCTGTCTCCTGGGTTCAATAGTGATTACCTTGCCTCAGCCTCCCAAGTAGCTGGGATTACAGGTGCCCACCACCATGCCAGGCTGATTTTTATGTTTTTAGTAGATACAGGGTTTTACCATGTTGGCCAGGCTGGTCTTGAACTCCTGACCTCAGGTGATCCACCCGCCTTGGCCTCCTAAAGTGTTGGGATTACAGGTGTGAGCCACCACGCCAGCCAACTATGGTAATCTTGACCACATTTGTACAAGACACTATACTGATCCTCCATATTGAAGATGTCATGCTAATCGGATCTGATAAAAAGGAGTGTCAAGTTCTCTGCCTGCCCTAGAAAGACACACATGCCAAGGGAGAGGAACCCTACAAAAATTCAGGACGTTCTCATATTTGAGACTGATTCTAGTCACGTGATACATTTCATAACATCCCTAAAGGTTAGCAACTGATTAATGGCACAAGACAGTACAAGATGCAGTAAAGAAAGTACAAGATTCAGTGAGTTATCAGGTTATGGTGAAGGCTTTTTGTTTCAAATGGGGCCCAAAGCAAACAAGCTGCATAAGAAATTTAGATCGTGCCATCTGTTCTTTCACTTTGTCCATGTAACAACCAGTTCGATGTTGCAGAGATCTTTTGTACTAATGGTGGCATATGGAGATGAGTAAGCCACAGTATGACCCCCCCACTCAAGTTTCTGGAAAAAAGTCGTAACACCTGTAACAGATTTAGTCATAAGACACCTAATATACTCCTGGGTCCTTGCAGAGACAGAAAACTGGCTTTGGGTCATCAAGTGACTATCTAGAGCTGTCCATTTTGAGCTAAATTTGGACAGACTCAAATCATAAGGTTGGGTGGGCACAATAAAAGTCACTCAAATGGACACATTACATTGAGTGGATTATGAGGTCTTGAGGGCACACACACACAAGCAGGCATCCAGACCTTATGTCACCTGCCTTTTTACCCATCCCACTCAGTTCATACCTATTGTCTCAGATGAAAGTTTCCTACAGTCAAACGTCACCTACCTTTTTATCCATTCCACTCAGTTCATACCTATTTTCTCAGGCGTAAGTTTCCTGAAGTCTAACAGGAGGGGAAAACCCAACTCTAATTTCAGATGTGTCAGACCATTGAAGGTGCTGTTGCTACATTACAGCTCCGTTAGGGAAACAATCCCTGAAGAACAGTGATAAGGGGAAGTTCTACTGGACAGAGCTTCAAACAGTATCTAAGTTAGTTTTGTAGAGAGGTGACCTGAGGTGAGGATATGTAGAGACTTCCAGGCAGAGGGCTTTGCTTCAGGTGCCTGGAAGGAATGAGATGGGATGAATGGATACCAAGGTCTGGGAAGGAACAAGTAGTTGGAACTATAAGAGTGACAATCATCTGTCTCATGTCACTTGGAAGTCATCCAAGGATAGCAACAGGTTGACACCTGTCCTTTTGAAGCCAGTCAGCCTCTGCCCTTGACTATTTTAGTGCTTCAAGTGACCCATAAATGAAATATTAACAGTGGCAGGAATGGAAGCTATGCATGGACCTGACAGCATGAACTTTAACCAAGACACTTTCAGCTACTGCCACTGCTGAATAACCTATAAGCAGCAAAAGTTTATATCTTTATAGGGAACCCTATAGCACCATTACTCAGTAAGATTGAACAGCCTCTTGGATACAAGTTGAATACTGGATTCCTTCTACCCTAGGAGCAGCAGTGATTCATCTTTATTGGAAATATTTGAAATATGGGCTCACTTCTTCCCAATGTTTTGGCCAGCAGCACTGTGAGGACTCAGATTTACTAAAGTTACATGAAATATCACTTATGTAGCATTTTCTCTAAGGAATCAATTCTATCGTGAATAGCTACAGAACAGGCACATGATGAAGGGAGCTACTGGTCCCACCAGATTAAAGATCTGAAAGCCCAACGAGATATTAAAATGGTCTCTTAAAAAGGTAAGACACCAAAGAGCCAACTTGGACACAATTCTGCAACCCTGAACCACAAATGAATTATATACTTAAAACCAATGGCTATTATGAAGGCCTGTTCCCAATAACTACATTTTGTGGGGCTTGGAGGCAAGTTATAGAAGGAATATCCCCTTCCTACCATACTAGACCAATCTGAAGTATTTGTACTTCTTTACCATATACACCTTTAAGTTCTGTTGGACTTGAACTTCTGGTTCCCTGGAAGGGAAGTGAAAGGAATGTCTCTGCAGGAGGCACAGTGAGGTGTCTACTAAATCTGAACTGATGGTAGACCAGCAGGCAAAAGGAAGGACTTAGTATGTTGGGAGGAATAGCTGACCATTATATAAGGTTGCTGCTGCATACTGGGGATAAGTTTGTCCAGAAAACACAGGATGCTTCTTGGTGTACCTGTTTTGGATAACTCAATAGGTATTTGCAGTGACTATAAGGAAGGAAGACATATCAGGGCCCAATTCCTTTGAACAGTAGTCTTTGGGTTATCCCAACAGGCAAGCAACACAGACCAGGAAAAGTACAGACAGGAAATAAATGGAGTGTGAAGTGGGTGAGGGTAATGGAGGGAGATTAGTATTAGTTATGACATCAGGACAAACTTGAAAAACGGATTGCAGCTCATCCCATTCATCCTGTTGTAATTTTGTTAAGCATCTGATGCTTCTCTCAGTATACCAGTTTTAAAGATGTAAGTGACAGGGGCAGCCTGTCGAGTCTCAGACTAGGGTGTCAATGTCAGAAACAGATTTCAGGTCCAGACTTAATTTTAAAGGTGGCCATGAAAATAAGTCAGAATCTCCTTCCTAAGTCTGCTTGGTTACCACTTAGGTTGGTGCAAGAGTAACTGCAGTTGTTGCCCTTATTTTTGCTGGCAAGAACTATGAAAGTACTGTGTATGAAGTTATGTAATACTATTTTTATTCAATACTATTTAAAATATGTATAATACTATGTGAAAAGGAAAAAAATGCAAAGTAGTTTGTGACATGGTTCAAATTCATGTTGAATAATGACATTCTCTAGAAAAGCTACCACCATGGTTTAGCAACAGCATTATATTAGGTTTTGCTCACTTGGGTGGGGTGCTATTAAAGCCATTCTCTATGTAAGATTCGTTTGAGTTTCTGGAAGTACAATTGCTGGTTCAAAGGATGTAGAGATTTAGTTGTCACAGCAAGTCATCTAGACATTTGTCCCTTTCATGTCTTTGATTATCAAGTTCTACTAGGCCATCAGCACATCTCCAATTAACTAGTGGTGAGATAGTCACTAGCAAGACTTGACTTCCCTTCCACACTTAAAGTCAAACACTGGTCGATAAGGTCTATAAATCTTGGTAGAACCAAGTAGATAAATGGGCCAATGATGGAACTAAGTTCACAAGTAGAACAAGATATGAGTATCTTTGCATCCTTGTCAACACAAAAATTATCTTAATGAACTCAAGTCAAGTACCTTGTTAGAAGTCAGTCCATGCTCTTAGATTTAAACCCAGGTCAGTGACTGGTTACTGGCAACTGCACAAATCCTGATCTTGAACCTTTGCATTTCAGCCTGACTGCCATATCTATTAAATGAGTCAGTCAATTAATATTTCACCTTCTCTGAAGGAGCAAGACACTCAAAGTCAGGGTCAAACAGTGTGCCAGAAACTGCTAGTGGTTGCCTCAATGTTTATTCTTTTCTTCTGTCGTAACATTTATTCTGGGCACAGAGATGATATAGGCCCCATCAAACTCCTTTGCATTTTGTATTCTGCATATCCCCTCCTCAATCATTGCCTAGCCCCTAGATGGCCAATTCCGAAAAACTAATGAGTTGAGATCATGAAAGGGGACTTATGCTTTCATTATGTAGATAAAGACGCTTCAGGACATTCCTGAAACCAGAGGTAAGTAATCTAACTTTTGCTAACTCTAGCTTTTTGTCTCCTTTCCCAGAAAATGGCCACTAGCTTTCAAGATATCAAGGGACTGAAACTGACTACTGACCAGACTCCATGGCACCAAGATCTTCCATTTGTCATGGAGGCTTGACACCTGTTATTAGTCTACCTGCTGGTCCCCTGACCCTCACCCTCCAACACAACTCACATGTAATCCCAGTCTCCACATATAGCTGTATTCCTTATCCCTCCTTAAGAGCCCCAACTCTAGTTAGAGGGGCAGATTTGAGACTTATTTTCCCATCTCCCAGGTGAGGTCACCCGCAGTGAAGCCTTTCTTCCCTGACAATACTTGTCTCAGCAATACTCACTGGCATTCTGTGCCTCAAGCAATGGAACGCTGGCCAACCCCCTTTGGATGGGTAATAACTAAAGACTACCCTTTTTATAGCTGCATGCAGCTAGCCATAGCCACTAGGCACTGGTTAATGTATCTCTAAACACAAATTGAGTCATTCCCTGAATGTATGCTTTTCCTTTCTTCACTCCCGGTTTGGTAGACTTGTAACAGATAAAAGCAAGAAAAGTTATTTTGGACCATCAAGGTAGAAAATTTCTGGATCAGTACACCTCAGATCATCTGTATCAGATTGCATTGCTCATGTTTGGACTGTTAGAGAAAAGAAAGTTCTCCTTCTAAGCTGCTATAAGGTTTGTCTATTAGTAAACCATCTTGGCTACTATAACGAGTCCATCTTCCAGGAAATGAGGAAAATGTGGAACCCTCTCTCCTCCAGGGGCAAAACTCTGAACAGACAGGCTCCCAGGAGCTGGTACTAATGGGCTGCTCGAGTTTGGGTGATACAGTGATTTGTAATGAAACTAGTTGGGTGGACACCTTTTGAGACTCAAGATTCCTCAGAAGAACCATCCAAAGCTCACTACGAGGAGTGCCAAGAAATCCCAGTACGGGGATACCACCGCATATTAGAACCAGCACATCAAAGTCCCAAGTAGGCCATTATACTTCACCCCTTTACAACTGGATGCTCACCTCCCCTGCTAGAATCTGAATAAAATGTCATCCACAGGATAAGCCATCTTATTTAGCCATACCAATGAGCCTTGGAGTCTTACAGTAGACACCTGACAGTAATAACTTTGGCACACCCAAAGAATGACCCTAATGTCATTGCACCTGACAGCAACAACTTAAGGGTTGCCATGTGGATATTGCCAGGGAAAGGGTGCTAAGTGAAAGTGCTGTACAAATTGCATGCTGTTTTTAAACAAGCAGTGGCAGTTCTGTCCAGCCTGCTACTAGACCTAGTAAGGTCCTACAAATATGCCTTATGTATCGTTTGCAGGAGGTAAGAAAATCCTGTGAGTACCAAGACAATGGGATCAGGAAAGGGGAAATCTGTGGAAGTCCTGGGCTGGCCATCCACATCTATGTGGGGCCTGAGAGCCACTATCCTTAATCGGACCCAATGTGAGTATGGGGATGCCCCCACAAAAATGCTGAAGGGTCTGAAAGCTGTTTAGGGGTTGGATCTAAGTGAAAGATGCCTTAGCTGTGGCGTTACAGTTGGCTGGATGTTCTTGACTGTGCTAGAATCTCCACCTCAGTGGCTACCTGAAGTGCAGTCAAGGATGCATCAGTTACAAAGTGAACTACAATTAGATGCCAGTTTAGCTCAAGCTGAAATGGAGACTCTAATGTTCCCACAGGTGGGAACAGGGTAACAGAATGGAGATCCTGGTTTGGTGGGTAGACCATGTGAAGGGCCACTGACTGCCATATTGATGAGTCAGGGCTACCATGATTAAGTCGTCCTAAGACCCTAAGCCCTCAGACCCCATGGAGAGCTCTAGTGAGAAGAGTGAGGACTGGGATGAATCCATAGATCTTATCTGCATCTGGTTTTCACCAAAATAAAAGTGGACCAACTGTACCCACATAAGGTAGCACTACAAGACTAGCTTGCACCTGAAAGGCGGCAGCACACCTGTGTGGAGCTGCACTACTGTGGAATTGGAGCTGGGAAATAGATACAGGAAGAAGGGGAGAGTCAGTCACGGGGTGGTATCCATCTATAAAACATGGGGGCAGAGGGTATTACACGCTGGACTCATACAATGGTATCCATCATGAACTACCTGGCCCTGAGGCAGGCACCTCTATGGTACCACCAATAATGAGGATCTGGCCATCCCAACAGGTGGCTGTGGGCTGCAAGGTGGCCTGGTCAAATGAGGGAGACATCCTTATGTCTCCTTTGTGGTGACAGACTGGAGAAACTGCAGAACATCCTCAGAATTAGAGGATGGAGCATGCTATCTCTGCTGAGCACTAGAGGTCCCAACAATGAGCTTTTCACTGCCAGAACAAAAGATGCCACCTTGTAGTCAGCACCCAACCCAATGATATGGCATGCTGGTGTCTACCCTGGGCTTCTTGGTAGGATAGACAATGTTTCAGGCAGCCTAAGCAGCTGCCAACTCTGAGGAAGTGGAGAAACTGAGGGGTGTGTACTACTGGGGTAAAAGACAAGGGAGCCAAAGGAAAGGGAACAGCCAAGGGGCCCATCAGGGTGACCCACCAACAAATGTGGTATGACCTGATATTGGCAGGGACACCTACTGCAAAAATAGCTTAATGCTGTTCTTGTGGGACTGTGGCAGCAGTTCAAGCCAGAACAGCACTTCACCAAAGGAGCCTCAAAAGTTCAACCCACTGCCCTTCCTGCAGAGGGATGGCCAGCATCAACCGCTTTAGACTAGGATGTAGGCCAAGGCCCCAGAATCCCAATAACAGCAATGGCGACTAGGGTGTCTGGGGGCTGGTGGCCACATGTAGAAGTGCATATTGCTCACTTAGGCTGTGCTTGCTCCATTGGCTACTGGAACTGAATGCACGCATAACATTCATTGGTTCCAAGGGCCTGTAATAGCAATAGATGGTTATACAGGGGCCATGAAAGACAGGCTGAATTAAATATTACAAGTTGGGAGATTGCCACCAAAATCCTGTTTAGCATACACCGATTCCATCTGAGAATATATCTTGGGAATGGATCTCTTATTAGGCTTGACCCTCTAAAATGGCAACTGGGAAATTCTGACCAGGAGTTAGGGTGGTGAAGCATATGATCATGGTAAACATGAAATGGTTTAAATGGTACAGTTGCCAGCCCTGCAGTGAGTAGGGTATTGCTGCAGCACTGAAGCAATACCACCTGCTGGGAAGGCATGATGAAATCCCAGAGACAAGGAGTTAACCCGGGTAGGCATAAGGCCAGTACACAGCCCACACAACGGCCCTGTATGGGCAGTGTAGAAGCCTGATGAGACATGGAGGATGATAGATTACTAGGAATTAAATAAGCCACTCTCTCTCCCCAACCCACCCACCATATATGCAGCTGTTTCCAATATTACCACCCTCCTGAAGGGGCTAGGAGAGGTGCTTGGCTCATACCATTTTGTTATTTAGCCAAAGCCTTCTTCAGCACCCCCAATGCCCCATTTGCATTCACTTGGGAAGGAAAACAATGGACCTTTGCCATCTTTCCCCAAGGATGGTTACATAGCCTCATTGTCACAGTCTAGTGGCCACAGACCTCAGTGAATGGACCACTCTGGAGGGTACTTGTTCTCCATCACATGGAGAACATCATGCTAACTTCCAAGTCTTTTACAAGCTTACAAGCCGCAGCCCTCACCTTGCTCTTACTTGGCAAACAGGATGGAGAGTCAATGCAAAGTCCAGGTTCCACAAATACTTGGCTGTCATCTTGTCGGGTAAGGCTCAAGTCATTCTGCCTGCCATTATGGATAGGGTGCAGGCCTACCCATGTCCTATCAGTGAAGCAGTTGCAAACCTTCTCGGGCCTCCTAGGGTATTGGAGTCCTTTTATTCCCCATTTGGCCCAATTCCTTAGGCCCCTAATACAGCTTAATTAAGAAGAGGGCCTACTGGGACTGGTCCCACAAGGGAGAATGAAGCCTTTGAATAAGTCTCTGAAATACAAGCTTTGGGAGTTCTAGGGCAGGGACAGCCTTATGAATTGGATGTAGCCAGATACCTGAGGGGTTTGGGTATAAACTATGGCAAACGCAAGGACAAAAATATGTGCCTTTAGGATTCTGGTCCCAACTACAGAAGTGGGTGAAGTTATACATAGTGTCATAGAGTAACAACTCTGCACTATGATGTTATGCCTTACAATAAGTGGAGGACATTACTAAAGGGCTCCCAGTGCTATTATACACCCAAGTATCCTATAGTAGGTTGGCTAAAGGATCTTCCAGAAACCAAAGCCTGGGAATGCCCAGACACAGACTGGCCAAGTGGGACGCATACCTGTAACAGGAGCACATTGGCTAATAGGCCTTTGAGTGCCGACCTCCATTTGGGGCTTGGCCCTGTCACCTATGTGACAACTGAAGATTGTTGACAGAGGTCTACTGGCCCTCCAGATGCCCCCTTTTGTACAAGAGGGACAGGACCCAGTGCCTGACCAGGACTAGTACATAGATGGCTCATCACAAGGCAATCCTTACACTTGGACAGCCATAGCCACCCAGCCGTCCACTGATAGTATCTGGCTTCATACTGGTAAAGGACATAGTAGCCAAAGGGCTGAGCTGCAAGCTGCCTGGATGGTCCTGAGGCAGACCTAGTAGCCTTGTGCACCAATAGCTGGGTCATCTTCCAGGGCCTCAGCATGTGGCTACTACAATATGAAGTGCAGGATTAGATGGTAGTGGGCCATCCCTTTTGGAGTGCTGACACATAGAAGGATGTTTTCCATTGCATCTGGGGGATACATAATGGTCCATCATGTGGATGCCCACACCACATCTACACCACCTGGAAAACCAGCAGAGGAGTTTGCCATCATTCATTGAGGAAGTCACAGAAGATGTAACCCTCTGGCTATGTAGGACAGGACATTGGGGACAACATATCCTTGGGCCATAGAGTTGAGGCCTGCCACTACGAGGTGAAGACATATTATATGCCTCTTAGTGTCTTACCCTAGCACAACAACACCCCGAGCTCTTGCCACATGACCAGACAGGCCGCCTAGGGTCGGATCCCAGTGCAATGGTGGGAGATAGGCTACATAGAACCTTTGTCTCTTGAGGCTGCCATCATGCCTTGACTTTTGCAGACGTCTACATGGGGCTACTGCAGGTATATTCCAGCAAGCATGCCAGAAAGATAACTACCATAAAAGGATGAGCAGCTATGTACAGCCTACAATGCCCCAGCAGTAACCAGGGCATGCACCTTGATCGATAAGGTGCAGAAAAGAGAGGAGTCCCTGGATATACACTGGCATTTCCACCAGTTGTACAATGCTACTACAGTAGGGCCGATTGAATGGATTATGGAAGCAACTCCAGGAGACACTCTGGCTCTGGACACACTGCTTACCAGTTGCCATCTGCACCCTAAATATGTGAATTCTCATCTCTGGCACATGTAGACTGATGCAAGGAACTGATCTCACTATCAGGAGCGCAAGGGACGGCGGCGCAAGGGACGGCGGCGCAAGGGACGGCGGCGCAAGGGACGGCGGCGCAAGGGACGGCGGCGCAAGGGACGGCGCGCCTTTGCCCCAAGCTGGGACTCAAGCTGTTATTGCCCTTGCCACAGGCCCCACCCTCAAGGGAGCATATTACATGGCCCTGGAAACAGTAAACCACCCCCCAACCATGTAAACCAGGCCCCACCCTCAAGGGAGCATATTACATGGCCCTGGAAACAGTAAACCACCCCCCAACCATGTAAACCAGCCCCCCATGTAATAATAAACAAATTACATGGCTCTGGAAATGGTAAGCCAGCCCCCCATGGTTCGTTTTTCACTCTGGCAGCAGGGAAGGGCCTAGAACAAGATATACAGGTCACACCTGTTTTTATACTTTACTCTCCCCCTTCATACTTCAAAAGTGATTCTTGGCCCTGTCTTGTGTTAGAGAAGGATCCTCATTATGAAATATCCCCATCGTCTTCCTCTGGCCTCCTGCAACATGTCATAGGTCGGCCAATCCATCTGATATTATAGACTGGGCACCAGGCTGCTGCCAGAGGTGGTGCTTTCTCAACACAACTTCTTGTGTTTTGCTAGATGGTTATGACTTGCCCTTTCTTGACTAAACATCTCACCTTCCACCCATAGATGGTATGCAGCCAACCTTTGGGCACAGGTGGTCTCCCTCCAGAACAAAACAGTCTACAATCAAGATGGGATGATATTTTCCACCTAGTATGGAAGCAAGTTAGTGTTATCCCCACTGTGGGTATGCTATACATGGTGGGCTAGGGTGGATGATACTGCAGAGACATGGGTAGTCGGTCATGTACCCTTCTTTGTAAAGCCACATAGCCCTGGACTTCAACCTGCCCAGGATGGAGGCTGTGCATGCATTGAAGTTGGCTTGTCTGTATATACATCCCTAATTGCTCTCACGATATAACCCAGGCCATGAGGGCCCTAGAATCTTACAGCCCTAGAACTGCATAGGTTGTGGGTTTTTGTTTACATCTTTTGGTTTTTTGAGACAGTCTTGCATTGTCACCCGGGCTGGAGTGCAGTGGCACCATCTGGCTCACTGCAACCTCCACCTCTGTGGTTCAAGCCATTCTCCTGCCTCAGCCTCCCGAGTAGCTGGGATTACAGGCACCTGCCACTACGCCCAGCTAATTTTTTTGTATTTTTAGTAGAGACAGGGTTTCACTGTGTTGGCCAGGCTGGTCTCATACTCCTAACCTCGTGATTCACCTGCCTCAGCCTCCCAAAGTGCTGGGATTACAGGTGTGAGCCACCATAGAACTGCATGGTTTCATCATTTTCCAAATGCTTGGAAAGGCTTTCTGTAGTCTGATTACATTCATCGTATTGCTGAGGCATCTGGCCACAATGCTCTTTCACATACCTGGCCCCAGGAAAGTCACGGAAGAATGTCCTAAGAATATGAGGGCTATTCAAGGGTATGCTAGGTGGAGGTGCATGGTAGACACCTGACAGCAACCAGCATACCCTGAGACTGATCCTTATGGCAGACACAACTGACAGCAATAAGTGAGGGGTGCCACGTGGAAGCTGCTGAAGGGAGGGTGCTAAGTGCTATAAACTGCCTGCTTTACAACATGTGGTTGCAATAAGTTTTCCTTCCAGCCAACTGCCACTGGACTGCCCTGTAAGTTCCCTCAAACCCTATGTTTTGTTTGCTGGCTCTTGGTCTCTTTGGCCTCTTGAACCTTGGTTTGGCTGTGTGCCCACCCAAGTCTCATCTTTAGTTGTAGCTCCCATGATTCCCCTGTTGTGGGAGGGACCTGGGAGATAATTGAATCGTGGGAGGTGGCTTCCTCCATTACTGTTCTCGTGGTCGTAAGTCTCATGAGATCTGGTGGTTTTAAGGTGTTTCCTCTTTTACTTGGTTCTCATTCTCTTTGCCTGCCATCACATAAGATATGCCTTTGTTCTTCCCTTGCCTTCCGCCATGATTTTGAGGCCTCCCCTGGCCACATGGAACCAAGTCTATTAAGCCTTTTTCTTTATAAATTACCCAGTCTTAGGTATGTCCTAGTAGCATGAAAACAGACTAATAAAAACCTTGTACCATCCCTACTTAAGTTAGTAGGGGTCCAACATAAGAGTGTCTCACTTTCTAGAGGACACACTAACAATCAGAACAAGCTCAAGTTTGGCTTCCCCAGATCAGCCAGTGGTTCACAACTCAGCTGAGGTTTGTTTTTTTTGAGACACTCTCGTTCTGTCACCCAGGCTAGAGTACAGTGGCGTGATCTTTGCTCACTACAACCTCCACATCCTGAGTTCAAGTGATTCTCCTGCCTCAGCCTCCTGAGTAGCTAGGATTCAACTGAGAATTTTGACCTCACTAGAAAGTTCACTTGGCCTTAATGCTGGCTCCATTAAGGTACTTGAGCCTGCTGCTAATAGCACCTGGTCCTGTGATTGAGACATCCACCTCCTATCCCAGGACTATCCCATAAGAATGCTTTCTCTTCACTTTCCACTTCACACCATGTTTTGGAGTTGATATTGATACCTGCAGATATACCTGGTGACTATTGAAGTAGGTACAAGATTGGAGGTAACCATAAGAAGTGGGAAGGTAACCCTAACCAAAGGAAGGGAGAAAATGAAAGCTTCAAAGTAACAGGGAGAGGAGACTAGATAGCTGATCTAGCCACTGCATCTCACTCTTTCAGGGAAACCAGCAAAAGCTTTGTGTTCTAGTCTGAGGACATAATCCTAAGGAAAATGAATTAGGACAGAGGGAAGGCCAGTATAAGTCTGCATTATGGAGTTGGCCACCACTACTAGCAACTCTAGAGTCACCCAAGAAGCTATAGCCTTAGGAAACATCTCAGAGAGACTGGAAAGATAGAGGGATGCATTATCCATTGGTTCCCAGCTCCTATCCATCAAGGTTTGTCCCTAGGTGCTAACACCCCCCCATACTTCCAGGGGGAAATGAAAGCCCAGTGGATTCCCAAGAACATTCCATGTCTCCAAATTGGAGGAAAATCCTGGGACAGGAACTGGGAGGTAGCTGGTATAAAACTGAGTTGAAGTGCTGTTGGGTTACACCAGCAGCTGCAAATGGGAAGAGGTAGTGAGGAAGAGGGGATTTGAAGTGGCACATAAGAGGTACAAGCATACCAGATGGCATGAGAAAGGAATGTAATAATGTAAGACATGCGGCTGGGTGCGGTGGCTCACGCCTGTAATCCCAGCACTTTGGGAGGCTGAGGCAGGAGAATGGCATGAACCCGAGATGCAGAGCTTGGAGTGAGCCGAGATCGCGCCACTGCACTCCAGCCTGGGCAACAGAGCAAGACTCCGTCTCAAAAAAAAAAAAAAAAAAAAAGACAGACATGCAAGTCAAATCACCCAGGTACCAGAATAAAGAGACATTTTCTAGTCACAGGCTTCAACTGGATTTTACTTAATTTTTTAAAGAAACATGACTAATAGTGACAGAAAGGCTGGAAATAACAGGATTAGCCAAAACATACCTGGTAAGTACTAAGAGGGGTTAAAAAAAATTGAGCAAAGTGAAATAAGACCAAAAGCGCTGTGGCAAAGAATGGTATCATTTTTAGAAGTGTATCTTAGTGGATTATAGACTATGTTTAGGGTATAAAGTGAGAATTCCTAGAAACTTAGACTCAAAATAAAAGCTCTAAGAGGCTTGAAAAGAATGATTCACTAGTCTCAATGTAGTGGATACACAAATTCACACCTTACAAAGATGCATTCTTGTCTCCACACTATTGATATGGCTTTTGATTATGAGCCTCTGTCCATCTTTTTGCAAGTGTGGCCATTGAAATAAAGTTGGATGGGATTTTTCTTTTCAAGTTTTTGATCTTTGCTTCTGCCAGCACAAGACCTAAAATCATTTCATTCTGAATCTCATTAGCCAATGCTGATTTTGCCCTTAGATATCAGCCTTGCTTAGGACTGAAATTTCTTCACCTAGAACACCCTCCGCCCCACCAGCACCTGACCAGCTTTGGTGAGGCTATCCCTGCTTACAGCATGGCTCTGCCAGGATTGATACAGCATGGATATTCTTTTGGGTTTCAAGTCACCTTGACATCGCCTGACTTCTTAGTAACAGAATGGAAGCCCCTACTACTTCCAAAGCCGACCAAACACTGGACTAAAAACATTCACACGATAGTCATTGCCTCTGATTCCCCATTTGAGTGGTCTTACAGGGAATTTGACAGTTCCCCATAGGAGTGAGGAGAGGCCATTTCAGTTCCCCATAGGAGTGAGGAGAGAGGCCATTTCTCCTACTGTCCCCTGTCTCCAAAGAAGAGGAAGTAAAAACTGAAAAATAACAAGAGTGATCGGTGCCACTGGCCAGGCCTGTAGGTTAAAGATTAACCCCCACCCTAACCTGCTTGTGCTATCTATAGATCAGACAACAGTATGGAGAAATACTTGCCTTGCTCACCACCCCCACACCTAGTCACATACCTCATACTTGCTCAATCTATCACAACCCTGTCATGTGGACCCCTTAGAGTTGTAAGCCCTTAAAAGGGCCAGGAACTATTTCTTCGGGGAGGTTGGTTCTTGAGACGCAAGTCTGCCGAAGCTCCCAGCTGAATAAAGCCTCCTCTTTAATCTGGTGTCTGAGGGGTTTTTGTCTGCGACTCGTCCTGCTACAGGAGCAGGGGAATGAACGTTATCCTAGTAGTAGTGAGAACTCTCCATAGGGTTTACAGGCTCCCGAGGCCAGGTTCTCCCTGCACAATGGGGATTACATTAGGATATGCAGACAGTAAAGCACAGAATTCAGGGAGAGAACCTTGGAATACTTCTAGATCAACTCCAAATAATTTTCTGGAAGATTAGAAGATGACTTCTGCTTTAAGTTCATCCTACCCATGCCCCCTCCGAATGCGACCTATTTCCATAGTAGCTGGAATTTAAGACGGAAACAACTAGTTCAGGATGTATGAATTGAACATATTCATTCTCTTTTGGGTATAAAGGTGTAAGAAACAGCTTAGGTGATAGTTAAGACTAATGCTTTTGGGTCTGTTTAAAGTGATAAGAGCTTGTTACCACTCATCTAAGATGAAAGTGAAACGAGTATGAAAATCCATTACTCCAACCCATATAATGCCAAGCATAATTCTGCCAGAGTAGACCATCCCTTGAGTGTAGTACATTCCAGCTTTTGGCCAATACAAACCAGCCTTGATTACCGTAGCTCCCAAAATTGGAGTTCTACTTAGAATCTAGTTTGACAGTAACTACGACGTTTTGAAGTGCTCATGTGGGCAAAAACAATAGTGAGCTGGCTTTATATGTTTGCAACCAGGGTCAAACACCCATCCCTGAAAGCTAGATGACATACCTTAATGATCATTTCCCATTCTTTGGAAGACTCATGGCTGGCCTCAACTGTAAGTACAAGCCTCTCAATTTACCTTATCTCATATGCCTACACAGGCTCAAACTGACTGCATGTTGTAGTGTTCTCAGTGATAGGAATGGCCTGGAGTATTCAGACAAGGAAAGGTTTGTGACTACTACCTACTTTGAAGGCTGCAGCAAAAGCTGTCAGTGCCAGCCCATATCCTGTCATATCCCATTGCCATTTTGTTGTCTTTGTCGGGAGAGTTGCTTATATGCAGAGCTTGAGCCCAAAATGCCTGGGAAACTTACATTTCCGTGTGACATTCCCATTTAATGGCATAACTGAGATTCCCATTCATATCACCTCAATCTCATCCCTAAATCCGGCTAAGACAAGCCCACTATAAGCCTGCTGACCCATGGAACTTTAGACCTGTTGCAATAGGTTCAGTTACAGTTACTCCTTTATGCTTTTTGCCTTTTTTAAACCCTTATTTCTGTCACCAAGTTATTTCTGGCCTTTCCAGAGATTTTCCCTAAGCTTATGGGCTTTTATTTTGTTCTGTTGACTTTTTACTTTTTAGTTCCACTTACTAAGCAACTACTTGTCTTGCCTTAGGTCTGTGAAGCTCAGCCCAGATCATGGCTACCTGTAGAGGCATCTGGACACTATCCCACCCACCAACATGTGAGCAACTTGTTAAACTCCCCCCAGTCCACTGGAAACCAAACACCAGCCCAGGTATGAGTCAGTATCTGGAGAAGCTCAACAAGACCCCGATATCAGGAGTCAGTCCAAAGCATCTACTGTTTAGTGACAGATGCCAAGGGAGAATCTTAGCTGACAGTGCCAACATTTGTTCATTTGTACCATGAGTTTGAATGCCAATTGCTCATCTGTACAGCTACAGTCAGACAGTCAAGCAAGTGATATTCTGCTTTCACAAGAAATGCCTTATCTATAGCTGCTGTTTATGTAAAGTTGTCCCAGTTTGAGACTCTTAGTGAAAGTACCCTGTTCCCAGGATGACTGGGACACTTGGTCACCTGTTTTTATGGCAAGCTCATGAAGTGACTTCCTTTACCCCTCACCCTTCAATTCAGGCTTAAAGATCCAAGACTAGAAACCAAAGTATATTCTAGAAACAGATTAAAGCATAGGTTTTTAAATACACATAACTACTTTTAAATGAGATTTTGCCAAGGAGATATAGGCAACACCCAAATCTTTCCCCAGGCACCCTTATCCATGGGATTTCTGGGCTTGACTGTTATAATGCAAATGTATTCTTAATTCCCTCAGGGCCTACTGCACACAAAATAACCCTCAAGAGCCAAGTATAAACCTAGACAAACTGATCAGAGCATTGTTTTGAGAAGCCCAAGGTAAAAAGTTGCTCAGGATTCTGGTCCAGGGATTCATGGCCTTAGATGCCATGTAAGATGAATAGTAGCCACAATTTAGAAACAGAGCCTGCATACCAACATGTAGGTGTGCCATAGGTGAGGGTTACACGAAAAAGGCAGTATAGTGAAAGTGTGGTTAAGACGCAAAGGGAGCAGATGCTAGAACTGACAAGGAGCCCCAGTGGTGGATGGACAACTACTTGGTATCTTGGCAACAGAATCCATCTGAATATCCAACAGCAAGCCAAGGTTTTCTTAAGTCTCAGACCTGAGAATAAATCATGCCCCGCATTATCAGGACCATTAGTTAGTGCTATTCAGTTTAGATAGCACTGTCAGCCAGCCTAGATTAGGTTACAAAAATTTTTCCAAAGGAGTTCAAGTCTAGTGTAATTGACACCAGTATTTTGCACATTTGTTTTTGTTCCTAGTCAAGTGTACACACTTCTCTATTCCGAGTTTTAGATAAGTCTAATAGATGCCACCATTGTTTGTTCGGTAGGGCCAGCTTGTTGTCACAGTGCATGCTTCATTAGAGTTTTGCCTATTTTCTCCAACCCCACCACCTCCATTTAAGAGAGATTAAGGTGGGTCAAAGGACTATTTGTAGGTACCATAACCTCTAAGAAGCATTTTGATAAACTTATGCCACTGAAGTTGAAGAGGACCAATTGAATTCTGAGTAGAGTTGACCTCTGAACATCTTCCACTGAGCATAGATGGTACCACCCCTCTATACTTGCTTAATCTTATGAGTTTGAATACTCTTTCGTAGCCTTCCAAAGCTGTAGAGGTGAGTCTGCCATTATCTTTGGCCACATGTCCACTGGGTTTATGCCTATCCTATATAGGATCTTAGATCAATCCTGAGGAGTTTTAACACTGCTACTATTTTAGGGCACAAGAGTTAAGATTGCGATTTTGCTTCCCAAGCAAAGATAGTGAAGTAAAAAACATGTGTCTGAGGTCTTGGAAGCTATTCTGGTCTGACATTAAGAATTCCTTCTTTAAACTATCAGAAAATATGACAAGAGGCAGATAACAAAACTTCTGTGGTTGCCAATCTTTCATGCCACTACTTAATCATTTATCCATTTGGTAGCAATGCTTCCCTTCACAATATATATTACATAGAGGGATAGTCTCTGGCTTCATGTTTTAAGACAAGAGTAGGTCAATAGAACAGATTACAAGTTGGTAAGTGAAAGTGTACAAGTAGACTAGCCACACAGGAGTATAGGTGGTCATCTTGCTTGCTTTTCTGGTAGGAATAGGGCATGTTCACAAGTGTCAATGGGCCAAGGATACCTTTCGAAGTTCTATCCTTCAAGCTAAGTCTGAGTCAGCTGGCTCTCAAGGCTTCAGAGCCAGCAGGGACTCGAAGTTAGATCTGTCTGAGTTTGTTGTGCGTCACTTATTCTGTTTTCTTCTGTTCTAACATCCATTAATTCATCTTGGATTCATAAGGCTGTCTTGATTTTGACTCCCAGCAAATATTCCAACAGGGCTATTTAACTGAGTCAAAAAATCAAGACAGTTTTTATCATGAATCAAAGATGCTTGAATTCTAAAGTTGATGCTCCACTTTTCTTCTTGGATAGTCAGTGTACAGTGGTATTCCAGCTGACTAGAATCACCTTTGGAAAAGCCCATCAAGGATGTGGCAAACTTCTGTTCTACAGGGAAACCTCTTTCCCTTAAGTTATTCGAAGAGCTACTCCATAGTTAAGACCACTTCTTGGCTTCAGCCATCCCTATTCCTTAATACTCAGAAGCACCTAGGCTTACATATTCAAGGAAGCCCCAAAGGAACTTCACAAATCCAGAGGACTCCGTACCCACTTGCTGAGCATTATTCAAGTAGACAGTGATCCTACAATGGGCCACTTATGGATTAAGGAAGTTAGTTTATTCAGTCACCAGCTTGATTTGGGAAGTCCTAGGAGTAAGCCACATCAGTATATCATGCTCTATGTTCATCAAGAGGACTGGAGTCTGAGTCACCATGTCCTACACCTCCCTGGAGATCAGAATCGACTTGAAAATGCCTTTTCATAATGAAAGAGTAGGGTTGTAGATTCAACGAACCTGGTTAGTAGGCCAAGGCAATTAAGGGGTCCCTTGACATGTTATGGCTTGGCAATTAAAGGAGAAAGCTACAAACTGGGTATTCCACCTGAAAGCAGAGACTGAGCACACATAGCATTAACTAGGACAAATAATGTTCAAGAGGATATCCTGGAGAGTTTGCTGAACCAGGCTATCAGAAAATAAACCATCCTAATTCATCTAGAATAACTTGGCTCATATAGCTATAGACAGCCTAAAACCTCCTAGAATTTATTTTGAATCCAGCATAAGGATCTTAACTAAGACAGGCTTCAGTGAGAAACTAGTTCCTCACGTCAGACCTCTCTAGTCTAAGATCCTGTTCCAGGACCCTCAACCTGAAGGAAGAAATTAGAGAACATAATCCACAAAGTTGGTTAAGCAGATTAAACTAGATGCAAAAGCCACACTTAAATCCACCTGGGCCATTGGGTTAGGTCAAAGTCCTATCTCAGCAAATATTCCAGCAAGTGAGCACCTGACCTGAGAGGGGCCACACTAGAACTTATCCATAGTGTTCAGCACAGCAAGCATTTGGAAATTACCTCTTGGTAGATGGATAACATGTGAGTTTATGCCAATGCTAGATAAGTCATCAAGCTGGATCACAATGAGTCATGTTCATGTTCTGATGGTCCCCCTGTTCAGTACATTGTTCCAAGACATCCCATTGTGAGCACATTTCTGTATTTGCCCCTGCTAATGCTGGGATTGTACCTTGTTTTGAAGAGTTCATGCCTTATTCCACAGTTGAACTATGGCTACTCCAGTTAAAAGTCGATGTTTGACTGCTCCAGTGAAGTTCACCATAGTATTCTCCCTACCCATGCCTTTAACTTCTTTTAAGACCTAACAAGAATTGACCTTCAATGGTTTATGCCAACAGATGAACAGTATAAAAGTCAGCTACTTTGGACATTCTTGCTTTGAACAGTAATTCTTGTATCATATTATTTGAACTTCATAGAGGACAAGTTTCTAAACCAAGCTATCATGAATAGCAACTAAACTGCTGAGATAGATGCTGGTAGAAAGCCCCAGAGACCTTTCATGGACCATGTTGAACTTGTTCTGTGAAAGCTCACATGGGTGATGCAAGGAATGCCTGTCCCTGCAGGCTTGATTCTTAGTTATTAACAGAAGTAATCTTAAATCCAGGCCTTCATTGCATGTCCAGGAGACAGCCAGTGGCCAGCCCAGGCAGCTAACCAAGATGTGTTATTTTGTACTATCTTAACACCCAGGATTAAAGTCAGGTAGAAGTTTTAGTTAACAGGGTCAGGTCACAGCATAGAATGCATAGTAATGTCTCTGCAATGGGAGACAGATTCCCCAGAACTATAGAACATAAGAAATAGAACACTTCTGGAAAGGACAGAATGAGGCTATACGAAAGAAGGTTGATCATGAGTACCTTTGTGTGGCTCAGCAAGGTTTCCTAGAACTACCAACACTGCTGAGATGCCTCCTCGATGCTTGCACACAGTAGTGGCCTGTGGTAAATGAGGATTCCCAGTATCGCAAAAGGAATTAGACTCAAAAATGACCATGGTAGCATGGACAATGAGATCAAAGAACCTACCACCTGACCATATTCTCTGGAACATCGCTCCTTTGACTAAAGAGACAGCAAAAAGCAAGAGTGGAGGTCACTAGGCTACTCTGAGAAGCCTAGTGGTGCCTGTCCTACATGGGCCAGAGCTGATAGGACATGCTGCCATGGAATGGCACTCTGGTGTCAGTGAGGATGATGGGAGTCTAGAGCAGGGGCCAAGGGGCTGCACTTAACTGAGGCATGGCAACCATAGCAGGTAGCAAGGCAGAATGGCCTTGATCCAGAGGAGTCCAGCAACAGCTGATCAACCATGGTGTGCCTAGGGGTGAGATAGATGGGCAGGCAGAGATACTGTTTAGTCAGTATAATCAGACCAAGAACAGGTGAGAAAGTGATCAGCTACTACACGGTCAGTCATGATCCTTATGATAAGCTTTTGATGTCAGTGTGGCTAGGCTTGCAGTTCTGGTCAAATACTTCCAAATATGATCTAGGTGTGTGTGAAGGTATAATGAGGTGGAATTAAAGCCTAGTCATGACTTTGACTTGGTCCCCTACTGATTATATAGGATAGTCTTATTTGATCAGTTGGAAGTTCAATTCTGCTCATGACCTTCCTTTTCCTGAGGATAGATAGCCTGGGCCCAAGTCTGAGTTCCAGATTACCTGTGATCTTTCCTTGACTGGTAGACTTAATTTTGGACTTGCATCAGCCTCCACAGTCACATAGGATGAATGTACTAAAAGGAACTGGCCTATGGATGTATATATCAATCCTGCAGCTTCTGATTCTCTGGTTGAACCCTGCCTGATACAATCCCTCACCCAGTTTTTATGTTTAAGTTATTAGACTCAGTTCATTGATTGAAGGGGCTACATGCACAGTTCCCTTGAAGGATGCCCTGTGGTGTCACAGCAGATACTCAATTTTCCCACCCCTCCAATGGAAACCCATGCCCATTTACCTGGGTAATTAGACAAATGGGGAGAGGAACATTCAGACCTGTGATAGGGACCTCCACAGCCAGATCAGTCCTCATAATAGAATGGGGAGGGGTGTGCGCAGTCTAGGTGACAAAATGAGAACAATGCCATCTTTGAATGGCTCCAATGGATCTGTGGACCACCTCTATGGACATTTTCCTGATCTGAGTAAGTACCTAATCAGGATAGAAATATAGCAACTGATCTAACCCTCGCATGTTCCCTGACCCATGGGAAAAAAAGCTATCACGGCAGGAAAGGCCAAGCAGAGTTCTCTAAAATTGTCCCCAAACCCCGCATAGCCAGAAGTCAAGTCAGAAGCTACACCACATCTTCAGAGTGGTAGTGCCAGGGATGGGGGCTTCCTATCACCTGCTTGATTCACTAGGATGGCTCTTAAGAGAATAAGGCAAGTCTTGGCATATGTTGAACTACCATAAGCTCAAAGTCATACCTGCTGTGCCAGAGGTGGTGTCTGCTACTGAGCAGCAGCTGCCTTGGGCCCTTTAAAGCTATTGGCCTGGCAAACTGATTCTTTACCACCATTATCAAGGAGGCTGAAAGCCATTCACATTCAACACAAATAAAGCAGCAATACATTCATCATACTCTCAGGTTCTGGAAGTTTTTCCTTCTCTGCCACAGTTGTCTAAGTGACTTTTATAGTCTGGAGATTATGAAGATCACCACACTAGTCCATATCAATGGCAAAATGTTCAACCTGATGAGCAACAAGTGACTGATGCCCTTTAGCAGCAAGTCCAGGATTCAATCTGAGCCTCTAGTTTGGGCACTATGCCTCCACATCCCAGTGGTGTTGGAGGTATTTTGTGGCAGGTAGACATCCTACAGGGCTCCGACACAGATTCTACAGAACAGAACTATTAGCTGTTAAGCAGCTCCTACACCTTATTCCCCGACCCTAATGAGGTGAGGTGTCAACTATTACATGACCATGTAACTAGAGCTACCATTTTGTGCATGGTATTTCAGACCCAAGGCTGGGAACCCTCAGGAATTCATTCCACAACGGAAGTGATAGAGTTCAACAGACCCAGAGCCCCACATCACCTACAATAACTTTCCTTCACACATCTAGGCCTTGTGGGTGTTTCCTTAGTCAGCTGGAAGGACAGCCTGCCTATAGTTCAAGATAGTTGGCTAGATATTGACAAGTGAGCCAGAGATGGACTGCTGTTACAGTGCAGCCTCATTCATGACCCTGAAAGTGGTGAAAGGGTGTCCTCACAGTGGGTAGGGACTCAAGCATTATACTTGGTCACCTGTTTGGTGAAGTAGACAAGAACATATAGATACTGGGAAAATGACTAGTGGCTTATGCAGGTTGTCATGGGCTTAGAAGGAAAACGATTGTAAAAAACCAGAGATAAGAATCCCCGGGAGAAAGTGGATAAACCTATGGGAGCTTGCATTGTGCAGATCTTGTTCCTTTCATGCTTTTGAAGCTCAGAATCTTATTGAATATTAACCTTGTGCTTGGCTCCTGTAGTCCCTCCGGAAGCAGTGAACAGACACTTGATTCTGAACCAGATATCCAGGTTAGGCAACTGGGGAGCTCAAGCTTGACCACAAGTGTCATTAGAAGCAGAGTATGCTTTCTTCAAGTAGTTGTGACATTTGGATTGCAGCTTCCAAATTTAGTCTTAAGTATAGACATACATTTTCTTTTAGACTTAAGGTACATATGCAGGTTATATAGGCATATCACAGGGGTTTGCTGTATGAATTTCACTCAGGTACCAGGCCTAGTACCTAGCAGTTATTTTTTCTGTTCTCCATTCTCCCACCCTCTAAACTCTCAAGGAAGTCCCAGTGTCTGTTACGCCCTTTGTGTTCATAAGCTATTATTTAGCTCTCCATTTATAAGTGAGAACATGTAGTGTTTGGTTTTCTGTTCCTGTAATAGCTTGCTATGGATAATGACCTCCTGCACCATCCACGTTCCTACAAAAAGACATGACCACTTTTTATGGCTGCATATTTCATGGTGTATATATTCCACATTTTCTTTATCCAATTTGTTATTGGTGAACTTAGATTGATTCCATGTCTTTTGTGACTAGTGCTGTAATGAACATTTGTGTGCCTATGTCTTTATGGTAGAATGATTTATATTCCTTGACCCCTTCTCCTTATAACCATGTATTATACAAAAGTAAACTCAAGATGGATTAGGGACTTAAGTGTAAAACCCAAGACTATAAAAACCTTGGAAGACAACCCAGGCAATACCATCCTGGAAATAGGAACCGGCAGAGATTTTATGACAAGGACACCAAAAACATTTGCAACAAAAGCAAAAGTTGACAAGTGGGATCTAATTAAGAGCATCTGCATAGTCAAACTATCAGTATGGATTTCACATCAGACAACCTACATAACAGAAAAATATTTGCAAGCTAGAAAATATTTGCTAAGCTATCTGACAAAGGTCTAATATACTGGACATCTATAAGAAACATACAACAAAAGAACATTAGACAAAGGACATGAATCCACTTTTCTAAAGACATACATGTGGTCACACAAAAAGCCCAGTGTCACTTATTAGAAAAATGCAAGTTAAAACCACGACGAGATACCATCTCATGCCAGTCAAAGTGGCTATTAAGGTCAAAGAACAGGCGCTGGTGAAGTTGCAGAGAAGAGGAAACATACACTGTTGGTTGGAGTATAAATTCACCATTGTGGAAAGCAGTATAGTGATTCCTCAGAGCTAAGGACATGCATTTTTATGTACAACATTCAGATCCTGTATCAGCTATAACTTAAGATGACCCCTAGTCCATCCCTTTTCTTTATTTGTGTCATGGATCAAGGGTCTTCTGATTTGTTTCATGGAAACACCCTATTCTTTCAGACTGTCAAGTACACCTCCCAAGATGCCAAAACAAGACACAGGATCTACCAGATGAGGGGAGAAGTGGGGTTCTTCTTCCCTTATTACATACAACAACTTTGCTGCCTTCCAAGCTTACAGTCTTTTCCATGTATCAGTCAGGGTCCCAGCAGAAAACTAAACTCAAACGGGGAAGAATTTGGTGAAGGAAAACCTTCATGGAACATCAAGGATTAAGAGAACAAAGGATGAGGTAATCAGGGTCTAGCAACAAGCAGCTACTGACGACCACGGACCAAAGGAAGGAAAAGGATACCCAAAACCCAATGAGGGCTGGAACTATGGAAGAGGGTCCCATCTGGTAGGACCAGATCTGCAGAGACACAGTTACTATCTAAGACACGGCTTTGAAGCCAAGAGGGAGTCAGGAATCAGAACCCAAAACTCTTTCCCACCAACCTTCTCTCCTAATCAGGGTGTCTCCAAACCTACCTGGATATCAGTTTCCAAGGGAGACTGGGTGATGTATTCCACAAGAGTTACCCTACTGGGGCACAGAACAAAGTGGAGAACAGATGTTAGGGAGGGTCAGAGAATAACCAGCTCATCTGGGGACAAATGGGGAAGTGAGAATCTAATGGGGAAGTGAGAATCTGAAGGGGATAACCTGTACAATACTCCTAGAGGACAAGGTACAGGGGTCTGTAACCAATCTTAAGTCCCATACAGGCTGGAACAAGCCTGGACTGGAGCAGGACAAAAAAATGAACAAGTTGACTTTCTCAATAACTAAGTGGGGATTCATAGCAGAATTACTGGTTTGGAGATAGAATTCTAACATTCATCCAAAAATATGGATTGAAATCCCAGTCACATGGAGCTAGGAAGTCGAGACCTCTCCAGCTGTGGAATTCACCATTGTCAGCGTTTACCTAGATGTTCTATGCATGCTGCCTCCAGGCTTGGTACAGCTCCCACACATCCTTGCTCCCCAAATGAGATCATTTTCTTAGTCCTGTTACCAGGGAGGTTAGTGACTTCCATTTTCTGATGGTGTTAGATTGGATAATAAGTCAATCCTGATTAAGAAGGCATTATCCTGTTAGGAGGCACCAACATCTCAGCTTGGGGAAACTGCTGGGGATTATTTGAGAAAAGAAAGTCTAGTGACTGTTTTATACTTGAGTGTATTAAGAAAGATTACAAGACAATGCCTTTCTTCAACTTGCTTAGTTTAGCATAGCACTGTCTGAGGTTTGAAAACAATGTTAATGGTACACAAGTGTATTAGTCAACATCAGAAAGGTGTCTGGCAAAAGGGAAGGAATATGGCCGGAAGTGGACATTGTGCAAATGTGTTTTAAGAACTCTAGCCCTATACAATTAACCCATTTTGCATAAGTGACAAATCCCCTGGAAGTTGTTTCCAATGTAACTAGGTCACCAGGGCCATGTTCCCTCACCACTTGACATCTCACATCGTATGTAAACAAACCTTCGAGTTTGTAGCTGGCATACCTGGTGTCCCAACACTCTCATGCTCCGTCATACTTCCGATTTCTGCCATGTTCTGGGTCATTACCCATCAACTCACTTCAGGCTGACAGCACTTAGGGCTGCCTAGAGTGAGCCCCCTCTCCGACATTTGCTTTCTGCTCCAGGGCTCCGATACCAAGGATGCAGGCAGGAGCTTACTAAGCTTTGGAAAGTGTGTACAGTGACCCCATTTCAGGAATGCAAAGTATGATATTGTAAAGTTTACAAGTGTTACTCATTAAATTTAGAACATTGGTCTTACTGTTTTGTGTTCCTAGTTTCTCGATGTTCACTTATGTTTTGAGGGTAGGTTGTGTACATTGAATCATTGGATTGCTATTGTTACGAAGTGTCACTTTTGCAGTGTTTTCGGTGGAACTCTGGTAGTATGCTGGTTTGATTGGTGTTTGCATGGTATATATATATTTTTCCTTCTTTAAGCATAGGGACACAACAGCTGAAAGTTGAGTCTTAAAGCAGGAAGTAGTTGGAATATTCACCCATTTATATCTGACGTAGTTACCTTTGTATCCTGTTTTGTGTTGTTTTCTACTTTACCCATTCGCTCAATGTTATTTTGTCTCTCCTTTGACTTGAGGAAAGTCAGACCTTCAGTATTCTTATTCTTTACACTTTTCTAGTATTTACTCTAGAGGATATTTCTTGATATATTGGTGTCCAAAACAAGTTTTCTACTTGTGATGGTGTTCTACATTTTAAACAAAGTCCACTGACCCTCTTGCATTTTGCAGTTTTGCTGCCATTTTAACTTCCCATGTTTAAACCCTTCAAGATTGTTTTATACAGTTAATGTCAGTCTGCACTTACGTTGATATGTTTTGCTGGTTTTGCTTTTTCAGTTCTGTGATTTCCTGCAAGACTTTTCTGCCCAGAGGATCCTTTAATATTTGTTGGGGATGTAATTCCTTTAGAGACTGTCCATCTTTGTTTTTGATGTTTTTTGCTAGTTATGTTTTAGGTTGGAATTTGTTCTCAGCACATTGGAGATGTCCATTCTTGTCTGTTGGCTTCTGTCAGAACACAGTTAATCTTCAAGGTAACATGCTTTTCCCTACCTCTGGCTGCTTTTTAAGTTCATATTTGATCTACAGCAGTCTTGGTATGATGTGCCTAGGTGTAGAAATTCTTATGGTGGGTGGGGGGGTTGCAGAGCTCCTTGAATCTGTAAGCTTCCTGGCAATTGTCACCATGCATCTTTTGTCCTCCTGTCCACCACTCCCTACCCACAACTACCCTCGTTCTGGGATCCTGATTACATGTGTCTTTTGACTAAGACTCATGATATCATACATGCATCAATGCTGTTTTCTTTTAATATTTGTACTGTTTAGATGTTATCAAGCTGCCTTGTAATCTTGGATTCCACTGTTTCTAGAATTCAGTTATAGCCATTCTAACAAGTTCTAACCTTAATGTATTTAACTTTGAGCTTACTAGGCTTTAAAGCAACTTGAAACTGATAGAAATTATCTGCTTGAGAGGAACATCTGAGTTTAACTGAGCACATCTGGGAGATCTCAGCAGAATTAAGTGCCCCTTCCCGCTCTACTACCAGTAGAAACTCTGAACACTTTCTTACCTGTCTCCCCCTGCTTATCAGTACCACATCCATATTAACTACCCAAACTCCTGTCAGGTTGCTTCTAAGGGAATCCGGACTACAAGAACCTTTCATACCCAGCCAGATGAGGTACAAGCCCCTCATCTCAGCCCAAATCTGAGGAATATGTCTATAATTAAGTAAAGGATGAAATTAAAAGTCACTTAATTATCCACCAGAAACCCTCTATTTCCATCAACTAATAATATCTCAACATTACACAGACACATGTGAAATGTCTAATCACGTCTAGCTTGGAAGAAAGTCCTAGGAGGACACCACCATAAGTCAGTTGCCCGTGTTCTAATCCTCGAGGAGCTACAGACAGGTTTAGCCTTAGTTTCAGCACTTCACCACTCAAGGGGACTCTCAGATTGGGAGATCAATTCTGAGTTGATTTCTCCAGTCTTTGGTTTCTTCCTTACTTGGTTAACTGACCATCCTATAGCTTTCCCATATCACAATCTTCATAGGCCTGAGGCTTTTTGAAAGCCATTTAGGATGCCTTTTTGGAGCTCAACAGCAGAAATGGAATGGTTAAAAAGGAAAGACTAACCTATGAGGCACAGCCATCTGACATAACTGCCTCACAAACCTCAGGTTTGTCTTGAGGTAGATAGGGTTGGTGGTGGGCAAATATGAAAGAGGGCCTAAGCCCATCTAGATACTTCAAGAAGTCTTAGAAGATATACTGATGGAACTGTGATAATGACATGCATTTGGTCTTGTTCATTTCCTGACATGCAGCTTCTAAAAACCCTTGGAATCTCCAGGGTTATAGGCATGTCTGGTAGGCTAATGAGATGACTAGTGGCTGGAGTCCCTAGATAGCTTCAAGGATGGGGGCTGGTCACTGAAAGACCAAAGCATGATTCAGGAGGAAAGATGCTTAAGACTGAGTTGATCATGGGTAGGCAATGATTTTGGTTATGCCTATGTAATGAAGGCTCTACAAAACCAAGAACTGGGTTCTTAGAGCTGTCAAATTACTGAACACATGGAGGTGCCTGGAAGTGGCACACCCAGAGGGTATGGAAGCCCCTTCCCACAGGTCTTGCCCTATCCCCATTGCCATGGACAAAGTTTGGGTTCTGTGAACCGTTCTAGCAAGTTGAACTCGAGAGTGTAGTGGGAACACTAGTTTATAGCCGATTAGTCAGAAGCATACATGACAGCCTACTATGTGCAATGGCATCTGAAGCAGGGGGCAGTCTTACGGGAATGAGTGCTTGATCTGTAGGATATCTCCAGATAACATCAGAATGGAATTGAGTTAGACTCAGCTAGTGTCCAATGGAGAGCTGCTTGGTGTTGAAAAACACCTTACATACATCTAGTGTCAGAAGTATTCAGTTGTGAGGGTAGGAAATACGCTGGGTTTTTCCTAACTACCCATTAACTTCCTTAGTACCAGCGTGTGGTGGCCCTTTTCAACATGGAATGTTTCAATCCTGAACTTCAGCTTACATACTGCCATCATTCCTGTCCTACACTTCAGAATTTCACTGACAGCAAGACATTATGGAATCTTGCATGACCAAGCAGCCGATGAATATTCTGTTTAGTTATATAAGATTTTTTTCTCTTTATGGAATTCTGTGCAGAGCCTTAGTTTATGCATGAGTAGGCATTAATAGCTCAGTTACCCAACTTCTGTGCAATTCGAGCCTTTGAATGCACTGTGGCGATATTCAATCCTTCCCCTCAAAGATAACATGAGAGTTAAAACTTCAGTCACAAGTTTTATTCATAGAGCATCTTAATCTGTATCTGCTAAGTTACTTATGGAGGTACTGGTGAATACCCATTAGACATGCACGGATTCTTCTGGTAGAGCACTGAGCACATACTCAGGGTGTCAAAAAGTGAAACTGAAGTTTCTAGAAGTGTTCTCACAGGATTGAGCTTAAGGCTTGAGCAGCTTTAAAGGAAGCATGCCAAAGGCTAAGTCCAAGGCATATTCATTTGAGGGAACTAAGATAACCATCCTATAAAAGTATACCCAGACACTGCCAGTTTCAAGGAATCTATTTCCCCACAGAAATCTCATAAGCCATCTTGAAGTGTTAATGTTACTTTCTAGTCCTGACAGTCACCTTTCCAAGTCTTTCAAGCTTGAAATAAGTGAACACTTTGCTCAGACCCATTAGTCAGCAGAAGAGAAAGAATCGAGTAGAGGAAGATAGATGGGGGGGAAGAAGCTAGAACATAAGTAGGGGCTCATATCAGCAGAGGCACTGAGTCTGACCAAGCAAGAGCTGAGTACACAGACACAAGTGGATGGTTAAGAGAAGCCTGGGATGTTCCTGCCCAGGCTCCACTTCTTAGCAGCCCAGGGCTGACAGAATAGGTACAGAGAGGGTCCCCAGATTTGCTCAGAGAAGGACACAGGTCTGAGTTTTGATTCAAAACATCCAAGAAGTTTAGTTTTGTTGATCTAAAGGTTTCCCACTTGTGCATCTTACATTCCATATTTAGTGAGATCCTTTTAACCTAGTACACATCATTGCACAACCAATACCACAGTAGGGAGCCCCTCTGAGCACCATTGTGTTATTACGTATTTGACTGAGGCATTTATATCCCAATCTTTCCGTCAGCCACCATTCCAACCTTCCTAGACCCCTAGTTTCTGACCCAATCCACTCTTCCACTTATAAGCTTTGTCTTGCCTCTGCCTACTGGCGCTTGGTACCATTTCTTTGGAGGACATTCCCTTCAAATAGGCAGTTCATATCATCCTTTTTAATCTCAAACGTACCTGCATGGCTACCTTCCCTGTTGCTTGTCCCAGACTTGCAGGTGGTATAGTTATTTACGTAGCAGTTGGAGCTAAGACAATGCCAACAAGCCTGACCTTCATCCTGTGAATTTAAGAACCAAATTTTAAGGTTACACAGCCAAGATGGAAGACCCTTTAACACTTCTCCCCACTGTGCTTTTAGTTTACAACCACCTCTTTTCAAAGTATTTCCTAGGTTGTCTTCCAGAATTTTTATGGTTTGAGGTCTTACAACTTTTTTTTTTTGAGAGGGAGTCTGTCACCTAGGCTGGAGTGCGGTGGCAAGATCTTGGCTCACTGCAACCTCTGCCTCCTGGGTTCAAGCGATTCTCCTGCCTCAGCCTCCTGAGTAGAACTATAGGTGTGTACCACCATGCCTGGCCAATCTTTTGTATTTTTGATAGAGACAGGGTTACACAGTGTTGGCCAGTCTGGTCTCAAACTCCTATCATGCAATCTGCCTGCCTTGGCCTCCCAAAGTGCTGGGATTAACAGGCGTGAGACACCATGCCCAGCCTTTAATCCATTTTGAGTTAGTTTTTGTATATGGTGAAAGGGGGGTTTTCCAGCTTTAATCTTTTGCACATGACTAGCCAGTTATCCCAGCACCATTTATTGAATAGGCAGTCTTTTCCCCATTGCTCTTTTCTGTCAGCCTTGAAGATCAGATTGTAGGTGTGCAGCTTTGAGTTTTCTATTCTTTATTGGTCTGTGTCCATTGTTCTAATATCAAACTGTTTTGGTTATTGTGGGTATAAGCATCGAGAGTTTGATGTTGGGTATTGTGCTGCCCCCAGCTTTGTTCTTTTTGTTTAGGATTGCCTTGGCAATTTGGGGCTCCAATTCCATGAGTTTTAGAAAAGTTTTCTAAATCTGAAGAATGACATTGGTAGTTTGATAGATTCAATGCCATTCCTAAGTTGCTTTGGACAGTATGGCCATTTGTATATTAGTTCTTCCAATTCATGAACAGAATATTTTTCCATTTGTGTCATCTGATTTCTTTCAGCAGTGTTTTGTAGTTCTGGAGGTCTTTCACCTCACTGCTTAGTAGCATTAAGTATCTCATTTTTGTGACTTGTAACTGGGATTGTGTTCTTGGTTTCACTCTCAGCCTGGACACTGTTGGCATATAGAAATAGTGATTTTTGTACATCCTGCATCCTGAAGCTTTAGAGTTTTTAAAATTCTAGAAGCCCTTTGTTCTAAAGGGTCTTTAGCACTTTCTAGGTATGGAATCATGTCAAAGTAGTAGTTTGACTTTTCCTATTTGGATGCATTTCTCTTGCTCCATTGCTCTGCCTAGGATTTCCAGTACTATGTTGAGTAAGAGCGGTGAGAGTAAGCATCCTTGTCTGTTCTAGTTCAAGGGAAATAATTCGAGCTTTTGCCCGTTTTGTGTGATGTTGGCTGTGGGTTTGTCAGAGCTTGATTTGAGGTATGGTCCCTTCGATGCCCACTCTGAAGGTTATTGAAAGATGTTGGATTTTGATTGCTTTTCTATTGACATGATCATGGTTTTTGCTTTTGATTCTGTTTGTGATGAGTCACATTTGATTTGCGTATGTTGAACCAGTCTTGCATCCCATGAATCAAGCCTACATGATCATAGTGAATTAGCTGTTTGGTGAATTAACTTTGGTAAATTAGCTTTTTGATGTGCTGCTGGATTCAGTTTGCTTAGTATTTTGAGGATTTTTGCATCTGTGTTAAAGAATACCGGTCTGAAGTTTTATTGTGTCTGCCAGATGTTGGTGTCGGTCTGATGCTGGCTTCGTAGAATGAGTTGGAGAAGCCGTGCCTTGATTTTTTGCAAGTTTCATGATTAGTATTTTTTTGGAGGCAGGGGAGGGCATATCTGGTAGAATTTGGCCGAGTCCAGCTAGTCCAGGGTTTTCTGGTCGGTACTTTGTTACTGATTCATTTCAGAAGTTGATATTGGTCTATTCAGGGTTTGTCTCCTCCTGGTTTATTGGGAGATTGTGTGCCTCCAGGAACTTCCTATAGATTTTGATTTGTGTGCATAGAGTTTTTCATAGTAGTCTGAGGATCTTTAACGAATCCCACAGAAATAAAAGATGCTGGAAAGGCTGCAGAGAAAGGGAATGCTTAACACTTGGTGGCAACATAAATTAGTCCAGCCACTGTGGAAAGCAGCCCAGAGGTTGAAGAACAGCTATCATTTGACCCATTCCTATTACTGGGTATATACCCAGAAGAAATTCTACTGAAGAGACACATGCACTTACATGTTCATCATTGTGCCATTCACAGCAGAGACATGGAATCAACTCACGTTCCCATCAATGGTAGATTGGATAAAGATGCAGTATATACCATTGATTATGCAGCCATGAAAGAATGTTGTTCTGTGCAGCAACATGGAGCTGGAGGCCATAACCCTAGGCCAGTTAACACAGGAAGACAACCAAATACTGCATTGTTCTTGCTCATAAGCCAGAGCTAGACTTGAGCACACAGACATAAATGGGAACACATGCTGGACTAGAGGTTAGAGGGATGAGTTGAAAAACCTACTGGGTACTATGTTTACTGCCTGGATGACAGGACTCATACTTCAAAAACCTCAGCATCATGGTAGTCCTGTAGACCTATCATAACGGTCCCATGTACAAATCTGCACATGTATCCTGTATCTAAGGAGTTGAAGTTTAAATGCAGAACTATGTTCTCTAGCAATCAGTGTCTCCCACTCCAATAAATCAGAGCGGGTTCCACCCATATATGGTCCCTCAAAAGAAGGGACACTGGCTCTACTTCCAAGCATGCTTGGAAGACTCCCGCATGTGTAAAGGCCACTGATTTGCCTATTTAGGCAGCTACCCCAGCAAGTGAGTTTGCCATACTTTTGTCAGTGTAAACATCTGCCTCTTGAAGACAAAACTGCATTTCTAGGTTATGTAAAAGATGTGTGTAGCTAAACTGGAAGAGATGGCTGAAATAAAGTTAATTTTTCTGGCTGAGTATGAAAAAGCATAGAGAAAAGGAATTCCTAGCCTTAGGGGGTGCGTGTGTGTAGAGCGGGGGGAGTCGATTTATCCCAACATAGTTCAATAGTCGTCAGTTATTTTTAGTGCCTAATGCTGGGCACTAGTAGTGAATGACAGTAAGCAGAGCCTACCCTTGTATGTATGTGCACATGAGGTCCTAAGGCAATGATGGCTCAAGAGACTTAGGTCGAACTGAGCAACTCTAGAGAAGTGAGAAAAGCTAGGCCCCTCCATAAGGATACTATAAGTTGCCTGAGAAAGGAAGTTTATCCATTCTACTTCATTATTGTATTACCTATGGCAGTAGGAATCAGCCTAGGTGTCCATTACACAAGGAGCATGTAAGTAGGGAGATGTGCTAAGCTAGACCGGACAAGATCTAAGTCCACTTATGTCGAACATGCATCCGACATCACATTTTACATGCCAATATATGAACTAGAATATTTGCCTATGGTGAGCAAATGGAAGTAAAAAGAAAAAAACTGAACTGAAGCCTTGCGTGGATTAAGCACATCGAAGTAAGGGTTACATTTACTCCCGAGTGTCAGGAAGATTCCTCTTCTCTAGAGAAGGTAAGGATTAAGTCAGTGAATTCTGTAGGAGGAATAAAATTAAGTTTCAGGAGATCTGTGAGATTCTGAGGAGCATAAGTCAAAGCTCCCCATCCCCTGCTCCAATTAACCCCCCAAACATAAGCTGCCACAGGGCCTTTGAAAGTTTATTCGTGAAGATAGGCCAGAATCATCCTGGTTTTTTAAGTCTTAGCTGAGAAATATGGACCTTAAGGAGTTACAGAAGTTACCCTACGCCATAGGATTACAAGATCCCCTTATCGATGAAAGTTCAAAGATGGGGTTTGCTATCTGGCCTGTCTTTGCATAGGTGTCCCTATAATTGAGTCTTCCATTGTTAGGAAGGAAAGCAGTCATATCATCTTTAGGGTCCTTTGGTTTATTCTGAAGTTTAATTCCTTCAAGTCATGAGGAACATGGCACCATGACAGGCCTATCATTAGGATAGTCACTAGACAAAGGGTGGACTGGCTCCTCAGTCTGTTAGCTGTCCCATTTTCAAGCCCTGCCTAGATAATGGGATAAGCATTCCTGACCAGGAAGAGGGGATCATGTATGTCAAAGGTATAAAACGGGCCTTAGGTAGCAGCTCAGGAACAAGACGTGTGGCTGTTTAAGTTAACAGGATTCACTACGGAATATGACTTCGTTTTCCTCCCCTTTCCCTACCATTCCTACCCATTAAGCAAATGTCACTAGAAGTCTGACTTAGGTGAATCGGGCAGGTTAGGGAAACCTTGCCCTTTAATGGAATCTTCCCAGTGAAAACCATTTATTGTGAACTATCCGAACAGCAAGCTGAGGCAGAGCATTTAGGAGTCAGTCGCATTTCGTTCTGAAACATAGGAATTGGAATTAAAGTTTACACCTATGGCAAGGTATCAGTGATCTGTATTTGAAGAGGCCATGTCTCCTCCCTGGAGGACTCAAGTCTAAGGGACCAGGTCAGGTAATACACACGACTTCCAATGGACAAAGAACTTTAAGCAGTGAGCCAGAAGGGAGAACTTAGTCTTGAAGAGCTTTGACAAACTTCTAAATTATGCTGAAGATCTGTGCTCAACTTTCACCTATCCAAACAGTAGCAACTGGTGAATAGAAATCCAAGATTCAAGATTACTCCAGCAACACAAGGCAACTATACTTGAGGATTAAAAACTTCAGCTCTACTTTTCTTATGTAGCAAGGCAGAAGAGAACATGGAAGACCACTAGTTGGAAACCAGAAACAGAACTGACTGCCCAAAGCACAATAGAAAGAAGTCTAAGTGCACTCCAAGTTCTATAAGAGCTTTCAGAACAAATTCTTGTAGTGCCCCCTTCATTGATCGTGTTTCCCCATCCCACTCCAGCCATATGCAATGATGACAGAATAAGGGCAGGTGAGGTTCATGGGTCCTTAGGCTGACACTTTCCTACTTTTCCTGCAAGCAAGGCTTGGGTTTGTCTTTCCTGGCTAGGCAAGATAGATCTCCCAGAAAATGTTATTGCCCTGTTGGGCTGGCTGCTTCTCTTGGGGGCCCCAGACCCTTCTACTGATTGGTTGCTGGTCCCAGCCAGGCTTTTTGTTTCTGAAAAGCTATAACCCTGTAGCCCTGTCCCTCCAGTTTTCAGGAGAGAAGTTTTCCCTATAATCCAAGTTCTGATGGATCCAGGAAGATCTGATTTGGTTTATCTTGAAGGTCAGAAGTGAACTTATAAAGCTCTCTCTATGTCAGGGCACAAAAACAGAAGTCCAGTTAAGGTTAATTTATAATAAGAGCATCAAGAAGTCAGTAAGGTTGATGGTTCAGCAAGTTGTCATTGAAACTTAGAGATTAAGTTTCCCTTTAAGATAGAAGCCTAAACTTGTCCTACAGGTTTCATTCTGTTAACCAAAGGAGGCCTTCCTAAAGTGAAATTCAACTTAAAAGCAAGCTACTGGCAGTCTGGATATGAAGCTTTTAGTTTGAGGTTATCATTAAGGGTAAGATGAGTAGAAATCCTGGAACATCCCCTAATATGCTCCTTTCTAGACAAGATTGTGAAAAATTTAATGTTCAGGAGTTGAAGTAGGAAAATTCGTTTGTTCTGAAATTATGAATACAGCCATTGTAGGGAACTGAGACTTCTTTGGGGTTTTCATCTTGAAGTAAAAGATCTGTCTATGGGTTTATTCTTTGCCAATTAAGGTTTCTTAATGAGAACACAGAAATAAACGATTGCCAAGTTTACATGTATGTGAGATTATGGGGACCTGGAAAAGGCCAGCTCTGTTTTCATGTCTACTGGGAGACACTTGATCTCTTGGAAAGTGGTTAGGATAAAGCATCAAGCCCTGCCGCAGAGCTTCTGCAAAGGAAAGTGACTCTGGGGTATCCCAGAGCAGTAGACAGGATCAGGGACTGACAAGTGATTCTGAACAGTCCAGTGAATCAAGACAGGGTCTGCTCTCACCTAAGGTTTCTCACAGAAATAACTCAAAGTATGGCAGAAGGCACCATTTCTTCCCCTGGGCTACCTTTTAGATTGAGACTTTTATGAAAGACTCTATACTCTTTTCAAGTTGCCCAGAGCTTGGGTTATCATGGTGCTACAGTTCTTGGGAAAGGCCAAGCTACGCAGGCTATGAGCTAGTCCAAACCTTACCCCCAGGTCCACGAAGGGAGTCTGATGGACCAGAAAGGAAAGGAGTAGCCAAGTGTTCAGCCACTTGGCCATCTCTATAGGAACACATGGGTTGTGACAAGCAGGCTGAGGAGTGGGAGTCCCTATAGCCAGGGCCTTCCAAGAACATTCTTGCCAGAGGCCTCCACTTGGAGAGCCAGCCATATAAGCCCCCTTTTCCCACTGCTGCTCACTCAATTCCAGGACAAGTATGAGTTACCCAAAGGCTACACAATTTAGTGGCAAAGGATGGGACACTAGGAACAAACATGGAAGAGGAAGATGCTGCCAAGCCTTGAGGACAGCTTACACTCGAGGCATGGGGCTATGCGCAGAGGGGAGCCTCCCACAAACCACCATACCTGGAACTGAAGCCAAGTGATCTAGGCAGTGGAGGGAGTACAGGGCCATCAGTCAATAGTTAGCTAGTTACAGAATTGGCAGTATGCCCAGCTTCCTACTAATCACCACTGAAGCCTCATGGCCCAGAGATACTTATTTTAACAAGTCAGATTCTCAGCTTTTGGAGGAGCTTAAGTAACTCATCCAAGACAAGAAATGTGGCAGGATCCAGGCCAAAGCTATATCTGGCCCCAAAAGCGTGTGACCTGAGCATTTTGGCCATATGGCCCATCACACACTTCCCTGCCACTGAGGGTCTATTAGGGAAAGGCTGGAAGCCAAGCTTTGTCATGAGTGGCTTCCCTGTAGAAAGTCCAGAAATTGTGTTCTACCTAGTTCTGGAGCCATCTGACAGCAGTTCTTCTGGCATGAATAAAATAGGATACAGAAAGCCTAGAAAATTGGGTTAACTAGCTCATTATCAGAGCAACAACCAACAGCCTTAAGTTCACCCGCATCACAAGTCTGCTTCTGCAATCAACACATTCTATATATCAGCTGAGCAGGCCGGGACCCTCAGAACTAGAACTCTCAAATTCTGTGAGCTTCATATTTGAGCTTGGCAGAGCCCAACATCCCTCACCTGACATGGTTCCATATCCATATCATAGCTTCCAGGCTCAAAGACTCAGCCATGTAAGATTTTAGGCACCTACAGGGACCTGGGTTTAAGTCACTGTCACTTGTCCTCCACCTTGCCTTTTTGCCTGTCCCCAGGAACTTCTGCTAAATTAAGTGTTAGAGCTGAAAGTCTGTATGAATTCCTGGCCATCTCCCCAGCCCTTACTCATAAGTTACAGCCATGGCTACACAACCGTGAGGCCAACAGTTCAATGTTGCAGCGAGTAGCACCTGTAGACTAATTAGCAAGCCTTCCTCAACCTGAGAGTAATTCTATTCCTCTAGATGGAATCTTTCATTAAAGCAGCTAATGCAGTTTATGTGAACCGTCCTGGATTACTGGCCCAGGTTTGACCTTGCAAGATTGTTTATCACCAGCCATACTTTGGGAACCCTGAGAAGCTAAGCAACTTTTCATCCATGCCTTAAAGAAAGGACATTTGATATCTGAAGACACTTGAACAGGGTCATACGATTCTAGGTGTAAGGTCTGGATAGGTGAGTGCTAAGCAGACAATCGGGCACCACAGCTAGATTTAGAGCCTGCCAGGCTACAAGGAGGTATAAGGCACTTAGGTTCGAGTGACATATTTGTTACCAATTGAGCAGGAGTGCCATGCTGCAGGAAGAGTGCAGGTGCTAAGACACCTGTGACAAGCTCAGAGTAGGAGTACTCTACCAGCTAACATTTACTGAGCACGTACTAAAATGTGCGCTGCACTATATCCACAATTGTGTAATCACAATCCTCAGCTTAAGCCACTTTTCCAGTTGTTACTCACCTGAGTTTAGAGCCATTAAATAGCTCCCAGGTGAACTCAAGCTCATATCCCCCAACCACTATCACATTACACTGCTGTGAAGTTATTTCCACATACAGGACCCGAGATTGATGCCCTGGTCAAACAGTAGTTCCATGACAGAAGTAGATCTAATCCTGAATCCAGACTCAGGCACTCCTACCTGTAATCTGAAAGTAATTGTTCCCGAAGCACTTCAAATGGCCTCCAGAAGAGATATTTTAAGGAGTTTTAAGTTCGTGGCCCTTAAACTAGATCATGGCTAGGCAGACTCCACACTGACTGCCCCTTGCCCAGTTTTCAAGGCAGTCCAACACTTCCCACACAGCTTCCCAGTTCAGTGGGCTGAGCCACCTCCAGGCCCCTGGTTCTCCTGCTTCCCAGGCCAGCCGCCTATCAACTCCCCAACGTTCCCTTTGTGCGTATTTAGGCTTTATTTGCTTCTCTAAAGCCTTCAGCCTGTTTGAGTTTGATAATGGGTCCCCCCTCCAGATTAGCTATGCTCTGACCCTTAGTGCACCTGAATTTTGTCTCTGCCAATATACTGCATTAAGTACTGCACTCTAGCCCATCCCTGGGAACTGCCAGGGAGAGCACCCACGTGTAGCTCTAGATTAGTGGAGGAACTCTCATCCAGGTAGAGGATGGCATGTCAGGCCATTACTGTCACAGCTGTGGGCTCCGAACTCCCCTTAGGTGAGGTAGGCGAGTATGGTATCTCAGGCCTAAGCCATCAGGGAGTTTCTGGGAGCTTTTTAGTTATGCTTCTATTAGAGAAATTCCTGTCAGTCCAGTCCCTACTTAGGATCCATCCCCAGGGCAGTGCCCGAGGAAGGGATTTGAGCAACACCCATAAGGGAAAACCGTAGTTCTTAAAGGTTGATACTGTAACTATCATCTGGTGTTCCAGTTCAACCCACATTAGGTATTTATTATCTTCAGCTGTAGGAGACGTGGGTCTTCAGGTTTAAGAGATTTTTGGCAGATTCAAATTCACGTTTCTGTCTGGCTTTTGCAATAGCACACCTGTTCCCATTTTTATCAGTGGTGGGAAGAGATTTTAGGACAAGATTTCTTCAGAGCAACCCTGTAGCTGCTCGTTTCTGAGGGAGTGTATCAAAAGGCTTAAGGGATAGAAAAGGAAGTAAGGGGCCACCATCCCCAAGACCTGGTCACAGAAGCCAGGCTACGGGTTTGCTCAAGGGTACAAGGATGTTGGTGAGAGCAGGAAAGTCTCATCTGTCATCTTAGAAGATGCCAATAAGTCACTGCCTGCTAGAAGCTTTTGAATTGTTTCTGTGAGTCGGAGACAGCAAGTCACCCCAAGTTCCTATGCAGTAGTTCAGGCCTATCTGTACACCCCCTTCCTATTGCCTAGAAAATCTTATAGCTTTAAGGACGCTAGCAGAGCTAGCCTCCTCACTCCATAGGGCCACTTATCCTAAGCAACCCACTCCTAAAGAAGGTTCACTCATGGGAGGGAGAAAGCAAGCTTTCCTTAGTACACTTTTAGTTATCATGGGAGTTTTAGGCATTTTCCCCAGTTATATAGTCCCCACGACAGTTTCTCCTGTAAGTAAGGAGACAAAAAAGCAGGGGGTTTAATAAAGGACAGGATTCTAGTAGACCCCAATAAGGGCTCCTGCCTTTAATCAGCCAGCTTGCACGTTAGGGCCCTGCAAGTCACATGAATGAGGCCGGCAGAGGGAGGCTGCTTCATGTACTGCAGCTTACTACACAAACAGAAGAAACTCACCCAGGAAAATTCAGAGAGGTTGGTTTTAAGAGACCACCGTTCTCCCCTACCCCCGCCCCCCAACTCCCTTTCCCACCCAGGAAAATTCAGAGAGGTCGGCTTTCAGAAACCACCATTCCCCGCCCTGCCCCCCACCTCTTTTCCCACAACATTCCTCTATTAGAAAGACAGAAAGAAAGAAAGGCTTTATACAACACTCCCCAGCTTCTCCCTACTTTCTTCCCTACAACCCAGGGAAAGCACCCAACACACACAACCGCCCACTCAGCTTCCACCAGCCACAAGCCCTTCCGACTGCAGACAGCAACAGCTGGTGCCGCCCTTCGCCCTTTTCTAGACGGTGAAGGCTAAGTCCCACCCCCCTGCCTCAAAGCACTCTGGGTGAGCAGCTACTCCTTTGGTTTCTCATTGGCTCTCTCGCTCTCAATCAACAGCTAGTTACCAGCCCCTCCAAGCATTTCCTGGTCCACATGACCAATAGCAGCAAGGAGAAGTGGAGGTTTATTGCCTGGCTATAGACAGCCCGAGAAAGAAAGTTAGCTTCCCACCCCCGGCAGCTGCAGTGATTGGAAAACGAGCCTGAGCCTTTTCACCGAAAAGAATATATCATTATCCGTTGGGTTCGCCCTACTTCCCTGTTAAGAATCACCTGAAGTGCCTAAAAATCCGCGAGTTTCAGGGCTTTTCCCTGGAAATAATGATTTAGAACGTCCTGGGGGAGGGCCTAGGAGTCTGTGGGTTTAATAAGCACCTCCAGGATTTGTGTCTTCGGGTAAGGTGGCGTAATACTAAAGAGCTGGTATTCAAAAGTTTCTTTCCAAGAAATTGCTTCTGTTACCCTGTTACGTTTATCCAAATATTCTCTGTTAGTTGCTCTTTTAGAGTTGAATTTCTCCAGCAGCTCCCACAAATAAGCAGTTTTTCCTGGAAGGGGAAATGTAACAGTTTAAGAGGGGGCTGGCTAGTCTTGATTTTCGCAGTACACCGTCACCCCACCACCTCCTCAGCCAGTGAGCCACAGATGTGTGTGGGGTGTCCATTATCAGCCTGTTCAGCTGGATCGGTTTGTGACCCTAAAGTGAATCTCCAGACTGAGTAGGATGATAGTGTAGGCAGAAGCCTTTTAAAGGAGGGAACTGGGGTGTGGAACGAGCAAGTTTCAGAGCCTCACTGGGCAGGCCTGGGCAGCCAGAAGACTGTGGGAATACACAGAAGGTGGCTTTTTGTGCACCATGGGCTGTGGCAGGAGAACTTGTTATTCCCACCCTAGTATCAGAAATGCTCCAAGAGAGAGCAAAGGTTAAATACCGTGGTGTGTTCCTCCAGGTTCACCGTGGGAAAAACCCTTTGCTCAGGGGCTGTCTGGCAGAAGGTGCTGGCATCCACACCCTTGTCAGAACCCTCCATAGACTGAGCAGCTAGATCACCTAAGCTGATGGAGCTTTCCTGCAATACCAGACACTGGCATCCATGAAGCGAAGTCTTAGGGTGGGCATTTTGTGGAAAAGAGAGAGGAAAGAAGGATTTCTTGGGGTTAACAGAAAGTGGATGTAGATAAAGGGAATTCTCCAGTCTTGCACCGCTAACATGGTGCAATATTCACAAACAGACATGATTCGTGCTTGTGGACAAAACTGACCTCGGAGCTGAGGTGAGTGACAAACCAAAGTTGCCAGGCCTGAGTAGGGTCCTCGTGCCCAGAGGAGAAAGAGAAAAAACAAAGGAACTCTTTTCACTAAATTCACCAGCTATCTTCTGATCCAGTTAATTAACTGGGAAAACTAAATTAAACCCTAACGCCTTATTCATCTTTGAGGGGACCTGTGATGTCTCTGAGCACTAATGGCAGGGAGGTGGGCAGTGCTGGGCTGGAACATCTCCCATGGACAGCCAAGCAGCATTCTGTTAATCGTGGCTATTAAACTGCTTTCTTGGGAGTTGTTTTTGATCCATGTGGAATAGATTAAGAGTCTGTTTTGAATCCCCTAGAGTTTCCTGTGGAGCATAATTAGAGATGCATTGGAATAGGAATTCAGGTCAACACTTTAATGAGATGTCTGAAGAGTATGGCCCAGCAAGGGGGAGGGTAGAGGGAGTGGAGTGGTGGAGATGAGGAAGGGACATTGTCAGGATGAGGGGGCAAAAGAATGAAGATTTTTGTGAGGAGGTGAATGAAAGACAAGGAACCACAGAGGAGAGAGAAATGGAGAGTGAGAGAAGCAAGGAAATGAGAAGTGAGTAGCATTCACTGTGTCCTACCACATGCCAGGCACGTTTTCAAAGATGATGAGAAAAACAGTTGAGAAAATGATACTGGAAGCCCATGGAGAGGTTCACAGCCTTGGATTCTGATGCTTGTCTTGAATCTATCTGGAGACAGTAGAGAGATAGGGAGAATGGGCTTTGTCATCAAACAGACCTTGGTTTGATTCTTAATCCCGTCCTTTTTGAGCTCTGTGACTGTTGGCAAGTCACTGACCCTCTCTGAAACTGTTTCCTCACCTGTCAAACGAAGGTTAACTATATAATGTTTATAACACTCCCAGAATGGACTATTGTCTAGCATATATTAGATGTTCAATAAATTATTGTTACAATGAGGAATCTGAGGATGAGAGAGGTCAGCTTGGCCTAGGAGCTCATAACTAGTCAGTAACAGAATTGAAAGGTAAGCCCAGGTTTGTCTGATCTCCACTGCCACCAAGCAAAATGTACATACATGACTGACCTTCTGTGGGGGAAAACAAGGTCTGTTCTCCACAGGGTGACCCTTAGCCCATGATGACAGTCCTTATAAGTGGTACTGGCACTGAATGGAGAGCTAAACCAGCTTCAACCAATTTCAATCAGCTATGGCAGGATTTTAAAATTTAGATTTGGTGACATTACTTCCACAGACTGGTTTTCACAGGGCATGCCCTTGCTTGTATCTCCCCATAGGTATGTAAAGTTGCATCCCTTGCTGAGTTCATTCCAGGGCTGAGTTCCCATGATATACCTTGCACTATTTCAGTGCCCTAAGGATGATATAGTCCCATTGGAGAACTGTGGCAGTCTCTAATGGTGGTATGCTGCTCTTCAAGTTCTAGAACCTGCTGCAAGAGTCTGCCTTTGGGATCCATGGGAGGGCTCACACCAAGGTCACAGTCTTCCCCAGGCTGCTCCCAGTCCACAGCACATGGCAGGAGTACTGGAGCTGGGCCACTTCTGCTCAAGGTGGGACTTCCTTAATAGGGAGGCTCTAGGGCTCACCATCACCTGGGAGGTGCACTGCAGTCTGAGTCTCGTCCTGATTCTCCTTCCTTCTCCACTCTTCTTCCTCAGGGGTCAGACATCCATCACAGTCTGAACTCTCCCTGCCTATGCCTCCTCCCTCTCTCATCTTTCCTAGGAGTTTCCCCTCAAAAAATCTTTCACTTCTATGTTGATGTCTGCTTCCCAGAGCATCTAAACTGACAAAAGAAACAACATCCATTATTTATTTTATAAATGATGATGTAAGCCAACTGATCAACAGAATTCAGTTTCCTCCTAACTCCCTCTTGAGCTGTTCACTTCTCTCCAACTCCACAGTCACCACCTTAGTTCAATCCCCCGTCACTATCAGTTAGGATCCTGGCAGGACACTAGAAGACACACTCAAATTGGGTAATTTGTTGAGAAGTTAACAAAGGGACAATTTACAAAGCTGTAATTCCAAGCTGCAACCTTAGCTTAAGGAAGCAAGGGACATGGCCTGCCTGCATCGACTTGAGGTGAGGGATAAATACCTCAACCTTACTCTACTCCCTCCTATTGCGTTTTGGTGCTCCCTCTGGACCAAACCTAAGTGGAAGCCAGAGGGGACAGGAGCCCATTGATGGAAGTCAAGGTCAGCTTCCCAAGACACAGAAGGGTCGCGAGTGAATCTGGAGCGGCAAAAAGATGATATTTGGCACAATTGTGCCTTGCCCAAAGATTTGCAAAATCATGCTATCCTCACTGCTTTCCTTTTAATCTTTCTCCTCATTCAAACCAGGGTGACATTTTAAAGATAGTGCCAACTCTCCTAGCTACCTAACTTGCTCAGTGGCTTCCCCACACACTCAGGATTAAGGATCTGACTTCCACTCTATCCTCACTTCTTGTAACAACTCTTAGGTGGAAGTAAAAACCTGACCTTGCCCTCCTTCCTAGAATACCCTCCTCTCCCCTCAGCTCTTTACCTGGCACCTCCAACTCATTCTTCATGTCACCTCCTCTGGGTATCCACTGTCCCCTGCCCCTTTTACACCAAACAGTTTCCTCTAAGTCTCCTCCCATGACTCGTAAATTTTGCCTTCATAACACATTAGTTTTCAATTATTCATTTACATACAGGGCTGTTTGATTAATGACACCTCCCATAAAGACTAATTTCTGTGACATCAGTGACTTTGCCTGGCTCAGTGTTGCCTTCCCTGAAGCTAGCACAGTGTGGCACCCTATAGATATTTGTTTGATAAATACATAAAATGCTATGGGCAACCTAAGCTAATATATTTTGGAGTTGAGGATGGTTCTGATTTTAAACATTTCTTCCTCTTACTTTCAGTCAAGCATTGAAAAATCCTGGAACTTTCAATATTTATGTAGCCAAAGTGTCTCTCTTGCTCACTCACTTGCTTGCTTGTGTACCACTAATTGAGCAACTACTATGGGCCAGATGCTCTGGAAAATGTTGTTCTGAAGAGGAGTACTAATCTTCACCAGTGGTGCACCTAGCTGTATTTTGCACATTAGGAAACAGACCCAGAGGTAAGAAACAAGTTGCTATCTGATCACCCAATGAGGAATACAATCCAATTCTTTTATTTTTCTATGCTTCCCTCTCTCCAGGCACACCTCCCAGATGCATCTTCCTCATGGGGTTGTCGCAGGGTTTAAGAAAATGAACTCATATAAAGGGCTCAGAATAGTGTCTGGATCACAGTAAGTGCAATCACTGTTAGTTCTTATTAATGTGCCATCCTCTTCCTCCTTAAACTTCCAAACTTTTGCATGAAATATTATTCCTACCAAGTGAACCCCCTCCTACCACCTTGCAAATCATATCAATGTAATTTTATATAAAGATCAGTTCAAGACACATGGCTCTGGACTCTATTCAAAGCTTATATCTCCTGATTGTATTGGCTCCAGGAACTCTGAAGAATTTATGTCAGTGATTCTGAAGTGAGAATGGAACATGGATCCAACCCCTCTAAGGTGAGGAAGCTGAGCCCCAGAAAGGGAACCCAACCTGTTCTCATGTCAGAAAATGCTACAGTTTCACCCACTGTTCAGTATTTATTTCTGGCTCTTAATGCCAGCCTTGCCTTCTCTGCCCCTTAGGGCTTTCCTTGTCTCTGGGCATGTGCCTAGGAGGGGTACAGCACCCCCTTTCTTACCACCATTTTTCCTTACCATCCCTGTAGTCACACACTTTAGCCCTCTCATTGGAGGTGGTCTAGTGTAAATCATGGAGGGGTGGTGGCACATCACATATATTACCACCTCTTCCATTTCTTCTCCCCAGTCATTCCCCTATTTCTTGCTCCTGTTGTCTGTACAAGCTGAATTACTGTCCCCAATCTATAGACACTTGAGATGCTCTCATTTCAGAGGAATTTCTCCAGCTTCTGGAATTGAATACCTCTTGGGCACCGCTTCTTATTCCTTTGGCCACCCCTACCCCAGCCCCAGCCATAGTGGCCTGTTCCATGCAGTCCTAGAGCACCTTCGTGTCTGTGCACCCTGACACTGCCTCACATTTGCCTCCATTGCACACCCTGGATTCCTGCCCTCCAGCTTTTCTGGTGCTGAGGTATGGGATGCCTGCGGGGAACCACTGGGCTCCCTGATGGGCACAACTTGACAGCTCCTGGGGAATTAACACCCTTGACCAGTAGCGATAGGAATCAAGGCCTCCTCCTCTTGTTGCCCACTGTGCGGGGCTGAGATGCACTGCATAAGGGCCCGGTGACAAGAGACTTGCAGCAGGGCCCACTGAGCAGCACATCATTAATGCGTTTCCCTCCTTCCCTGATTTACTTCCCCCGTCCTTTGCTCCTGCTCCCTGGGATTACTTTCTATGCAAACTCCCTGCACACAAGTCTTTTCTCAGTCTCTGCTTTTGGAGAATCCAAACTAAGATACAAGTGACTCCTGGGGCTACAACATCCATTTCCGCTGAGCATTGTTTGCCTCACAGTTCCTCATGGACTCGTTTTCACTTTTCAAAATCCTCATCCTTCAAGGATCATCTGAGATTCTATCACCCTGATCACATCAATCCACAACAATCATTTCTCTTCCAGGGTAGCTATACCCTTTTTTAAGCACTTAACAAAAGTTCTCTCTTCTTTTCTTCTCCTTGATGATAATAATGAATAAGAACAGCTAACAATTATCCAGCTGCCACTGTAAACCCTAAGATTATAAACAGCTTGAAGCCAGGGCCTATGCCTAGGTCCGCAGAGAGCCTAGCATAGGGTTTAGCCCAAATTCTGTGATCTTCCTTGAACTCCTTCAGTAACAGATGGCTTTGTTGCAGGCACCAGAGCCTATTGGGGTGGCTGTCTTTCTCCCTGCCGTGCCTGGTTTCTCAACTGCAGGGAAGACACATGTTCCTTGCATCCTTGCTAAAAGCTCTATCAAGAAAAGTGAAGTGTCACCCAACCCAATGCATGAGCCTGCAAATCATACTTGACCTCTAATGCCCAACTCAACCACCACCTCCTCCATGAAGGTCCCTGATACTTCCAGAAATAACTCTCCATTCTCTGAATTCCTGCAGGCTTTTATCTGTACCCTTTTTATGAAGTGGGACAACTCGTTTTTAGACAACTTTTGCAATTATATCCATAACTTGTCTGTTCTTGCAGCAATGGGTAACTTCAGGGAAATGACCAAACCCTAGGGCCTAGCACTTTCTATTAATAGTTGTGGATATATTTTGAATGAATGAACAACTGAAGGTGAGAAGAGAGACTGAGAGGCTGGAGGCAAAAGATTATCAGGGCTTCTGGATCCTGATCAGTCGTGGGAGGCCCAGAGTTGCAGATTTATAAAGATGATGGCAGAGTCTACCACTTGTCCATGCAAACTCGTTTTTCTCTTTTTACATAAAATGTATAATTGGGCACACTCGGCCACCAGAATATATTTCCCAGCCTCTGTGCACCTTATGACTCAGTGCTGATGTTTGATGTACAGGCAGAAGAGATGTGAGCAGATTACCTTCTCTGTCCTTAAAAGGAGTGGCCCTGCATTCCCTGAGAGGGCATAGCTGGGGCAGTCATCTGGACCCACCAGACAGGAGCTGAAGCTTGATAAAAGGTGCCTGGTTCCAGTGACTATGGAGCAGCCTGCCAGCACTAGAGGAGTCACAGAGATGTCTAGATGAGTCACAGAGACATTTACATGACAGAAAAATAAACAACTATGTTGTTTAAGCCATTATTAGTCAGTCTTTCAGTTCAAGCAGCTACACGTGTATTTTAATTAATACCAAGACAGCTCTGTAAGTTTGATCCATCCTGAAGAATTGAAAAGAGGGCATATGCCAGAGATATGTCAGGCCAAGGAGTTACAATAGGTATAGGGTGGGGGTGAGGGGCAACTGGGTGGCTAAATGGACTCTTGGCACAATATATATGTGGGCTGACATACTGTGGTGTGGTCCTGTCTCTTCAAATTGGAGGTAGCTGGTTGGGCTAACTGGTGAGCCCAAGCTAGAGATGCAGCTCAAGGGAGCAGGAACTACAGAAGGTGAACCACGCAAGGAAGCAGGGCAGGGAAGGAAGCTGGTAGGGAGAACCCTGATGGGAGTCACTGATTGTAACCACAGGTTCCTGACCAGAGAACTCTGATACAGGCACAGAGGCTACAGGGGCCAGAGCGAGATGTTGAATCCAAGCCAGATCCAAGAGTCAGGAACTGGGTTGGGGTGGAGAGTGGCAAGCAAGCAGACTCTGGGGTGATCTCCATGTGTACAGGTGAGCCTATGGTGAATGGCAATGTATGGGGCACTACACTGGATTAATGATACAGAGGAGCATCAAGGGGCGGTTTCACTTCTCACAGTGTATCCTATGCTTGGAATACCTGCCCCTGCCCATTTCTTCAGGTGTTCACTTAACCTAAAAGACTCAGCTTGGGTGTCACCTTCTCCAGGAAGCCCTCCATGAAACTGTCCACCAGGCTGAGGCAGCTGCCTCTCTTCTCAGCTTCTTCTAGACCCATTTTTCTCTATGTTATAGTAATTGTCCGTCCGTTATTGCATCACAGTTTATGGGTGAATTTGACAGTGTTCTCTGAAGACAATGATACTTGCCTTCATTGTCTCAGTGCTTCTCATAGTTCTGGACACAGATGGGACCCCAGTAAACCTAGATCAAACTATAGGGAAGAGCAGATGGATGACCATGTGGAAGCACAGTGTGTCAGCCTCAGACATCACAGCGTATGAGGGTGAATGCAGCCTCTGAAAGCCCATTGAGATTCTGGGAGGGCATTGGGAGGTGGGAGCAGGCAATGAGTAGAAGGGATGGTCAGGACTGGGCTGCTTCCAGTAAGGCCCCAAAGCTGCTCAGAACTGCATAACTCATTATCACCCTGCATCCCCAAATACTGGTCCCCAGAAGAGAAAATTATCAATAACCAAAGGAGCAAATAAACATCCCAGGATTGAACACTGCATATACCAGATTACACAATACTCATTCTATCCATTTCTCTGCCTTGTGCCCCTGGGAGAGAGGAGGCTGGAGAAAATTCTGCATTTCCCTCTCACCACCATCCCCCCACCCCACACCCACACCCCAAGATGTGTTTCCTTTAGAGAGGAAGGTCAAAAGGCCACATTTAAATCTAGGGAGATGACCAAGTAAAAGGAAGCATCAGCTGGTGCCTTCTATTCCTATTGAATCATTTCATTACTAATTGATAGGGTCATTACTGAATTTTGAAGGGGAAGAACTATGATTAAAGGTTAGTGCCATTACTCCATGCATCACACCTCAAATTGTTATAAAAATGTCCAGAGTATTTAATTGAACCTATAAGTAACAATGTAATTACACTTAATAATGTATGTACCTCTGCATTTATTTGTTCCTCTCCGAGGTACAGAGAGCCCCACGTGGGCAGGTTAGGGAAGATCACAGTGATTCAATGAAACTCCTTGTTCTTTACCTCCCTAGCCCTATCTGTTCTCTCCCTAGCCCTCCAGGACATGAATAATAGGTGACAAGAAAGCCACCCTCCATCTCCCCCACTTCTCAATGAAACGAATCTTAATGTCAATATTTTGTGGTGAGGAAAAGGCAGAGAAAGCAGCAATTGCCCAACTTTTGGCACTTTACAGCCATCCAGGGGAATGTGATTCTTCAAACCTATGATACTCTTTTGTAACTCCATCCTTTCAAAAACTGTTCCCTCCCCTTGTAATGTCCCTTCCTTCTTTACAAACTATGGTGCATTCAGCTAAGTGGCTCTCAGCATTCATTCTCAACTTCTAGTATTTTCCTTTACTGCAAATCCTAGAAAGCTTAAAACTACTTCTCCCAGACTCCTTTGCAACCAAGATTCTGGATGTGTATTAATTCCCTGCACCTCCTACCAGAAGCACTTATGTGAGATTTGGAAGGTAGCAATAGATGCATTTTTTTGCTACTTTGGCTATTTAAAATGGCAAGCAAGTTTGTGGAGATATGGGTATTTTTGTATGAGCATTCTACATCCTAGGGATGGTGGGGCAGAGAGCTAAAGGAACCTAAAAGCTTCATGAAGCAAAGCTCCCATACCAGCTTAGTATACTCACCTCCATACTTACATGAGAGAACTAAAATTCCATCTTGTTTAAGCCAGTTATTTAGGGTTGTTCTATTACTTTCAGCTGAACCTAATCTTAATATACTCACACTAAAGTTTTAGTTACTTTTCTCCCTATCCAGAAGATGCACACATCCTGCTGAATATAGTTTTCTGCTTAGCACTTAACTCTCACTGATAGCTTAGAGTCATTTATAGACTCAGAGATGATGCTGCACTTGCCCTCTATGACTGCTTGTAGTAATGGCCCCAAGTCTTTATTCTTTGCCATGTAACATTGCAGTGGCTTCCCTCATTGGGTAGAATAAACGGTCCCACCCCCTTGACCCTGGGATTGACCTGGTGGCATGCCTTACCCAAGAGAATAAGGCAGAAATGATGGTGTGCCAGCTCCAAGCCTGGATCTTAAGAAGTTTTGTGTATTCTCACATATGTTCTTGTGCCTTTGCAATCAACTTGAGAATGTGTCCAGGCTAACCCATTGACTACAGGAGGTGAATGAGAGACATATGGAATAATAGTGCTGAACCAGATGAGCCTGGCCTAGATGAGTTGCCCCTCAGCTGCAGAAGACACGTGAACGAAGCAGCCCACCCACAACTGACCCCATTTATCACATAAGCAATATATGCTTATTGTTGTATGCCACTAAGTTTTTCCAGTTGTTTGTTACATAGCACTGTTGTGGCAATGGATGACTGATACATCCACTTCCTCATCAACAAAAACGTTTAATAAAATGATCTGTGGGTATCAAGCTCTTAAATGTCTCATTTAAAAGATAACACATAATTGGGAGTTAGGAAACCAGTATTCTAGTTTTAAGACTTTCTACCTGTTGGTTGTGTGACTTGGGTGTCATTTATTTTCTCTGTATCAATTTTCAAATTACAATTAATAATTTTTTCTGCCAATTTCACAATATTTTTGAAAATTTCAACCTTTCAAGAGTATCTTTGAGAAGTCGAAGCAACCTTTATGATTATACATAATTATTAGTGGCTGAGTACAGTGGCTCATACTTGGAATCCTAATGCTTTGGGAGGCCGAGGTGGGAAGATCGTGTGAGGCCAAGACCTTGAGACCAGCCTGGGTGACATAATGAGACTGTTTCCTACAAATATTTTTTAAAAATTACCCTGGTGTGGTTGTTGCATACCTGTAATCCTAGCTACTTGGGAGGCTCTGAGGCAGGAGGATTGCTTGAGCCTGAGAATTTGAGGTTAGTGAGCTATGATCATGCCACTGTATTCCAGCCTGGGTGATGGAGCAAGACCCTGTCTCAAAAAAAAAAAAAAAAAAAAAAAAAATTAAAAGAAATTAATCCCATATAGTTCCCCATCTTAAATCAGAATTTCTTCTAAGATATCATCTTAATCTTGGATGATTTGGTTTGTTTTGCATTTTAAAATGATTTTAGCACATTAATTCTGAGAACCTAAATGTATTTCCTCCACTGGCTTCCTTTTGCCTTGCAGGGGAGCCAGGGATCACCTCTAACACCTCTTTAGCTCTTATGTGAACTCTTTGGCTGGATCTAGAAACCAGATTGACACCAGGCAGATTGAAGAGAGAAAAACAAGCAAATTTCATTAGTTTTTCATGTACATGAGGATCTTCGCAAAAGAGTAAATTTCAAGAAGTTACCAAAGGAAGATGCTTTTATACTTTTTAGACAAAGAACAATAAATTTGAGAAAAAAATAACAGGACAAAGGGGATCTGGCTAATAGTAATACATTTCTAGAGGACTCAGTGGGAGAAGTATGGGGGAAGGTCGAAAAGTAGTGGGATGATAAGAGTTACGTCATTAAGTGTCTCTATTCAGGTCTGTTGCAGCCCCCAATTCTCAGTCTCTGGTCATAAGGGCCATTTTCTCACCCTGACATGGGGAGGGTACCCCTCCCAGAGAAATCTTTACAGCTTGCTAAATGCAGGAAGAGACAAGTTAGCTTGCCCTTTCTGAAACTACAATTTCTCCAATGTTTTCAACCTGAAATACTCAATATGCCCATCCAGCATATTTCGAAATGGCATGTCCTTCTCTCCTTCAGCCACTAACCATATGTGTCCCTACATATAATTCTAGATTTAGCCCGGAATGGTTTCCTCTTATAGAACCAAGTAGCCTTCCTCCCTGGCATGCTGGTTTTGCTAGTGATGCTACTCTTTATTCTAAATTTGGCTAACTTGCTGGGTTTCACAGCCAGTCTCACTGTTCAACACTTTCCAGGGTCCTTTGTGGAGGCACAGCCGCTCTCTCTAGCTCTCTGGCACCACGTCCCTTTATAATGAGCACTTTACACGTTTGGCCAACAATTCCCCAATTTCACCCTTGAGTTCCTTCACTACTCTCCAGCGAGCGCCATCTGGTCCCAGTGATTTATCTACATTTAGTTTGTCAATTAGGTATAAAATCACTTGCACATTTACTGCTATTTGAGTCAGTATCTCTGCCCTGTCAGTTCCAAAAGACAGTCTGGAAGTGGAAATTTTATAGAATCATGAAACCTCAGAGCTACAAGCCTCCTTGGAGAGCTTTTTAGAGGCAACTCCATCCATCCATTCATTCAGATACTCATTTATTCAAGAAACAATTATTGAGTACCTACTATATGCCAGGCCAGGTGCTAGGAGATAGCAGTGGATGAGACAGACTCTAAAATTTCCCTCAGTAGCTTTCTCAGCACCACACTGAGAGTTAGTGGCTGAGCTGAGGCAAGAACTGAGACCCTCTCTTCCTCTGCCATTCTCCCTCCCAGAATCATCCTCTATAAAGAGAAGGGAGAGAGAGACCAGAAGGGAAAAAATGGAGATGGTTGAAGGGCAGATATGGGGAATGGAGGAAGGGGAACTGTGAAAATGAGAAGTGAGTATAAAGAGCTTAAAATAGGATCAAAGGGAATGGGAAGAGCCATAGTAAAGGAAAGAGAGAGAAGCAAAGAGGAGAGGAGAAATATGGTAATTCCTAATTGGGGTTAGGCCTGAAGAAAATAGCTGAGAAACAGGTGGCAGAGGTCTCTGACCTTTTTATCCTTTTTATGCTTTATTCCTTCTTATACTCCCCTGATTGGCAGGAAGGGAGGTGTCTTAGTCCACTCTTGCATTGCTATAAAGAATCACCTGAGATTGAGTAATTTATAAAGAAAAGAGGTTCAATTGGCTCATGGTTCTGCAGGCTGTACAGGATGCATGATGCTAGCATCTGCTCAGCTTCTGGGGAGGCCTCAGGAAACTTACAATCATGGTGGAAGACGAAGGAAGAGCAGGCAGGTGACATGGTTGGAGCAGCAAGAGACAAAGGGAAGGAGGAGGCGCTACACACTTTTAAACAACCAGGTCTGATGAGAACTCACTGTCATGAGAACGGCACCAAGAGGATGGTGCTAAGCCATTCATGAGAAATACACCCCTATGATCCAATCACCTCCGACTAGGCTTCACCTCCAACATTGAGGATTATAATTTGACATGAGATTTCGGCAGAGACACAGATCTAAACCATATCAGGAGGTGAAGGTGATATAGCCATCATTGGGGATCCAGCTTATTATTCTCTGAAAAATCATCATTTTCACTGAGAGAGACATTTACTGATCTGACAGATGCTTCTTTACAAAATCTCTGATCATCCAGTCTTCTCCCGAGGGGGCCTATAAGAACTGTGTGCCTCTGACAAGATGAAGAAAGAATTGATGGAAATTTCCTAGTCTTTATCATGCAGGCCCTGGCAGAAGGGAGGCAAGGATCTGGGAATAGGAAGAAGGCAGAAAAGGAAGGAGGTCAGGGGGAAGGGCACTTAAGTATCATGTAGGGAGATGCTGGGAATTACAAAGAAACAGCTGGCTCTGTTTTCTAGACTTCAGATCATCATAGTGGGCTATTCCCCAAGCCCTTCCAGACAGCATTTCAATAAGAAGGAAAGAATTTTGTACCCTGGAGTAGTGCTGCAGGAGTCCACTGGCAAGGTGATGATGATGTAGCTCAAGGCAGAAAGCAAGGATGCACAATGAAGGGGTGTATGGTGGGTTCTATTATCGTTTGAAATATTTGCTCCTTCCTCCCCCCACAACCCAGTGGAAAATGATACTCCCTTCAACTCCCATTGACAGGCTTGGTGATATGGCTTTTGGTGCTCCTCCCTGCAGAGGGATTAAAAATCTCCACTGTATTCAACTATGGGGTAGCCACGTGGCTTGTTTTAACCAGTAAATATGAGCCAGAGTCTTATGCGTTACTTCTGAGAAGAAGCTCTCAGAAGCAGCTATTGCTTTTTCACTTTTCTTTTCCCTTTGTTATGAGTTCAGTAATGTAGGCCTTCTCTGTCAGCCTGAATCCTGAGTGAAAACAGCATGGAACAAAGGTGCAAGTGGGTGGTGGTAAGTTTAGAAAACAGGGCAAAACATTTGTTTACAAGTCCCATAATTTTTCACACTGGACAAGAAACAGTGAGAAATAACCTGTGTTGTTGTAAGCCATTTATATTTTGGGACTGCTAGTTATCACAGCATAATGTAACCCATACTCACAGGTAAAGGGAGTCTGTGGGAGCTGGTGAGGCAGGCCATTATTGGTGTTAATGGCAAGTCAGAAAATGTCAAAGCCAAGAATTCAACTATACAAAGGGTTTTGTGCCAGGCAGGGATGAATAATGATGATGGGATGAAAGGATTTGGGTGTCTGAAGGACTGGGGCTAGAAATTATAATGAGAGATAGTAGGTCTTACCCGTTGACAGGTTGAGCTCCAGAGCCAAATCCCTTTTCCTCCACTGCCTTGGAAAAGTTACTCTGTACTTCAGTTTCCTCTTCTACAAAATGAGGGTAATAAAAGCAGCACCTAATTATAGCATTGTTGTTGGGACTAAATGAGTTATTCACATGTAATGAGTTTCCCACAGTGTGTTTAGAACAGTATTCAATTCACAGCAGATTCATGTTAGTTATCACTACAATTCTTCAACATTCCTATTTTGCAGATAATAAAACTGAGTCCCCCAAAGGGTTCAAGACTTGCTGGAACTTACATAGCTGTCTGGTAGCAGAGAAGTTTTATAACAGCCAGCCAGAAAGTGGGCTGGTTCTGCACTCATGGGTGTGGATGACCCATGACAAGCATTTAATTTGCACTTAAGCCAAAACAGTTGTTAATAAATTAAACATTGATTGTAAAAGGGCTTCCAATTAAAATTTATTAATTACATCACCAGCTCAATTGTCATACAATTTATATACAATTACCCCAGAACAAATATTTAATTACTTTCCTCTTAATGCATTGAACTGATATTGTTCCTCAGCTGTCAGATAGGAATATGAAAACATTTAATTGACATGGAGACATGAAATCAGAGAATTAATGAGACAACAGTCACATTGTCCTGTCTGTTGGTGTGACACAGCTCTGGGATAATGAGAAAGAAGGGAATTGTGTGAATCTTGTGTCTGCATCTTTCTTTCTATGATAGTGGAGGTTGGGAGGATGACGAAAAAAAAAGTGAGATGTCCCTGAAGACAATGGTCCAGAGTCTCTGTGGAGATGGCTGAGGCTGTCATTGGTTGGATGTGCATTGCAGCTTAACTTCTCCCTCCCCCAATCTTGTATTCTTCCTTCCCCAAAGATATTGATCTGAAGGCACTCCCAAATATAGATTCTGCACATTAAATTGCTTTGCATAGTCTGTTCCAGAAAACTCAATCTGCAACAAGAAGCCATTGGATTTTTCCCAGCTAAAAAGAGACATGATATGACTTGCATATTAACAGGCTGTGACTGAAGGGAGGCAAGAAGTGAAGCAGAGAGACTTGTTAGGAGATGATCTTTAGGAGTTTGTCTGAGTTTGAGATGCTCCACTCTGATGGGTGGAGGGAAGGTCACAGTTAGGACCTGGGAGGAGGAAGGCTCTGAGAGTCTGGCATGAAAGAGTCCAAAGGGCTGGGGGTGGGAGCTGCAGTTATTGCAGGCAGTGGTCTCCGCTTTGCCCTTTGCCTGAGATAGGTTCTGGGTTTTGTCTACAGGGTAGAAGCTATGTTCCTCCAGCACCCAGCAAACAGTTCTCCCACAGATTTGTCCCCTGAGACTGTCCCTTGTGTATTCTGGGGGCACTGAACCCCAGGGTGCCCAGAATCCATGGAATCCTTGTGGATTTGATTTGGAGAGGTGGCTATAAAATTTACATTATGTAGATGGTTATTTCATAGACTGATGAAATCACTGTAATAGGTTAATAGTCTATAATATAAAACATATTACTTAAACCTGTCTGTGCAAGAAAAGCTAAATTTGACTTTTAAAAGCAGACAGCAATAAACTCAGGCCTTGGGGAAAGGCATGGGGTCTTGGATACAAATCTTTTCTTGTCCTCAAGTCTTGTGACATAAGAGATTCTATTCCATATTGGCTCTGCAACTTACTAGCTATGTGACTTTAGACAAGCTGTCAGTCCATTTTATGCTGCTATAACAACACCACAGACTGGGTAATTTAAAATGAACAGAAATTTATTTGGCTCATACTTCTGAAGGCTCGGAAGTCCATGAGCATAGCACTAGCATCTGGTGAGGGCCTCTGTGCTGAGTCTTCCCGTGGTGGGAGCCGAAGGGCAATAGAGGGTGGGAGCAAAAGGAGAAGGGGACCAAACATCTCCTTTCTAATCAGGAACACACTCCCTCTATAACTAACATACTCCCTTGATAGTAGCATTCATCTATTCAAGAAGGTAAAGCCCTTATGACCTACTCACCTCTTAAAGTTCCCACCTTTCAACAGTTTTATTAGAGATTAAGTTTCCAACACATGAACTTTGGAGGACACATTTAAACCATAGCATCAAGTTGTTTAATCTCTTTGAACCTCTTGCCTCTTCTGTAAGATGTAAATTGTTACACTAGTGGGTAGTCCACCTCACTGAGTTGTGAGTAACAAATAAGATACGGAGGTGGCCATGGTGCATTGTTGGGGCTCAAAAAACAATACCCCAAAGTATGGCACTTTGGCATGCTAAATACTTTGAACTAAAGGAGACTGGAAGGTCTCAGAAGCAGCCTCAGAATCAAAGTTTCTCTCTGACCTTCTCCTACCCTCCTGTCTCTCGCCCCTCTCCCCCCAACCAGCCCCCGACGTAAGTCATAGAAACCAGAATTCCTCTTCTTCCAGATGGGTCATAGAAACTAGAACCCCTCTCCCACAAAGGAATTTGTAAAACCTAGAAAGGTTACTCTCTGCCTTCTTCCATTTCCCTTGAAGACCTTCATTCAAGAGGGGTCTTGCCCCATACCCAGGAGGAAGGAATGCTATTCAGAGAGATCAAGAAGAATCTGAACAGATAAGACTTGCTGGGTTTCCCAACTCCCCAGCCCATTACCATTAGATCATGCCTTTTGTCCAATCACATTTCTACATGGAAGCCATTCTTCATCTAAACTAAACATAAAATCAGACCATTTTCCTTGGATCTTCATTTCTGAAGGCTGCCATGTCACATAAAACTTTGATTAAATAATTGTGTTATGAATTTCTCTTGTTAACTTGTCTTTTGTTATAGGAGTGGCAGCTGTGATCCTTATGATGAGTGTGGATAGGCATCACACCTTTCTGCCCCTACAGCATAAGCTGTTAAATGACAGAGAAATGTGGCCTGAGTACTGTGGCTTCCTGATTCTTTCTGCGATAAGTGCTGCCAGGGTAAGAAGTAGGATTAGGGATAACTGAACCCTTCTATCAAGAAGACTTTCCCAGTCAGCTGTGAAAATTCTCCCTATTGAACCCTGAAGCTCTTGTTATACATTTTTGTTAACAGAATTTTTTCAAATGAAAACTAACCCTGTGATTTGACTAGACTGAAAAACAAGAAAGGGAATGTTCTGATATTGGGTATCCATGATGTGCCAAGAACTGTGCTGGGTGTTTTAAATATATCCTCTCAAATTCAGATAATATTCCTATATTTCTGTTAGAAAAATTTGTAAAAGACTTTGAAATGAAAATAAAATACTGCCAAGAGTGTAAATTCTAGTACAACCTTCCAGATTATCTGACTCTGTTGGGGCCTGTGCATTTCATTGACTTTGAGCTATTTCACAACCCTGTAAGTCCTAGAAAAGTGATAGTAATGCAAATGATTCCCAGCCATAGAAATGCATGTGAAGTGTATCTCTTGGAGACACAGTTGATTATTGCCCAGTGGTTATTGATCAATTTTGCAAATATTTGTAAATTTATTTTAGCATTCCTGATTGCCCATATATGTATTTTCTTTGAATTATCCTTCAAGTAGTTGTCACATCTCACTAGTTCCATTGTTAACAAGTAAGTTAAATAAAATATTTGACATGTAGGCACTTTATATTTAAGAGTCATGATTTTACCTCTTAAAAATTATCTTTTAATGTTACATATCAGAAAATTGAGAGAAACTTTGCTGAAGGTCCCAGAGCTGGAGAGCTCAGAGCTGAGACTGGACGTTGGGTCTGCCTGGTTGTTTTCACTTTATGGAGCTGCTTCCATGTGTCATGTTGCACTGATTCACATGTGATCTTTTCTCTCTTGCTTTTTGTGTGTCCTAGAGCACTGAAGAGTTGGTCACTGGGCCTCCCATTCAAGAGTAACTATTTTTTTCCAGGAATGAAGAAGCAGGGTCACACTGGGTTCTGGGCACTACAGTTCATGTGATGGACTGAGAAATAAGCAATGAACTCAGGTAGTAGAGTCAAATGGGGAAGAGTGTGGGTGTCAGGATAGAAAAGAGAAGGGATGGAGAGGAGAAATGTCCAGAAATCCAAGCTAGGTTCCCCCATTACTGCCCTACCTTTATCATCACATTCTAGTCCCTGCGATATTCAGACCAGAATTCTCCCTGTAAATATAGTGTCAAGTGGTGATTAGAAAAATCCCTGTCTCAGTTATAATATCTCCTGTTTTGTTTCTAATTGAGCCTACCTGGATTTTCTCCTTTTCTTGGTTAATTTTTCTAATGGCCTATCAATTTTATTTATCTTTTCAAAGAACCAACTTTTTGTTTCATTTATCTTTTGTTAAATTTTTTGGTTCAGTTTCATTTAGTTCTGCTCTGATCATCGTTATTTCCTTTCTTCTGCTGGGTTTGGGATTGGTTTGTTCTTGTTTCTCTAGATCCTTGAGTGTGACCTTAGATTGTCTGTTTGTGCTCTTTCAGACTTTTTGATATAGGCGTTTAGGGCTATGAACTTTCCTCTTAGCATTGCCTTTGCTGTATCCCCCAGGTTTTGATAGGTTGAGTCACTATTGTTCTTCAGTTCAAAGAATTTTTTAATTTCCATCTTGGTTTCATTTTTGACCCAATCATCATTCAGGAGCAGGTTATTTAATTTCCATGGTTTTGATGGATTCTTTTGGAGTTGATTTCCAGTTTTATTCCACTGTGGTCTGAGAGTGCTTGATATAATTTCAATTTTCTTAAATTTATTGAGGCTCGTTTTGTGGTCTATCATATGGTCTATCTTGGAGAAATTTCCATGAACTGATGAATGGAATTCTGTGGTTGTTGGGTAGGATGTTCTGTAAATATCTGTTAAGTTCATTTGTTCCAGGGTATAGTTTAAATCCATTGTTTCTTTGTTGACTTTCCGTCTTGATAACCTGTCTAGTGCTGTCAGTGGAGTACTGAAGTCCCCCACTATTGTTGTGTTGCTGTCTATCTCATTTCTTAGGTCTATTTGTAATTGTCTTATAAATTTGGGAGCTCCAGTGTTAGGTGCATATATGTTTAGGATTGTGGTATTTTCTTGTTGGACAAGGCCTTTTATCATTATATAATGTCCCTCTGTCTCTTTTAACTGATGTTGCTTTGTTCTCACTCATGTGGGAGCTAAGCTATGAGGATACAAAGGCATAAGAATGACGCTGTTAGAAACAAGAGCTTGGAGTTGCAAGGAAAATGAGGACTCAAAGGATTTCTCAGCAAGGCAAATTTACTTCTGCAGAAGGGTGCCGCTTGCACTTCTGGCTGCTGTGAGAGCACAATGAACAAAGGAGGGAGGAGGTTTTTATCCCTAATGCAGTTCTTGTTTCTGTGTTCCTTCCCCATTGACTGGGGTTGGACCGCACAATCTAAGCTGATCCCGGTTGGCTAAGACTCAAACTTTTCCAAATAGGGTAAATGCAGGACTCACAAGGGAGGAAGAGGGGTAGGAGTGGTCCTTCTGCTACAGCACAAGACATTCCCAAACATGTCTGGGCAAGTCAGGGCACAACAAAGGCAGGAAGAGTAGTTTTGGTGGGAAGAGCTGTTTCAGCGGGAGGGGCAGTTTACAGAATGGGTAGCCAGGAGTAAAAGAGGACTTTTTCCAAATAAGGAAGAGATGTGAGTTACAGATTGGGACTGGCAGGAGTTGTTTACAGAGCAGGTAGCTTAGGAGAAGGGACAAGGAAATTCATCTCGAGAACAAAGAACAAAGAAGTCAGAAATTAAACCTTTGTAGAGAAACTTACTGTATCTGACAACACAATGGACTTTGGGAACTCAGGGGGAAAGGAGTGGGAAAGGGGTAAGGGATAAAAGACTATAAACTGGGTGCAGTGTATACTGCTTTGGTGATGGGTGCACCAAAATCTCACAAATCACCACTAAAGAACTTACTCATGTAACCAAACATCACCTGTTCTCCAATAACCTATGGATATAAAAAAAATTTTAACAAAAAGCCAAAAAAAAAAAAAAAAAAGGAAAAAGAAAAATCCCTGTCTCCATTCTCGACCTTGAATTTAGTTCTTAAATTTCTCCTGAAAAGTCATCTCATTGAGTCCTTGTCCTGGTCCAACAACTGCTTCTTTGGATCAGGCCAGATGTGTGGATGAGCCTCCTAACTTCTGGTTTATCCAGATTCAGTTTCTCCATCAGGATAGGATTACTACCAAGTTAATCCTCTTGAAAGAACATTTTGAACATAAATGACCCTCCCAGCCTTGTATTAGAAATGTTCAAAAAGTATTTGCTGAACAAATGATAAAGGGCGTCCTTTCTTTCCTCATTCCTATCTTTATTCATCCAACTAGCAGTTTTATTAGATGCTTATCTTCTACCCTCCATGATAAAGTATAACATGACTTCTAAGAGTGATCAGAAAGAGCTTTTCAGATTTGGATGAAAAGATCTTTCAAATAAATTACATTTAATAATATTACAGTCCCCACCCCTTTCCATGCCTTGTCAATCTCCAAGCATCCATCACCTTGTAGGTCTATATTTGTCTTCTTTATGATCTGTCTCCTCCATGAAAAAGTAAGCCATCTGAAGGCAGGAATTTATTTTTTGAGGCAGGGGCCGGGGTTGGGGGGGGGACCTGTTTTTCTTTTTGTCTCTCTTGTTACTTCCTGACCTGTAATAAATGACCAATAAAATATTTGTTGAATAAATGAATAAATATGCTTCTGTCAGGATCCCAGATTGAGACTAGGCATTTTCACATATTATCTCACCATCATATCAGTTCAATGAAGTACATTTAATTATTTCTGTTTTACAGATGAGAAAACCAGAAGACAGGTGCTGATTTACCTAAGCGTGACTCACCTGGAAAATGATGAAGCCTGAGTTCTGATACAGGACTCCTCAGTCCCAGCCCTATTCACTCTGGTCAGGCAAGAGACACCCACAGGGACCAATCAGTCACACAGCAGGGCAGAGGGTGAGGGTCACTGAGAGCCACACCACCTGATGGAGTTGTCTTCAGTCAGGAGCAGGAAGGGGCTGCCTCTGGAGGAGAAGGGGCTGGAGCCCAGGAGGGAGTAGTCAGGACAAGACAAGTTTAGAGCTGGAATCAGTGAGTGGGGTTAGGGCCTGTGAGGCCAGAGAAAGAGTGTACATGGAGAGAAGAAATAACAAGATTGGAAATTAGGGGTTGGTTTTTCATTCATTCAATCTTTCAGCATGTATTAAGTATGAACAGCAGATGAGGAAAAAATAATTTTCTCTCTATATTTCATTAGTTCTTAGCTGGGATTGTAATTACCTGACAGATTTTTCCTGCCCACTGCAGACAAAACCAATTCACTGAGACTGTGCTGTTGCAGTAGAGAAAGATTTATTAATGCAAGCTAGCCATGTGGTATATACATGGAGTTGTTACTCAAATCAGTCTCCACAAAGTCTCAGAGGTTAGGGGTTTTCAAACATAGTTTGGTGGGCAGGGGCCTAGGGAATGGGGAGAGCTGATTGGCTGGGGATAGCATCATAGGGGTATAGAAAATGGTCCTAGTGCACTGACTCAGCCCCTGGGTAGGGGCCACAGGACTAGTTGGGTCAGAGTTGCAAGTTGTGGTCTGGGTCCTGGTGCAGTCAGTTGGTAGTCAGAAATGCAAAAGTCTGAAAGACATCTTAAAAGGCCAATCTTAGGTTATACAATAGTGATGTTATCTACAGGAGTAATTGGGGAAGTTACAAATCTTGTGACTGGAACTGGAATAACTAGTTATTGTTTAATTATGCCTACATCTTAGCAGAATTCAGGCCCCTTTCATAATCCTAACCTTGTGGACTTTCACTAGTTTTACAAAGGCAGTTTAGTTTTGAGAAGGGCTATTAACATCCTTACTTTAAGGTTAAACTACAAATTAAATTCCTCCCAGAGTTAATTTGGCCTATGCCCAGGAATGACCAAGGACAGCTTGGAGGTTAGAAGCAAGATGGAGTCAACAATGTCAGATTTCTCTTAGTGTCATAATTTTGCAAAGGTGGTTTCAGGGTCCCCTGTAACAAAAGACAGACTAACAAGAGAAAAGCAAACAGAAGATTCTTAACATGTATACCTCATATATACATGAAAAATACCCAGAGAAAAGAGTAGATCTCAAGAGGTGGCTTAGAATTCAGGCTTAAATACTACTGTCCACTGAAACAAAGAGTGTGGGAAGGCTATGGGGAAATATCTAGGAAAAGAGCAGCAAACAAGAGTAAGGCTTGTTATGTAGATTTAAGTCAGTGATTTCTCCGTTAATAAGAGTTTCCTGTGATTTTGTCATCCTTTCTGGTACAGAGGAAGAAACATTCTTACAAATGAAGACATTCTTTATAAATGTAAATTTTCCTTACAAAAGGGTAATATTTTTTTGAGAGCTTCTCTTGTGCTTGCTGTTTCCAAAAATAACCAGCTCAAAATAATCCTATGCCTAAAAAGCATATTTTGGGGTGGCATATTCTGTTTGGTCTCCTATACCACTATATTCCAGACACAATACCAGGCTCTGGGAATACAAATATGATTAAGCCACAACATATGCTTTCCAGGGATTTATAACCAAAAGAGGGAGAAACACATGTAGACCCAGAAGTAGTGGGAAATATTTTTAAGAGTTCAGTGTGGGCACAAAAATAAAAGCATTCAATTCAGTGTGTGTGTGTGGCGGGGTGAGGGGGTGGTGGTGGGGTGGGAGCATGTGGGTACAGAATGGCTGGGGGGTTGTGGTGCAGAAATGGTGTTATTGAAGAGTCCTGCCCTGCATTGAGTTTTGAGTGACTGATCCGTGTTTGCTGAGAGCTTAGGAGTGCAGGAGAGAACTCAAGGCAGAGAACAGCATAATTGCGGTAGAGAGGCATGAGATAGGCTGGTTACAAGATGAGGGGGCTAGATCTGTTTATTTATGCCACTTGGGGGTGCAGACGATGTGCACAAAGACCAGGCAGTAAGAGCTGGTAGCAGCCAGGTCATGCGAAGTCCTGCATGCTGAGCTAAGGGACTGGCAAACTTCATCTATAAAGGACCAGATGGCAACTATTTGAGGCTTTGAACTCTGCCATTGTATTCAAAAGCAGCTACAGACAATGTGTAAATAAATGGGTGTGGCTATGTTCCAGTAAAACTTTATTTAGACAAACAGCCTGCAGGCTGGTTTTAGCTCCCCACCCCCGCTGTCATTTGCCTACCCCTGCCAGAGACTCAGGCAGCCATGAGCAGTGTTTCTGCAGAGGAGAGTGTCCTGAGAAGATTTATGAGGCTATCACGTGCAGGGTAGATTGAACCAGGAGAATTGTTGGGTGCCAGATGAAATGGCCCAACCATGAATTTACAAGTTGAGTAGGATGGCAGCAATAAGAAATGAAAGAGAGGCAAAACCACTTTGTACAAAGAGTAAAAGTATCTGGCAGTTCAATAAATATAGGAGATGAAGGAGACAGAAGAGTTAAAAGTGGATCCCAGATCTGAGCCTGGGTAGGGGGGAGGAAAGCAGTGACTTTGTGATTTAATTTTAGGCAGTTCCCTGCTGCTCTATAATGGAAAGTAGATAAAGATATTCATCAGGAATTGCAAAACAAATAAGAAAAATTTCTTCCATGTTACTGCAAAGGCAGAGATTCTTTTTAGAAGCAAATATTACCTGCAGGTGGAGGGGAAAGGATGGTGAGTGGGGGGAGGTGATATATTCCAAATAAGCTTTTTGCTAACTTGAAGGGAAATGGATACATCTGGAAAATTCAAAACTGTTTGCATAAGCGAAGTATGGCTGTTCAGGCCCTGTTTCTCAAATCCCAGGTGTTACATAAGATAATGTTGCTAAAATGTTTGGGACTTAGGGAGAGAGACTGTATAAACATGTGGTTTTACTATAGCTCATAAAAGATGATTGTGTGAAAACCTCAGAAAAATTGAAACTCGGCACAGTATAAATGAATGCCTTCCCTTCTAGTTTTATCGCTGTGTCTCGCTCAAGGCTTGAAGATGTGATTAGAAATGGGTGTCTAGAGGCCAGACAAGGTACTAGGATTTAGTAAGTTGCCTCCATTTGTCTGTTGTGTTGTTGACTCTGGAGTGTGGGTTGAATAGAAGGGGTCTATAGATACATGTAGGTGTGTGTTCATGGGTGCTCTGGGCCAGGCATGCAAAGAAAAATAAATGACTGTAAAGTAATCAGTAGGGGCATAATGAGTTGGTTGGTGCAGGTGGCTGAGACTCTCTGCAAAAATTCCAGGAGAACTTGACCTCAAATCATTGCTTCAGCATTTTCCATTTTCTCAAGTAAAATAAAATGTGAAATGGACTTGTTTTTAGCAGTAGCATTTTGTTTTTATTTGCCCACAAGGGGACAGAACAACAGTGCCTTTGAAAAGCCAGCCATGTGTGTAGCCCTGGGGCTTGCTCTCTGGATCATGGGGTGGTGAGAATTGGTGTGCTTCTAGAATACCGGAAAATCTGGCAGAAAGAAAGAAAGGAGAATGAGAGAGCAGTAAACCCTCCATTTCCAGGAATTCTGAAGAATAACTTCCTGACATTTTATTCCTGGCACTATTCTATGTTGTTTTTTTCTCCAACAAGACTCAGCCCACTGAAGTCCACTGGGCATAGGGACACAGGATGGGGTGGGCAGGGTGGGTGGTGGGGGATATGAAGGGAAATGTTTGTAGTGGGTCATTTGGGAATCCTTCCTCACCTCAATGAAGAGTCCTACTCCACAAGGCTATGTAGCACAGAAGGAACCAAGGCTTGAGAAGTAGGTGGTCGGCAGTTCAAATCCTGGATCTGTCACTTGCTAGATGCCAGGCCTCAGGCTACTTGCTTAATCTCTTAGAAACTTCTTTCGTCATCCACACAATGAGGATGCAAAGATTGCCACGTCTTATTGCCAACAAGAACCAGGGAGCTCTGACCTTACATGCCAGGTCCAGGTTCAACCCTGGTTTTCACTGTGTGGTCTGAGAATGGCTTGTAGGTATTTGGGGCCTGATTGCTGAAGGCTTGTTTTGGTTTTCATGTATTAGCAGACTGTATGCTGTGTTCTGGGCATGGTGGGGCACAGGGAAGGGAGTCAGTCATGCAGCCTGCTGGTTGAGAGGTAAAGCATGAGCACAGGTCACTAATAGGGTAAGGTAGAAAGTGAGGCAAGCTCCACAAAGGGCAGATGGTGAGGCTGAGGCAAGGCTAGGAGGGAGTGTTCATTGGCTTTGGAGATTCTGGTGCCTGCTCCCTGTGTGATCATGAGCAAGTCACATAACCTCTTTGAGCTTGTGTCTTTTTTTTTGCTGTCTGCAGAATGATGAAAATGGTGATGATGAGGTTACTTGGCAGAGTAAATGAAATAACATGAGAAAAATCATGTAGCAAAGTGCTGATCTTTGTCTGATGGTTGTGATTAACAGTTTTGAGTTCGTAAGTTAATTTTCCTTTCTACTCCTTATTTAGCAAATTCTGCAGCTGGAGCCCTGTGATGGGAAGATAATAGCTATGTGCTCCGGGAGAGCAGGAATGGTGTCTTCTCTTTATGCACTGAGGTCTACCACAGGCTTAGCAGATGAGAGTTGTACTGCCATAGTGAGTACACAAAAATGAATGGATTTAGTGGACTGGTCAGAGAGTGCACTCCACTTCTCTGTAGGCCAGAAACCAAGAAACCTGTCCTGATCTTTCCTTTGTGTTCTTAGACTCACTCTCTATCCCTCTCCATTCTGCTCTGCCCTGGAGAGGCTGGCGCTTAGGGGCTACATCAATGGGCTGCCTTGCTCTCAGACTTCAGTGAATGGGAACTACCAGCAGCAGGTCAAAGAATGAGTGGAAAGTGAAATGGGGTATTTAGTACCTGGATCCCTCTCTGTCGGGTCACTGTGGCTTAGTGGCTTAAGCTTACCAAAGGCCTCAGCTGTTGTCTGACAGTTTTCCCTAAAGCTGCTGTCTGCAGTTCTCTCCCTTTGCCCCATTAGGCTCAGGTGAGGTAAGAGCACCCTGCTGTCACTAACTAGCACCATGATACTGCAACGTACTGTAGCCTTGGCCATGTCTTTGCAAATAGTCTCTCCAATGATCTCCCCATTTGAGTTTACCATCTGTTGATGGCCAGCGACCTTGACTTTTTCAAACTTGTAAGGGAAGTTAGGGAACATAATGAAAAGTGATTTAATGCAGAAAGTAAGGCTATTGAGAACACAGCTGAAAGAGCTGGAGTGAAATGGTGCCTGGGAAGATGTTCTTTTAAGGACTTTTCTGAGGGCAACAGTAAGTGAGCATTCTCCATGCAAGTTGTCAGAAATGAGATCTTGTAGAGTGCGAGGGCAGAATATCTGGAGCCAATCCAAAATGAATTTGCTCCTTCAGGAGCCAGAGAAGTTAGGGAGAAGGGGCTGGCTTAGACATGAGGGAGAAGGGCTGGAACTAGGAGGTGAGACAGTCCCCAAGCTTGAATATAGAGAATGAAGGCAGATTCAATGGCTCATCTCCTCTCAGGCAGCTTCTTCATAGCTACCTAGCACCCTGTGAGTTCCTCCAGGATAGGGACAGCATGCATTCTGAAGGGCAGTTGACACACTCTGGAGAGGTTCACACGAGGGAAATAGAGGAAAAGGAGCCCAAGGTCTTTGGAAGACAACCTGATTTCCAGAGGAAAGATGCAGGAAGAAACCTGGAAAGGGACATCAAGCATTTTCTTGAAGGGAAATGGGGTTCTCTGGGTCTTTGGTCTACCAAGCGGTTTGCGGCCAAATTGAGGAACACATCCCCAGTAGTGGGGTTGCCTGGGATTAGGAGAAAGCGTATACATGGGCGAGGGGGGTAGGGAACATGTCAGACCCAGAACTCAATGGCTCTATTTTCAGGCAAGTTAACTGAGTGGCCCAGTTTCCATGGAGAACCCAAGTCATTTTATTGGAGACATATTACTTAATTGTCCCCACTTTAGCCATGACTTTAGGCTCCCTTGTCACACACCACACAAGACCCATACTCCCCTTTCATGATATTGAGCACACCGATGAGTATGTGTTCAAATCTGCCTTCTCACCTAGGCTCTGTGCTCCACAGAGACGGTGTCTGTCTGGCCTCACTACAAAATCCCCCACATTCAACATCTTCCCCTGTCCTCAGGGAGCCCTAGTATGAGGGGGAGCCTCAGTCTGAGGGGAGACATAGCCCCACTCTCAGGGAGCCCCAGTCTGAGGGAGACACAGCCCCGTCCTCAGGGAACCCCAGTCTGAGGAGAGACGCAGCCCCACCCTCAGGGAGCCCCAGTCTGAGGGAGACACAGCCCCAACCTCAGGGAGCCCTGGTCTGAGGGAAGGCACAGCCCCATCCTCAGGGAGCCCCAGTCTGAAGGGAGACACAGCCCCATCCTCAGGGAACCCCAGTGTGAGGAAGATGCAGCCGTATCCTCAGGGAACCCCAGTCTGTGGGGAGATGCAACCTCTTCCTCAGGGAGCTCTGGTCTGAGGGAAGGCACAGCCCCATCCTCAGGGAGCCCCAGTCTGATTTGGGAGATGAAACCTGCATTGGAGAAAGTCTGATTTTGTATAGGGAGTGTTGCAAACAATCATTCTTGATGCCAAGCCTAGAAGTGCTGAGAAAGGGATTTATCAATGCCCCAAGTCTTGATTTGTGCATTGTGGAGTCAAAGGTTGCGGGGAGCCACATGAAGCTGATAGAGAGGGCAGGTTCTGCTCTCAGGCAGCCCATCAGCCTAAGTGGCTCACAGATGCTCTGCTCATAGGCTGATCATTTTGTATGGTCAGTTTGCAACATAGGCTTGCAGGATATTGCCAAGTATGTCTGCTTCTCTATTTATTATGCTTAAGTTGTATGAAACAAGCCAAGGGCTAAAGATCAAATGGTCAGTGCCCAGCTGACCCTGGAGGGATGAAGGTGTGGAGAGGGATCATGGTCTCTTAATGTGAGGGGGAAGATGCAGGCCAGCATGCCTGGGGCACAGGTCAGGGATTCGGTGCTGAGAGTGGGCAGTCTTGTTTCTGCAGGCTGCTAGAAATGTCTGTGGGGTGGAACAATCTGGCAGCCGTGTGAAGGCCGTCCTGGAGAAGGACAGGAGAAAGGGTGCAGAAGAGACCCACAGCCTGACATTTGGAGTCTCATTGCCATGTATATCCAGCATACACGTGTATAAATCAATCCATACATTACACAGCACAGCACCTAGCCTCTCCCTGGCATCCAGCACCTTCCACTTATAAGAAATAGGGCAAAGGATGACACCAGTCTTGGGGGCAATTTGTTGGGGAGGCAATGGGAGATGGACTACTGAAGCATCAGGGTCTGCCCAGATCTACTGAGTCAGCCTAGCCCTTGTGGAGGGGCTGGGGCCAGACCAGGGTACATCTGTAATTCCTGAGTTCTGCTACAAGAATGAGCCACCTCCCTCGTTCAATCAGACCCCTCCCTTCCTTCCTCCCTCCCTCCTACGGAGAAGCCTCAGAGGGGTTCAGGCCCTTGGGCTAAGGTTGAGTGTGTCTCATTTATCTTTGTAGCTTCCTCTCCCCACTGAAGCATGGTGCCTAATAAACACTTCAGGGATTCCCTGGAGAGCCAAGGAGGCCAGACCTGCCCTAAGAGAACCTTCTTTCTGACTGGGGACAGAGCTTTCTCTTTGTCTGGGAGGGGAACTGGCCTAGAGAGACAAGAAGGATTGGGCTTCTTGAAGCCCTTCTCTGAACATAAAGGTATAATCAAGGGGCTTGTTTTCTTGCTTTGCCACTGGGTCCTGGCATCATTAAACATTCTCATCAATCTTCTAGATTCTCTATGATCTGGAAGAGAAGGTGATAGCCCCTGCTGGCTGCTGACACAACCCTGTCAGTAAGTGAACTGCTAAGCCTGTGGGAGTTGGTTAAAGAATAAAGTTCCTGGCTGGGTGCGTTGGCTCATGCCTGTAATCCCAGCACTTTGGGAGGCCAAGGCAGGCAGATCACGAGGTGGGGAGATCGAGACCATACTGGCTAACATGGTGAAACCCCATCTCTACTAAAACTACAAAAAAATTAGCCATGCATGGTGGCATGCACCTGTAGTCCCAGCTACTCAGGAGGCTGAGGCAGGAGAATCGCTTGAAGCCAGAAGGTGGAGGTTGCAGTGAGCCGAGATCACACCACTGTGCTCCAGCCTGGTAGGAATCGAAACTCTGTCTCAAAATAAAATAAAATAAACTTCCCCCAGGCTGGGGAAGAGCTTATGTGGGGAGAAGCAGAAATCAAGTGGAGGTAAAACTTGGTGAATAATTTCTTGAGCTCCCAGCCTGCATCTAGGAGATGGTCTGTCTAGGAGGCCTGGGACCACACCGAAAGGACACTGGAATTCCAGCCTCCTTTCCCTGCTACAAAGTCAGGGATTTGTAGGGAGATTCTGGAAAGTGATAGAAGTTTTGGGTTCTAATCATAGTTCTTGAACAAATTGCTTAAGGTCAAGTGATTTTAGACTTTCTTGACTTTTGAGATGATCTGGACCAAACCCTTCTGGGACAGGTGGGGAAACTGACAGGTCAAATAGTTTCTCCAAGATCACATGGACTGTTAGTGGCAAAAGAGAAAACAGGGCTCCTGATGCATCATCTACTACCTGAGACATCACCTTTCTGGGTCTCAGCTTGGGTCCTGGGAACAGATTCTAGGGTACAGGCTAGTGGGTAGGAGGTTTAACTGGGAGTTCTCTCAGCAGAAACACCTGGGGAAGGGAAAGGATGGAAGCACAGTTGGGCAGAGGGGAAGTTGGGCTGCCATGCAGTATCAATGGAAGCCACAGCCAGCCCTGTGGGAAGATGCAGAGCTAGGATTGGTCTGCATCTATCCGTCACTGGATGTGTGCTGCTCTGGGAAGGGTGTACCCTTGGGGAAGGCACTCTTTTCAGCTGAGGCAATCCTCAAGGGGCTGGCAGGTAGGGAGATGAATTCTTCCTTCCTTCCTGAAGGGGACCTAGGGGACTCATCACAGAACCACCACATTGGTAGAAAGGGGAGCGCCACCTGCCTGGCTTGCATGACTTACATAGGTAATGTGAGAATTAAATCCAATCTCATACACAAATGCACTTCAAAATAGAAAGCAATGTAGAAAACTGAGGAGGTCTGACTACAGCTGGCCTGCTGTGTGCAGCTCTGGCTTGGATATTGACAAACACAGGAAGCAGTGAGAGGAGCTCCCTTTGCCCCTGTGTGTGTCTGTGGGGCCCTCAGAAGGGAGGCATGTGGTGTGCAGGTGCCATATTTCTCTTGGCCCAGTTGTCATATCCCCTGGTAGAACACCTCCCCCTTGGCATTAAGGTCTCTAAGCCAGCAAAGCCCAGCACCCTATGAAAGAAAGAACACATTTCGGGCCTGGGTCTCATGCTAGTGAGATTGGCCCTCCCTGTCTCCTCCTTGCTTTCCTACACCCCTCTATCTGGAAGAGGGAGAAATAGCCTTATAGACTTTGAGGTGAGATTCTATAATATTTGCAAAATAACCCCCCAATGGCTTGATCAGTGAGGTGAAGTGGAAAGACTGCAGGCTTTGGACTCAGGCGTATAATTGTCTAATCCTGCGCCAATACCTACTGGCTGTGTGGCCCTGGCAACTTCTCTGAAACTCAGTTTCCTTGTTTGAAAAATGAGAATAATAGAATTAAAGGACCAAACATATATAAAATGCCTATGACTATGCCAGGCATGTAGAAAATCCTGAATCCCTTCCCTCTCTCTTTGCTTCTGTCCTCTGGGAGATAGCAGGACAACCCCCTAGGGGACAGGACTGGGGGAACCATCTCCCCTCCCTCCACTGTTCCTTGAAGAGAGCACCCCTGCCATCCTCCCACTACATCAAATGCTGGAAGGCAGTGGCAGCTGGGCACCTAACAGAGGGAGACGGTGCAGAGCTGATGGCCAGGGAGGGAGCTACCAGAGGAAATGAGTGTTCTCGGGGGAGACTGGGGGAAACAGAAGTACTTCGAGACCATCCATGCCACTGGAGAAGGCTCGGAGGCAGCGGCTGTGCTGTGTGAAATGAACGATTCACTCAAGAGGAAACATGATTTCTCTCTCGTTTGTGGAGCTAGTCAGGTAAGGGCTGGTTGATTGAAATCTTGAGCGATTAAGTAAATGGAGAGGAGCTTTGAGATCGAATCTGTGTTTCCTTCCCCAAGGATCCCTGTGCTTCCCTGGAACTCCTAGCCCCCAGCTCCCAGAGCATTTGTTCACCCGCTGTCAAAGGTGTGTTCTCCTCGGCCTGGGCCACTGGACTGGGAGTGGGGAGGGCTGGGTGCAAAGGGACAATGAAGGAAGAACTCCATTTCTTATAACAGAGTCTCAAGCTGCCAGCAGCCCCTGAAACACAGGCTTTAAGTAAGATCTAAAAGGTGGACCTTATTAAGGACTGGATAAGGTGGCTTGGGGCCAGACAGGAAATTGGAATTGAGCACTGATGGGAAAACCTATTATTAATACTTTGTTGCTTAGGGAGTGCTACCATTACGGAACACACAGGGCAGAGGCAGGGAGAGGGCATGGAGAAAACTCGTCATGATTTTCACCTCTTAACAGAGGAATGGAGCTCCCAGCTGACTGACAACCCAGCCTCGCCCCATCTCCCAGGGGAGGATTCCTGGCCCAGGTGGTTGAGGTGTGGAGGACACGGCAAGTATGTATTTAAGTACCCACAGAGAGATGGGTGTGTCCAGCTCTGAAGGGGACCCTAGCATAGGATGGCTAAGCAGAGGGTACTGGCAGCAACCTCAAAAGCACATTAGAAGATTAAGCTCAAAGAAAAAAGACCTAATATTTTAAAGAGGAAAAAAAATTAAATTTGATGAAATAATAGAAACACTTTCCAGCTAAATGCCCAATTTTCCAACTTTAGGAGCAAGGCTATGTGGGGGTGGAGTGGGGGAAGGGTCGCACTTATTCCTGGTGAATGAAACTCTTAACAGTGGTCTGAGCCCCACAGAGGAGTGTAAGGGATATTTTAGCATTGGCAAAGTCTTTACAGATGCCATTTAAGTACCATCTGCAATGCTGCTTCCTCGTCAAGACTTGTAAGCGTGTCCTTCCCCAGCTGGAGATTTTCTCTCCACCTTCTGTGTTTAAGCTCCCCCAGCACTGCTTTCACCTCTGTGCAGTGTGAATTTCTTGTTCCCTTGGTAATTGTTCTCCTGTCTGGTTCCCTCCCTCCACTGTAAGCTCCGCAAGTGCAGGGATCAGGCCTTATCTAGTTCCTTCTCCAGTACAGCATCTGGCAGATTCCACTGAAATGAATGGAGTCCTCTGCAGAAAACGGCTATCCCAAGCCTGTGTATGTAATACACTGCGCCTGTATGGACAGGCCGAGCACTGCTGGTGCCCCTATACCTGCCACTTTCTGCAGTGGTGAGGGGATGTGGCTGGTAGCAACTCACAGCTGCCCCTTCTCAGGAGAATTGTCCCCAGACAAAAGGGGGCCTCTACTGGGAGATGGACCAGGAGGGAGGGCTTGGCCAGAAGAGGATCTCTCTCCTCCCCACCTCCTCAGACCTGAGCCAAGGACAAGCTGACACAGGGGGCAGAGCAGGCTGGCCTCCTGGCCTCAAGGTGGGCCCCTCTGAGGCTGAAGTGAGTCTCTACCAGACACACCATGCTGGCTTTGCTCTTTACCCCGTGCTCCCTCTTGCATTCCCCATTCCTCCCCTAAGACCACATCCCCAGCAAACCACTTGAACAGTATCCACCTCAGGCTCTGCTTCTTAGGAACCACTGTGAGGGAGGTGCTGGCAGGTATGTGGGCACCATCAAAACTGATGTGATGTGGCAGTCTCAGATGGGGATTCAAGTGCTTAGTGGGTTAATGGAAAGTGATCCCAGGAAGCTCCAGGAGGGAGTGGGGAAGAGAGGAAGTGAGGCAGGGAGGGGAGAAAGGCAGCCAGGAGCACACTAATGAGCGCGCTACCCCTGTGGGCAATGGGCACTCAGTCCTGCTGGGGCCCTTCTGAGACGCAGTGAGGAACACACCTCAGAATTGTCTCCTGAGGAGTCTGCGGGATATTTTAGCAGCGGTAAAGTCCTTAAAGTTGATGTTTAAGTACCATCTGGAATGCTGCTTCCTTATCCAGAGGGGCAAGAAGCTATGGTATTTATCAACTCCTGTCCATTGTTAGTTGAGGGCCACTGAGGGGACATTAACTCCTAACACTTCTGACCTGCCTGACTCCAGCAAGGAGACCACACTCCAGGGCAGAGAGATGCAGAAAGCCCTGGGTGGCCAGGGAGCTGTTTATGGGTGATCTCTCGGGTAGGCCAAGAGGGTATGCTTACGCACTGACAGAACAACCAAATCAAAACTAAACCAGAAAACACTGGTTACATTTCCACCTGGCTGTCTGCAGGAACATCATACTTAACATGACCCCGAAGTGAACCTGCAACTTTCCTCCCCATCTGCCCCCAAATCTGCCCCTTCTTCTGCCCCATTCCCTACACTCATCTTTCAAATAACTGTTTAACCCATTGACCCAAGGCAGATGCCTCAGCATTGGTTTAACTTCCTAACTGATCCCTCTTTCCCCCAGAGCCATCAAGTACTTTGTTCCACCTTTCATCTTCTTCTATGATTATTATTTATGTTCATTAGAAAGCAAGTCGCCACCCTTTATGGTTGAGCATGCATGGGAAGTCTCACCATCTTTCATGCCTGATTGGCTATGGTTTGTCCTCCAACAGACCCTCCCTGGTATGTATTGCTCTTTTGTTTTATTTCTAGGAAGGTCTCTACTCCTTCCCTGACAAGCCAGATACTTGCCAAGAAAACAGCCTACCCTGGAAGCTGATCTGCCACCCTGCTCATTGAGAGGAGATGGTGACCAGGGTCCATCTTTTAGTCAGATTCTTGAATCTCCACCCTGAGCAATCATTTCTTGGAGAAACAAAATCCCCTCACCCTGAGAGGTGGAGGTTTTTGTTCAGTACATCAACTCTTGTCTTCTTTTTGAGGCTCTGTGGGAGAAATGTCTCTATTTCCAGAGCCAATACTCACCATGTTCCTCCCAAGAAGCTGGAGTGCTTTTATCTTACAGGCTCTGTGAATCAAGTGTTGGATTGAGCCTCCTGTTTTGTACTGACTGTTAGAAAGTCAACAGCTGAATTCATGGCCCACCTCTAGCAAGCATAAGGATCTGACTATCCCAGTGTGAACTTCCTCTTTTTTGTTGGTATGTTTTGTTACCTGTCTTTTGTTGCTAAGCATATGGAACAATTTTATTGTGTATATTAAGTTGTACAATATGATGTTATGGGATACATGCAGATAGTAAAAAAAAGTTACTTAAGCGAGGCAAATTAACATATCTATCATGTTACATACTCTTTTTTCGTTTTGTGGCAAGAGCAGCTAAAATCTACTCATTTAGCATAAATATTGAATACAGTACAATTTTATTACCTACAAACATCATGTTGTACATTAGAGCTCTAGACTGGTTCACCCTGCATTTCTGCTGCTGTGTATCCTCTCATCTACATCTCCTTATTTCCTCCCCGTGCCACTTTCCGGTCCCTGGTAATCACAGTTTTGTTTTTGTATCTCAGTATATTTGCTTTTATTTTTTAAGTTTCCACATATAAGTGAGATGATAGATCATGCAGTATTTTATTTTCTGGTTTATTTTTATTTATTTATTTATTTATTTTGAGATGGAGTTTCATTCTGTTGCCTAGGCTGGAGTGCAGTGGCGTGATCTCCGCTCACTGCAATCTCTGTCTCCTGGGTTCAAACGATTCTCCTGCCTCAGCCTTCCTAGCAGCTGTGATTAGAGGTGTGCACCACCACGCCCCAGCTAATTTTTTTGTATTTTTAGTGGAGACCAGGTTTCATCATGTTGGTCAGGCTGGTCTCAAACTCCTGACCTCAAATGATCTACCCTCCTTGGCCTTCCAAAGTGCTGAGATTACAGGTGTGAGCCACCACGCCCAGTGCCATGCAATATTTTACTTTCTATGTCTAACTTATTTCATATAGCACAATGTCCTCCAGGCTCACTATATTGTGACAAATGGTAAGATCTTATTCGTTTTTTAGAGATGAATAATAACTCATTACACACACACACACAGTTTCTTTATCTATTTGTTCACTGACAGACACATAGGTTATTTCCCTTATCTTGGCTATTGTGAATAATGCTGCAGTGAACATGAAAGTACAGATATCTTCACAAGGTGGTGATTTCATTTCCTTTGGGCATATGCCCAGAAGAGGTATCACTGGGTCATGTAGTAGTACTATTTTAATTTCTTTAGGAACCTCCATGCTGTTTTCCATAATGGCTGTATCAATCTACATTTCCACCAACATTGTACAAGGGTTCCCTTTTCTTTATATTCTTGCAAACATTGTTGTCTTTTCACTTTTTGATGATAGCTATCCTAACAGATGTGAGGGAGTATCTTCTGTGATTTTGATTTGCATTTTTCTGATGATTAATGATGTTGGGAACCTATTCATATACTTGTTAGCCATCTTTATATATTCTTTGTGAATTATCTATTCAGATTCTTTGCCTATTTTTTAAGTCAGGTTATTTGTTTTTCTATTATTGAGTTGTACGACTTCTTTATACATTTTGGATATTAACCCCTTATCAGATATATGATTTACAAGTATTCTCCCAATTAATAGGCTGCATTTTCTTTTGGTTAATTGTTTCCTTTGTTGTGCAGAAGACTTTTAGTTTGATATGGCTTTACTTATTTTTGCTTTTGTGGCTTGTGCTTTTGTAGTGATATCCAAAAAATAATTGCCAAGGCCAATATCCAGGAGCTTTTCCTTTATGTTTTCTTCTAGGAGTTTTATAGTTTCTGTTCTTACATTTAGGTCTTTTATTGATTTTGAGTTGATTTTGTTTATGGTGTAAGATAAGAGTTCAACTACATTCTTTTGGATGTGCAAATCTAGTTTTCCCAGCACCATTTATTGAAGAAACTATTATTTCCCCATTGTGTCCTCTTGGTGCCCTTGTCAAAAATTAATTGACTGTATTTGTTTGAATTTATTTCTGTGCTCTCTGCCCTGTTCCATTAGTCGATGTGTCTGTTTTTATACCAGTACTATACTGTTTTGATTACTATACTTCTGTAATATAATTTTAAATCTGGAAGTTTGATGCCTCCAACTTTGTTTTTCTTTCTCATTGTTGTTTTGGCTTTTCAGGGTCTTTAATGTTTCCATAATGTTTTGTCTATTTCTGTGAAATATGTCATTGCACCTTTGATAGAGATTGCATTGAATCTGGATATTGCTTTGGGTAGTATGGACATTTTAACAATATTCTTCTTCCAATCCATGAGAACAGGGTATCTTTCTACTGATATTTATGTCTTCTTCAATTTCCTTTACCAGTGTTTTACAGTTTTCTGTGTACAGATCTTTTACCTCTTTGGTTAAATGTATTACTGAGTATTCTTTGATACTATCGTATTATAAATGGGATTATTTTCTTGATTTCTTTTACAGTTAGGTTATTTCTATATAAAATGCTACTGATTTTTGTATGTTGATTTTTGATATGGTTTGATATTTGTCCTTTCCAAATTTCATGTTGAAATGTGATCCTCAATGTTGGAGGTGGGCCCTGGCGGGAGGTGTTTGGGTCATGGAAGCCGATTCCTCATGAATGACTTGGTGCTCTGCCTGTGGTAATGAGTTCATGCAAGAGCTGCTTGTTTAAAGAACCTGGCACCTCCCGCATCTCTCTTGCTCTCTCTCACCGTGTGATACTCACTCCTCCCTTGCCTTATGTCATGATTGTAAGCTTCCTGAGGCCCTTACCAAGAGCAGATGTTGATGCCATGCTTGAACAGCCTGCATAATGAGCCAAATAAACCTCTTTTCTTAATTACCCAGCCTCAGATATCCCTTTATAGCAATGCAAACCAGACTAACACAATTTTATATCCTGCAACTTTATTAAATTCATGTATTAGTTCTAACAGATATTTTGTGTGGAATCTTTGGGATTTCTCGCATGTCATCTGCAAATAGGATAGTTTTTCTTCTTTCTTTTCAATGTGAATGCCTTTTCTTTTTCTTACCTGATTTCTCTTGCTCATACTTCTAATACTATGTTGAATAGAAGTGGTAAGAGAGAGCATCCTCATCTTAGTAAATTCATCCCTATCTTGGTGGAAAAGCTTTCAGTTTTTCCCCATTGATTATAATGTTAGCAGTGGGATTTTTGTAAATATCTTTTCTTATATTGAGGAACTTTCCTTCTATACCTAAACTGTTGAGAATTTTTATCAAGAAAGAATGTTGAACTTTATCAAATGTATTTTCTGATTTTCAAAAACATATTTTCTGATTTTCAAAAATCAATTAAGATGAGCATATGATTTTTATCTTTTTGTTAATGTAATGTGTCACATTGATTGATTTGTATATATTAAACCAGCCTTGCATGCCAGGGATAAATCTCACTAGGTCATGGTATATAATGTTTTTGATGTATAATCTAACAACCATATGTTTGATTTGGTTTGCTAATATTTTATTGAAGATTTTTGCATCAATGTTTATCAGTTATTGGCCTATGGTGTTTTTTATTGCAGTGTCTTTGGTTTAGGTATCAAGGTGATGCTGGCCTTGTAAAATGTGTTTGGAAGTATACCCTGCAGATAAAATTTTTGCAAGACTTTAGGAAGTATTGGTATTAATTCTCTGAATATTTGGTAGAATTCAGCTGTGAAGCTGTTTGGTCCTGGGCTTTCTTTTGTTGAGAGGTTTTAAAAGTAATAACATTTCTTTTTTACTGGACTGTTCAGGCTTTCTATTTTTTCCTGGCTCAATTTTTTGTTAGGCTATATTTTTCTATAAAGCTATTCATTTCCTCTGGGCTATCTAATTTGCTGGAATATAGTTGTTCATATTAGTCCCTTATGATTCTTTTATTTCTGAGCTATCTGTTGTAATTTCTTTAATTTTTTATTTCTCTGAGTTTTTTTTCTTAGACTAGCTAAGGGATTGTCGATTTTGTTTATTTTTTCAAAAAACAACTCTTTATTGATTCTATGGTTTTTCTGTTTGTTATTTGATGATTTTTGTTATGATTGTTATTATTTTCTTTCTTTTGCCAATTTTTAATTTTTTAAATCTTTCTAATTTCTTGAGGTATAAGGTTGGACTATTTGAGAATCTTTCTTTTTTAATGTAGGCATTTATTTCTATAAACTTTCCTCTTAGAACTCCTTTTGCTGCATCCCATAGGTTTTGGTATATTGTGTTTTCATTGTCACTTATCTTAAGATTTTAAAAATTTCTTTTTTGTTTTATTCTTTGACCCACCGATTGTTCAGGACCATGTTGTTTAATTTTCACATATTTGTGAATTTTTCAAGATTCCTCCTGTTATTCATTGCTAGTTTCATGACATTGTGGTCTAAAACAATACTAGAAATTGTTTTAATCTTCTTAAATTTGTTAAGACTTGTTTTGTGGGCTAAAATATGGTCTTTGTGGAGAATGTTCCAGGTGTGCTAAAGGAAAATGTGTATTCTGCTGGCATTGGATGAAAACTTCTATATATGTCTATTAGGTCCATTTAGTCAAAAGTACAATATAAGTCTAATATTTCCTTATTAATTTTCTGTCTGGTTGACATATCCATTGTTGAAGAGAGGTACTGAAGTTCCCTACTGTTGTTGTATGGCTATCTATTTCTTCCTTTATGTCCATTAATAGTTGCTTTATGTATTTAGGAGCTTCAATGTTGGATGCGTATACATTTACAATTGTCGTGTCCTCTTGATTGGTCAACCCCTTTGTCATTAAATAATGACCTTCTTTGTCTCTTGTGACAGTTTTTGACACAAAATCTATTTTACCAGATAGTCACCCCTGCTCTCTTTTGGTTACTGTTTGCATGGTAACCATTAGCCGTGAGTATGTTCTTTTATTCCTTCACCTTCAGCCTATGTGTGTCCTTAAGGTTTAACCGGATCTCTTATAGGCAGCATATAGTTGGATCTTGTTTTTCTTATTCATTTAGCCATTCTATGCCTTTTGGCTGTAGAATTTAATCCATTTACATTCAAGATTATCTTTGATAGGTAAGAACTTACTACTATCATTTTGTTATTTGTTTTCTGGTTGTTTTGTAGCTTCTTTGTTTGTTTCTCTCTTGTTGTCTACCTTTGTGATGTGATAATTCTCTTCTATTTGCCCATAAAAAATTAATGAAAATAAAAAATAATAAAAAAGATAATATTCCGTAGTGCTAAGCTTTAATTCCTTTCTCTATCATTGGTATATCTGCTGTAGTTTGTTTTGTGTTTACTATGATACTTACATAAAACATCTTATAATCAACTATTTTAAGCTGATAGCAACTTAACTTTTGTCACATACAAAAACTCTAGGTTTTTATTCTCCCCACAATTTATATTTTTGATATAAAAGTTTACATTTTTTATATTGTGTATTTCTTAACAACTTATTGTAGCTTTAGGTTTTTCTTTTTACCGTTTTAAACTTTAAGCCTCATATTAGAATATGTGTGACTTATTGGAGTGCTCTGAATTTTACTATGTGTTTTCTTCTACTTGCAAGTTTATAATTTCATATGTATTTATTACAATAATTACTATCCTTTCATATTTACTTGAAGAACTTCCTTAAGAATTTCTTGTAGGGCAGATTTAGTGGTGATAAATTTCTTCAGTTTTTGCCTGTCTAGAAAAGACTTTGTTATTCCTTCATATCTGAAAGACAGCTTTGCTGGGTATAGTATTCTTCACTGACAGTTATTTTTCTTTCAGCACTTTATCATCTCATTTTCTCCTGCCCCTCAAGATTTCTGCTGAGAAATCTGATAGTATAATGGAAATTTCCTTATATGTGACTGTATGCTTTTTCTTGATGCTTTTAAAATTATTTATCTTTGCCTTTTGACAGTTGGATTATGACATTCTTTGGAGAGGACCTCTTTGGTTTTATCTGTCTGGTGATCTTCAAGGTTCACAAATCTAGATATCCATATCTCTCCCAGGACTTGGAAAGTTTTCAGCAGTTATTTTATTAAATAAGCTTTCTGTCCCTTTCTTTGTTTCTTCTCCTTCTAAAATTCCCATAATGCAAAAATTTGTTCACTTAATGGTGTCCTATACATCCCATAAGCTGTCTTTACTCTTTTTAATTTTTTTCCTTTGACTGAGTCATTTCAAAGACCTGCACTCGAATTCACAAATTCTTTCCTGCTTGATATCATCTGTCATTGAATCTCTCTATTGTATTTATTTTATTGATTGAATTATTCAGCTCTAAGATTTCTGTTTTTTTAATGATGGTTATCTCTTTGTTGAATTTCTCATTTAGATCATACATTGTTTTTCTAATTTCATTGAATTGTCTATTTGTATTTTCTCTTATCTAAGTTTTCTAATGATTATTATTTTGAATTTCTTTGCAGGCAACTTATACATTTCTGTTTCTTTGGGGTCAGTTACTGGAGAATTATGGTGTTCCTTTGATGATGTCATGTTTCCTTGCTTTTTCATGTTTCTTGTGTCCGTGCATTGATGTCTGTGCCTCTGATGGTGCAATTACTTCTTCAAAACTAAAGTGACTTTCACAGGAGAAGACTTTTATCAGCAGAGGGACATGAAGGTGTTAGTTGGGCAGAAGTGGTGGCTCTGGTTTCATGTTGGCACACTGATGTAGCCTCCATTCAGCTTCCTCAGTTGTGATCAATTTTAGCAACGACTGTGAGTGCCTTCGTGGTCTAAGTGGCAGGAGTTTATGGCAGTGACAGGGGCTATGTAGGTTATTAGGTCAGGGGCTTTACTTATCTTCCTGTTCTTGTCTTCCCAGAGTGGGGAGTCTTGGTGAGGGGATCTCTTTTGGGGTTAGGTCTGACACAGCCCACAGGCAGCCACAGTGGCACTAGGATCCAGGGCAAAACTGCCCAGAGCAGCTATGAAGCTGGTTTCCTGGGCTCAGGATCTTATGAAACTACTGTAATGCCTTGGACTTGAGGTACGGGTTCACTTTCTAAGACATTAGTGGTTGTAGTTCTCCCACTAAGCCAGGGTGTGTTGCTCTGAGAAACAGCCCAGAAGTTCAGGTTCAGAGGGCTGAGATATAACTATAGACTAACCCTGGGGGTAGGGTGCAGCACTGACACAGCTCTGGGGGAAAAGGGGTACTCTGGAGACTCAGGCCCTGGGAAGCAGGGCACAGCTGCAATTCAGCACCCAGAAACAGTGGAGCATGGTGGCATCTCAGGCTCTGGGAGATGAGGTACTACACAGTGGTGACTCTGGATTCTAGGATGGTGGGGCACGGCAGTAGTCCAGGCTCTGTGAGGCCAGGTGCAGCATCAGCAAGGACCCAGGAATGGCAAGATGCTGCGGGGGCTTGCTCGTCAGGAGAAGGGAAGCAACACAGCAGTAACTCCACTCCTGGAAGAGGTGAGGCACCTCAGTAGCTCAGACAGCAGGGAACTAGTCCAGTTTCAGGTAGGTGGGTCACTGTGTCTGTTTGGCCTGGAGGGTGGGGCAGAGCTCTGCTAAGGCTCCAATTCCCTTTAATGTGAAATACTGCTTTTTCTTGGCCCCAGAAATCATGGCTACACAGGTTGGTGGAGCCTCTGGATCACTGGTGGGGGCAGAGTACCATGCCAGCTGTGACACTAGGGGTTGCAACTGTTCTAGTGTGCTGGAGGCTTGGAGTCCCTGTGGGAAGGGTGCTGCACATGGTGAGGGGTTCAACTGCTTCAGCTTTCAGGAGACCTGAAATCCTCAGGGAATGGACATCAACTCAGCTCAGCCCTCAGGGGAGGGTGCACAGTGACTGGAATGGCAGGGATTTGGCACCTCTATAGTAGCTTGGCCCTAGGGGACAGAGCACAGCAGCAGCTCAGCTCAGGGATAATGTGCCTCCAGGTGGGTGTGTTGCAGGGACAGCAAAGCCTCAGAGATGGAGTGGTGCAGTGACTGCTCACCCCAGAGCAGAATACACTCTAGCAGTGGCTCCAGTTTCAAGATGGCATGGCACAGTAGCAGCATAGGTCACTGGGAGAGGGGCAGGGCAGCATCAGCTCGTACTCTGGGGATTAAATTAACTGTGGACCCTGGGCCTGTCCCTCAGCTGGGCTCAGAGTCTGTGTGGACTATAGGAATCTCCTGATAGTGAAGACTGCAAGTGTCTGCACTGGCAGTGGGGGCTGCTGGGTACTCTTGCTTTTCTTTTCACTACAGGAAGGAGTCTGTCCTGGTTCCAAGCTGATATCAACTAGGGAGATGGAGTGGCAAAGGCAAAGTGTTTTCTCCTCTTTTCTTTGCATCCATTCCAGGTTTTTGTGCTGTCCAGAATTTCTGTTGCTTCTCTGTTATTCTCTGGAGCTCTCCTTCATTTTGGTCAGAATAAAGTTGTTTATTCATGGGGTTTCTTTTTTGTGATGGAGAGGTATATTAGGAGCTTCCAGTTGGCCATTTTGCTGACATCACTCCACAATTTGACTTCTTTCATGGTCTCATCTCATCATTCCTATTTTGTCTATTTTTCCTGCTTCCTTCTACACTTATTGAACATTTGTTTTGGTTTAAGTTTTATGCATCTATTAACTTGCCTTAAATCCTTTTGAGACAAATATATACATACATGAACATCATCATGCAAATGTATTCACCTCTTATTGTCTTCTCCTCCCTTTCCTACTGTAACTGCCTCAGCCCAGGTGCTCATGCATTGCTGTTATTCAAATAATCTCCCTACTGGTAAATTCTTGCTTCTGGTTGTGATCCCCAATTCATCCTCCACACAGCTGCCAGGATAATCTTTCTAACATGCAGACCTCATGAGACCACTCTTCTGCTCAAAATTCCTCAACACTCTTCTCAACATCTGCAGAATAAACCTAACTCTTGCCTTTCATGGCATACAAGACCCTCCCTCCACAGCAGCTAACCCCTGCCTGCCTATCTGTTCAGCCTCATTTCTCACTTCTTCTTTCCCTCCATATACCCCAACAAACCCCTTCTGACATTCCAGAAATGACAGAAACACCAGACCATCTGTTTCCATTGCCCCTTGTCCACTTGCCACACCCCTACCATCCCTTGAGGCTCATGTCAAAAACACCTCCTCTGTGAAGTCTTCCCTTGTTCTCCAGGCAGACTGTGATGCTCCAGCTGTAACACAACCAGGGCTTAACAACTTTGACCACAATGCCAGACAAAGTGTGAGGAGATTTAGGACCCTGAAGACTCATATTTAAATGTCCTCAGAGCTAAAATGTCTTAAGAAAGCTAAAAATAAGGAAACCCCAAGCAGGCAGTGAAAACAGCTAGCTGGATAAAGAAAGGTATCCACTCTTCCCCTCACCTCTTAGGAGGTGTGATTTAAATACAGGAGTCAAGGATTGCAAAAACCCAGATGAAAAGGAGGACCCCCTTCCCCTCACCACCATGTCATAACATGAATCTGCTTGGTCATATACTGCTGCAGCTTCTATACCCAGTCAGAAGTCAGGACATTATGCTACTTCAGCCTGCATGAGATAGTTTCAGTGACGTGGACCTGAATTATTGATCTGGTAACTTCAACACTCTTAAGGTAGTAAATTTGCTTGCCTTGCAACAGTGACCCTCAAAATGTGGTCTCTGAACCAGCAGCATCAGCATCGCTCAGAACTTATGGAAATGCAGATTCTCAGGCCTCCCCCACAGTCCCAAGGGTCAGAACCTCTGCAGGTGAGGTCCACTATGCTGCATGTTAACAAGCCTCCAGGTGATTTTCATGCACTGCATGAATGCAGAGGTTCTCAGCCTTAGCTGCTCATTAGAGTCACCTGGGGAGCTTTAAAACAATGCTAGCTCCCAGAGTTGAGACTCACCACCTAATGGGTATCTTTTCCACCCTAAGTAGTCTTAGAAGAAATAGTGAGACAAATCAAACCCATGGCATTAATGCTTTAGGATTAGTCAAGGAATCTGTTTTGCAAAAATGCGGACAATCTGTGAATTTGATATTTAATGGGTTTTTATTACAAATTAAATATCTGAAGGAATCTCATAAATCTTGAAAATTGCAAATTAAATCTCGAAATTCTTAATTTTTTAAAAGTATGCATTGTGCAGAATTTTAAATAAATACAAAAATGTATGGCATAGTCTAATGAACCCCATGAACCCATCACCCAGCTTTAACAACTCCAGGACAACTCAAGGACAATACTTCCCCATCTAAATCTGCTTCTCCTTTTCCATTTAATTTAAAAGCAAATCCCAGGTATTATATATGTGTATATATGTATATATATGTATATATGTATATATGTATATGTGTATATGTGTATATGTATATATGTATGTGTATATGTGTATATGTATATATGTATATGTGTATATGTGTATATGTATATATGTATATGTGTACATGTGTATATGTATATATGTATATGTGTACATGTGTATATGTATATATGTATATGTGTACATGTGTATATGTATATATGTATATGTGTACATGTGTATATGTATATATATGTATATGTGTACATGTGTATATGTGTACATGTGTATATGTGTACATATATGTATATGTGTACATATATGTACATGTGTACATATGTGTATATGTGTACATATATGTACATATGTACATATATGTACGTATGTACATATGTACATATATGTATATATGTATATATGTACATATATGTATATATGTACATATATGTATATATGTATATGTGTACATATATGTATATATGTATATACATATGTATATACATGTATATGTATATACGTATATATGTATATATGTATATATGTATATATGTATATGTATGTATATATGTATATATGTGTATATATGTATATATGTACATATATGTATATATGTGTATATATGTATATATGTGTATATATGTATATATGTGTATATATGTATATATGTGTATATATGTATATATGTACATATATGTATATATGTACATATATGTATATATGTACATATGTGTATATATGTACATATATGTATATATGTACATATATGTATATATGTATATATGTATATATGTATATATGTGTATATATGTACATATATGTATATATGTGTATACGTTTGTGTGTGTATATATAACTTAATAACATCAAGTCTTGTCAGTGTTCAAATTTTTCATTGCCTCATGAATACTATGAAATTTTTGTAAGCTTTTTAATCAGGAAGCAAGTAAGAATCACACATGATTGGTTCTTTAGCTTTTTAATCTATGTGTTACAATTCTATATTTTAAAAATCCCCTTGCCATGTATTTGTTAAAGAAGTCAATTTAAGCTGGTTGATTTTAGGTCTATGATTTTAAGGTTGAAAGTTGTAAAATTATTTGACTAAGTTTGGTGAAAATGTCAGTATTGGCTGATTTATAAATTACATATAATCAATTTGCCACCGTTTTAAATAGCTGGGAAGGTTTTCTTTTTAGGACCAGAAGTTCCCCTATTAGACATTTGGAGACCTTAGAGAGAAAAAAAAAATTACATTTATAAATATAGTTTAAAATATTTAGTAAATTTAGCTAAGTGTGTAAATTAGACATTATTCAGAGAGAATTAAATCTGTTCAACTTGAATGGATGGAACATTATTCAAAAGCCTAATGGAAAGTGGTTGTTTTATTTTTATTTAAAATTTATTAGATTTGTAAATAGAATAACAAGAGTTGTAGTTGAGGGCAGACATAGGCAAACGATCAAAATATTTTGTTTCAAAAATTAATTTGAAAGCCAAGTAACTGTAAATAGTTCTTTCTGCACACACAGAAACTCATGCTGATATTTTAAGCACACTTCAATTATAGTAATTACTGTATTGTGCTATAATGGTTTGTGTCCTCCCATGTCGCCCTGCGTCATTGTAAAGTCTGGGCTTCTTGCAAGCTGAGAGTTTCTGACCTTAGTCCAGTTCCTGTGGTGAACCTGAGGAAGTGCTGCCCAGCTCCCCCACTTCAATGTCACCCCAACTTCTGGAGGTGCTATCAGCCCATTCAGGGACTGCTGCTACTGCAGAGAGCCACCTGCCCAAAGTCATGCCCCCAGGGGAGCCCACACACCACGTGCCTGATGAATGTGGGTGGGGAAATAACACTGAAATGCCAGAGCTCCAGGCTGTCCCTGGCCTGCCTCACAGCTCAGCTTCTCCCTCTGCCCAGTCTGCCTCTTCCCCTCCCTACCATAAGGGTTGACTCCCAGGGCCTTCCTAATAAACATGCCACATACTATACTCTCTTATCTCAGAGCCTGCTTCCTGGAACACCAAACTGCAACAGCACCTGACACACAGATACAAAAAGCATGAGATAATTATTTACAGATCAGGAAGGAAAATCTGATAAAAGTGTAAGAGATTCAGGGTCCCCACATGAGCACTAATTAACCCTAGCAAGCTATGGTCAGATCTTACTTGCGGTTGATGCCACACACACTGGGTTAGGCACTGGGGTCAGCACTGCAGGAGGAAGGGAAGGCAGGTTCCATGACTCCTGGAAGCTTTGGTTTTGCATGATTCTCTATTCCTTTTCTGCCTTAGTCACTTTGGCCTGCTATAACAAATATACCGCAGACTGGGTGGCTGAAACAACATTTATTTCTGACACTTCTAGAGGCTCACAAGTCCAAGATCAAGGTGCTAGCAGATCCTGTCTGGTGAGGGCCACTTCCTGATTTGCAGATGGTTGTCTTCTCATTGTATCCTCAGTTGGGAGGGAGCAGAGAGAGAGATATCATGTCTCCTCTTTTTATGAGGGCATTAATCTTATTCAGGAGGGATCATGACCTAAGCATCTCCTAAGGGTCCCACCTTCAAATACCATCACAATGATGAGATGTTTTCAACATATACATTTGGAGGGGGACACAAATATTTGGTCTATAGCACTGCCCATTCCCTCAGAGAAAGGTCCAACTTCCCCAGCCTCTATATTATCTGATTTCAACACCTGAAGAGCCTGCATGTCTTTAAACCCAGATTTAGTCTAAGCCTAATGAATTCCAGAGACTCCCCTCACTGACTCTGGGTCTCCAAATCCATTCTCCAGGCTCTTTGTGAAGTCAGTTTGAGGCATCCTTCATGGCCCAAGTTTTCCACTTCCTCACTTCTCCCATGCCTCAACTCCTTCCTTACCTCTCACTTCCTTACCTCTAAACCACACCCTCTGATAACCAGATTTGGAAATGCACAGTGTGCTAGATCAGACTTCCACTGAGTCTATTACACAGCATCTTGGTCCGTTTAGGCTGCTATAACAAAATACCATAAACTTCGTGGCTTGTAAACAACAGAAACTTATTTCTCATAGTTTTAGAGGCTAGGACATCCAAGATCATGGCACTGGCAGATTCAGTGTCTGGTGAAGGCCCACTTTTTGTTCACAGATGGTGCCTCCTTGTTGGATCCTCCTGTGGAAGAAGGAAGCTCTCTGGGGTCTTTTTCATAAGGACACTAATCGCATTCATGAGGGCTTTGCCCTCACAAGCTAATTACCTCCCAAAGACCCTACCTTCTAATATCGTTACACTAGTGATTGGGTACTAACATAGGAATTTTGGAGCAACACAAATATTCAGATCATGTGATGGGGCTCTCCATTAGAAACCCATACTATTGCAGGCATCTATACTTTTTTTGTTCAATAGATACATGAAGACAAACTAGGAAGCTTGAAAATAGATCAAGAAAATTCCTTTGTGAATATATGAGTTGCCAGAAGAATCAGAGAAAGGCCAACACGTGAGACCCATTTTAAAACAAATCATTAAACAAAAGTATCATTAAAGGAAAAACAATCTCAGTGGGTATATTAAGCAGGTTCAATTCTCAAAGAAAGCTCCTCCCATACCCAGGAAAACCAAACCAACTTGTTAATTTTTTAGACTTTACAGGTAAAGATAGGAATTTTTAAGTGGCCAAGATGAAAAAAGATACTAAAAGTTGGAAGAATTAAAACAAATCTACCCCTTTTTCTCAGACTGCAGGACAAGAGCATTGCTCAGGAAGAAACCACTAGAAAGCACAGAGATCTGAAACTCTCCATCCCTGCCAGGCCAGGCACAGCCAGGAGGAGAATATTCCCAGGTGGGAAGATGATTACAGGAAGCAATGGAGAGCCAGGAGCATATAAGTAACTAAGCAAAGAGAGAGAAAGTATAGAGATTTTAGAAGAGGCAACTTTGATTGTATCAACTTTGTTCATATCAATACTTAATCACATAAACACCATTAGGAAATTACATGCACTAAGAGACTGCAAGGTGTAAAGATTAGCTTTTTACCATTTTACTGCAAATATCTAACCTTTATCAGTGTTTAACACATCTATTTTCCTATACTTAATTTTTTTTTTTTTGAGATGGAGTCTCGCTCTGTTGCCCACGCTGGAGTACAGTGGCGCGATCTCCGCTCACTGCAACCTCTGCCTCCCGGGTTCAAGCGATTGTCCTGTCTCAGCCTCCCAAGCAGCTGGGATTACTGGCGCCTACCACCACACCCGGCTACTTTCTGTATTTTTAGTAGAGACAGGGTTTCACCATGTTGGCCAGGATGGTCTCGATCTCCTGACCTCATGATCCACCCACCTTGACCTCCCAAAGTGCTGGGATTACAGGCGTGAGCCACCAAGTCCGGCCCACTTAATTGTTTAAATTTCTTTAACTTTGTAATATTTTTACACCCTTTAATATTTCAGTCTACCTTTTTGGACAAGGCAAGATATAAATTATTTAAAATATATTATTCCATAAAGTAGTTCAGACTCCCAAGATATAAATACGAATATGAATGGAAATTAAATAGAGGAGAGACAACTTTGGACACTAAGCTCATATGTCATACAGAAAGGGACTCACCCTGTGCTTTGCCCCTTCCATACACATTTACAGTGAGTTTTGCATTCACTTGGCTCACAGCAAAAATAGATAAATGGGAGAAAGTCCCATCCCCAATGAGATTATTTAAAAAGTCAGTAAGTGAGAAAGGAAATATTTTTCTTTTGTATTTATTATAATTTAGTAGGAGAATTATTCTCAGTTACATGGTAATAAAGTTGACATCTAACTGGAAATGCATACTCTTCCAAACATGTTTTTAAATTCCAAGAACTAATGTGAAAAGAAAGTGAACACAGCCAGACTAATAACAGAATAAGAAATGGTAAGCATTGCTATTAAAGATTTATTCCACACCAGGAAACTACTCTAGATGGATTCCCTAGGTGGCTTTCTTAATTTCCAAAAAATTAAGGATATCTGAGTTCTAAGAATATAAAAAAGAATGTAAGTTAACTTTTTTTGAGGCAAATACAGACTAATTCTCAAATCTGACAGATACCAACCATGAAGGCAAGCTAGAACAATTCACTTTGGGAAAACAGATACAAAAATCCCAAATAAAACTTAGAAAATAAAAATAAGCACCTTATGAGAATAATTTACTAAACCCAAACCAGGTTTAATCATGGAATTCAAAGCTGTTATATAAATATGAAAAACCTCAATAATTGGTCATATTAGAAAAACAAAATAGCAAGTATCATTATGTTATCTTAGCATGTGTCAGAAATAACCTCTGGTGTATTTAAAAATGCACTTTGTTTACAATTTTGTAAAGATTAGATGTATAGATTTCTTCTTTAGATTATTTAAATTATTTAAAAGTCATCATCCCATTTCAAACTACATATATTGTTTCAAATGCAAGACATATTACACATGTTGGAGAAGCGTTAAAGTCATTTTCTTAAAAACAAAAAATAAAACAAAGATGTCTTCTTTACTGTATCTATTTAATAAAGTACCAGAGGAACTTATAATAACTATTGGAGAAGGAAGACTATAAAAGACATAAACATATGAGAAAAAGGAATAAAAATATTGCTTTTCACTGATGACCTAGAAAATCAAAAGAAATCAACCAAAAAAAATTAGAGGTAATAAATGAATTTTGTAGAGTTATGGGATTTAAGATGCCTCGAAAATCAATTGTGTTCTATACCAGTAGCACACTGAAAAGAAAATGAAAACAAAGAGCCCATTTATGGTAATAAACAAATTTGAATATCAACATGGCCCATAAAAGATTTATTCAAATAACATTATAAATATTTAATGGCAAAAAGAAGACATTAATGGCTGGAGAGAGAGAACTACCTTATGTCTAGGAATACCAAATGCAGTAAGATAACAGTGCACCTCTATTTGCTCTCAGCTTCACTAGTGCTTGCTCCCTGTCTACTGAGGTGTGACAAGGTCATTGTAAAAGGAGCACCTCCTTGATACCCGGCATTGTGGATACAGCCATCAATTCTGTGAACTTCCTGCTTTGTTTATTTCTTCATCACCTTCTCTGTCTAACCTTTTCAGTTCTGATTCTCAATCATTGAATTTCAGGTCCCAATTTTTTGCTCATTTTTTTCTGCTTATTCATTTTGAGACATCCCCTCTTGCTGAGCTATTCCTATTGTTAGACTCCAGTGGTAGCCATCTTGATTGGTCAGCCTACAAATACTCGTTTCTTGGGCTAGAAGTGCCCCCAGTGCACTTCAACAATATAAATGTGAGATTGAATTCTGTTGAGTTAAAATTCCACGAAATATCTTAGAGTGGAATCCAATTGGAATAATGAATAAGGAAGAAATAATTTTTAAAAGATAATAAGGTGTGCATTTATGTTTTATGCTCCTCTCTGTGTATTATATTTCACTATTAAAAATATTTAAGAAAGACATAGCACTACCATAGGATCCAGCAATCCCACTACTGGGTATTTATCCAAATAAAAGGAAAACAGTACATCAAAGGGATACCTGCATTCCCACGTTAATTGCAGCATTATTCACAATAGCCAATAAATGGAATCAACCTACATGTCCATCAGCAGATGAATGGATTTTTAAAATGTGGTATGTATACAAAATGAAATACTCTGCAGCCACAGAAAAAAAATAAATTTTGTCATTTGCACCAATATGAACAGAAGTGAAGGTCATTATGTTAAGTGAAATATGCCAGGCACAGAAAGACGAATATCACGTTTTCACTCATATGTGGGAGCTAAAAATGTTAATCTCATGGAGGTACAGAGTAGAATGATAGTTACCAGAGACTGGGAAGGGTATATCTGTAGTGGGACAGGACATGAAAAGTGGTTGGTTAATGGGTACATACAGTTAGAAGGAATACGTTCTAATGTTCGATACCACAGAAAAGTGACTGTAGGTAATGACAACATATTGTATATTTCAAAATAGCTAGAAGGTTTGAAATGTTTCCAATACAAGAAATAAGTGTTCGAGGTGCTGTATATCCTATTATCCTTATTTGATCATTACACATTGTATGCATGTATCAAAATATCATGTGTCCCATAAATATGTATAAATAATGAAAATGAAATATGGTGGACTAATCTAAGAAAATAGTTTCAGAGAAGACAAATGATTTCTTTCCAAAAAGAAAAGACAGATTTTTTTTTCTTTTTTTTGGTAAAAATTGGCCTGCTCTTTTATATGTTCAGAAGTGTAGACACTCCTTCCCCCAGACTGTACGACCACCCCAACTCAAACCTAGCTCATGCACTTTGGCAGCAATATCCTCATGACCCTCTTTTGCAGGGCCCAGGAGAGATAGTTTTGAGGCAGAAACATGGAATCCAAGGGGGTCCATGGCTCAGGCACCATGGTGAAGGGGACAGCTGAAAGTCCCAGCCCTGTCTTGCAGCTGGGGACATCAAGGCATACACAAAAGGGCTGGCCCAAGTCCTGCTGGCCCAGGACCAGACCTCAGGGGTGCAGGAGGGTCTGCAGGCATCTTGGAGCCCACCAAATGCTGGTGGAAGTAGAGGCTGAAGAGGCTAGAGAGCAGCTGGTAGGCAGCTGTCCAACAGATGAGGTAGGCCAGGATGCTTTGGAGGGCGAGGCAGGAGTGAGCTGCTCAGGGCCCCTGAGATCAGGACTGCCTGCTGGACCTCATGCTCCCTGGGGGCCGACAGGAACTGTCCTGGCAGAGGACAGGGCAGGAGATACCCAGGCCTGGAAGAAGAGGAGGATGAAAGAAGATATGGGTGGACCACAGGAGGGATCGGCCTCCCAGGGGCAAGAGACAGAATTTGAACTCACATCATTTTAACACCAAAGGCTAGGCTCTTTAATACTACTTTCTACAGACTCCAATGGGTCAAAGATATATATAAAAATTCAATCCATAAAAAATTATCTAGAAGAAAATAGAATATTTATCTCAATTCTGAGGGGAAATAAATTTTATTAAAAATGGAGGATGTCATCAGGAACAAGATGGATGTGTTGAAATCCATAAAACCAAAGACTTTTGTACAGTGAAAAGCAATAAAATAAATATCAGAAGAAAAGCAACAAAAATATGTTTGATAAATGTAATAAGAAAAAGTTACTATCCAAAATATACACACTTGATAAAATATATAAGGTTGATTCTCATTCCACAAAACATGAGATCAAAAGAGATGAGAAGAAAGTGCGAACTCAATGAAATTTAGATGGCAAATCATCTCAGGGAAAAAAAAAAGCATTCACAGTGTCAATTAAAGAAATGCAAATGAAAACAACTTTAAGGTGTAATTATACACATTTAATGAGCAAAACCAAACAAACCATTTTAGGGAGGCGAGAATGGGCTATTTTCGCAGTAGGTCTCCCACTGCTGTAGGATTTTCTTAACCATAACTCACATGGGGTCTATTACTCACAGGCCTCCCTGAGCAGCTCAGAAGTGGCATGATTGATTCTAACTGATTCAGACTTTGCATAGATAAAAAGAAATTTGAAAGCTGTAAGATGCTAGACAATTTACCATCAACATCACCATCATTATTATTACTCACCTGCGTGACTCACTTACCTACTTTCTGTTCCCCTGTAGGTTGGGGTTGGTAAACAACAGACGTGTTTGGATAGAGCCCATGGAGCTATAGCAACTGGGCATCTTTTAGGTCCTGCAGGAAAGCCAGAGTTCAATACCAGGAGAGCAAGGCCAGAGGCAGAAGCGGGAAATAAGAGCAGTCCACCAATCTGATGGCTAAGGCCAAAGCCACAGATAAGACCTAAGACAGTGAAAACCAGTAAAGTGCAAGTCTCAGTTGGAGCAGTGATTAGGATATAGCTTAGAATGTGTTATTCTCTGGCAGTTTTCCTCACAGTTCCAGTCTGGATAGACTGGCTGCATTTAAAAAGAAGATTTTTGAAGCAGACATAAATATCCTTGGATCACCCAGAACACCTTACTGCTTTGCATCTCTCTCCCTTTGCACATGTATTTCTAGATGCTTGGGATATTACGGTGGCTTTATAATGTGTGGACTTAGCTGAACTGCATTTCCCAGAATTCCCTTCCCTGTATGTTTTTGGATTAGAGCCACAACAGAAATTTGCAGAAGGTTTGAAAGGCAGAAGTGAAGCAATTCGAGACTTATTCTCTGAAGGAAGAAATTCAGTCTGTGTTGTAACTTACAGGCTTTGCTTGTTTGTTTGTTTGTTTGAGGTGGAGTCTCGCTCTGTTGTCAGGCTGGAGTACAGTGGCAATCTTGGCTCACTGCAACCTCAGCCTCCTGGGTTCAAGTGATTCTCCTGCCTCAGCCTCCTGAGTAGCTGGGACTACAGTCACCTGCCACCATGGCTGGCTATTTTTTGTATTTTTAGTAGAGACAGGATTTCACCATGTTAGCCAGGATGGTCTCGATATCTTGACCTCGTGATCTGCCCTCCTTGGCCTCCCAAAGTGCTGGGATTACAGGTGTGAGCCACCACACCTGGCCAACTCACAGGCTTGTTAAATAATCTGTTGACTTCCTTTGCTGGTGTGGGCAGAAGTAGATCTATCAACTCCTCCAGCTTTTGTGATATCTCTTTTTGTACTTCCCCAACACCGGAGCCAGGTGTGAGTGTGGCTCTGCAGCAAGAGGGCCATCTTCTCCTGCAGGTCATCCATGGAGAGGGGTTGGAGGCTTGGAGATGAGAGAGACAGGAAAAGCTTTCAGCTTGTTACTCTTTGGGGTCCAGCTATCCTACTTTTTCCCACTTTACAAGCTTTTTCTTTTCCAACACTTGCCCTATGACTTCAGGCTCAGTACCAGGCACACACACACAAAACTGAACTTAGATTTTTACTGTCTCCCCTGTAATGTCCGATACTTCAGAGAAAGCACATATTCTATGCCATGTCTATTGTATCTCTAGCTGATGCAGAATATAGTGTCCAAAGTGGTTCCAGAAAACAAAATCATAGGAATGCCTTCTCTGAATTGATTCTGGGTCAATTGTGATTGGTCATCTGATCTGATTAGATTTCAAAATATTAATGATTATGTTTCCAGTGGTAAGGAAGGCACTGGTAGTCTATAGCAAGCAGTGGCAAAACAGCTATTTAAATGATCACTTGTAAACACCTGTACTGAAATGCTTGTAGAAAACAAGGCTTTGGGTAGCTAAGTGGTTTCTGTCATATAACATTTTAATGACCATAAGGAATATAATGGAGTTGGTTGGCTGCTCCTAACTGTGATGGAGGACTTGGAGAAATAAAGTTATATGTTTGGGGCTTGAAATTCCCAGCTCAAGTTCTGCTGAGGAGACCTGAAAAATTCTATGACTATAAAGAAACCTTTGCGACCTCTAGTTACTGAGATTTCTGAAAACCAAACTCAAAGTCTAATCTCATAGAAGGTTGAAATACAACACGAATTGAATTCCCAGCCTCTCAGTCTCTTCGGTTACCCTAAGGGCTCTCTGCTTGGGAAAGAATGGTGCACTGAACACTGAATGGGGACATACGGAAAGATTCTGATGAAGTTGGAGATCTTGAACCCCTAAATCCTGCCAGGCCTCCTTTTCCAAAAGAAATAGCTCCTTCTACTCTTGCATGAGGAGCTTGGTCTCCCCTGGCCTGAGGCACCTGTAATTGCCTTCCCTGAGGCAGTTGCCTTGAAGGAACTACACGTACTGATCCTCCTCAGGACCTACCCCACCTCTCGTTGCTTAGATCTATGAATACAACCAGACTCAAGTCCAGACAGACCCCTGAGTGTGAGGAGGTGCAATACACACCAAAAGAATTACATAATCTTTTTCCGTTTTACATAAAAATCTGGATAATATATGTGGGAATGGAACTTGAGTTTATTAAATCAGAATGCTAGAAATATAATGTTGGATTAGGCATAATTTATTCATATGAGCTCACTAAGCAGAGATTCTGGATTCAAGTGTTGGCTCTAGTGGCGGGGAGTGGCTCTAACAGTCTGCTTCATTGATTGACTAATACCTGAGCCCCATGATGGCCTACACTCAATAAAGTGGAAATGCCAGTTTTCTCTTGTTATACTGAAGAGGAAGTTATTTAAAGGCTCAGGGAGATGGGAATGCTAGAATAAATGTGTATATAAGGCCAGCTTCTCCTCCCCAAAAACTATAACCTAAAAGACAGTTCCTCCTCCAAGGATGTGAAACATTCACAAGGGGAGACCCAGCATATTCAAAGAGCTCTGTATAATTATACTGTGAAGGCCAGGGACATCCATGGGAAGTACTGCCTTCAAACTGCTCCCTGAATCCAGTGGGATGATGGATCCCTGGGTGGCAGGGGTCAAGTGGTGGCACTGAACTGAAAGTGACAAGGTAAGCATGACTATCTTGTGGGCAACAGAGCCAAAGCAGTAATCAGAATGGTTTGACCTGCAGAGATCTTTGGTGTTGGCTAGTTGATCATGAGAGCTCTAAAATAGAAATAGATGGGCAGCCTACTAAGTTTTTACTTGATTTATATAAGTAGAAACATTTTAATCCTGGTAATAGAGATATAACTTAAGTTACCAAAATGGAGAATTCTAGTCCCTCAACCAACTTTCAAACGAGCCAATTCACAAACCCAGTACCACCTGAATGAAGAAGAGGTTAGGTCCACTTGAGAAACAACCCTACTGTAGCACCAAACATGAGTACTGTAAATCTTCCTCTCAGTCTTCCTTAAACTGATGACCATTTACCAGGGTGACTATGCAATGCACTAGGAAAATAATTGGACTTTTCAGGGTGTAATGGACATTGGCCCTGAGCCAACATTTGTTCCCGTAGACCCATGTCAGAGGTAGGAGCTCATGGAGGTGAGGTGATTACACTGGGGCCAGTAAGTCTCCACACCACTCCGTAAGTATTTCCAGAATGTATAATTGGAATACACATAGTTAGCAACTGGCAAAATCCCCATACTGGTTTCCAATCTGTGTAGTAAGGGCTGTCGTGGTGGGAAAAGCCAAGTGGAATAGCCATTTGAAGATCCAGTTACTACTTCTGATCTTCAAATGAGTGGCAATGCTTGCACGGCTTAGGCAATGCCCTCCAGAATGTGGTACATGCTTTAAATCAGTAACCAGTATATTTTCCCCTATAGGAAGGATTTATGGGGCCAGGAATCAAGGGGTAGAAATGAGAGTGTCTTCTCTTGCTATTATCCCTAGTGAGTCACTAGCAAAACTTTTGCTTCCTGTCCCCATGACTTTGAGTCCTATTGCCAAGGGAGGAATGTTTCTGCCAGGGGACACAACTGTGATTCCATTAAGCTGGAAGTTTGGACTGTCATCTGGTCGCTCTGGGCTCATCATATCACTGAATCAACAAGCAAAGAATGGGGGTAAGCTGGGGCAATTAATTCTGACAAACAAGGGGAAATTTGGTACTACCCAAAGGGGGTAGGCGGAGTACAGCTGAAATTCAAGCAGTCCCCTGGAGTGCCTCCTAATATTCTCATGCCCTGTGATTCAATGGAAAATTAAAACAACCCAATGACCCAATGAGGAATAAAGTCTCACATCACCCCTACCAGGCAAAGGTGCTTGCTAACAACAAAGGGAGTGTAAAATGAGTAGTAGAAGACGGTAAGTTGTAGATACCAGCTACAACCACATAACCTGTTTCAGAAATGAAGATGGAAGTAATGTATATTTTCCTTATTTTGATATGAATATATTTTGTAGACATTAACCCATTCCCCCCCATTATCCTATCATCTAAGATAAGATGTGTTAATAGTAGCTAACTTTATATCTCAGTTTATAAGCTAAAGAAGTATTAAAGGAAAGACATGACACAGCTATAAGGGAATAAACATAAGCCAAAGATAGATAAGAGCATTGTCTCTTCTTTTGAGGAGAGACTTGGTATGTTTTCTGTAGTATGAAGGATAGAGTTGCATCATGTTAGGCAAAAGCATGTCTTTGCTATTGTGTGTATTTGGAAGTTAGATATAGTTTAAGGAGATGTGTATCCCGTGAACCCCAATTTCTTTATCTGAATATGGTGAACAAATTATACCTTATAGATTTTAATTTTTTTAATTTCATTAATTTAGAGATGGGGTCTCACTCTGTGGCTGCCCAGGCTGGGCCACAATGGTGTGGTCATGGCTCACCACAACCTCAAATTTCTGGGCTCAACAATTTTCCAACCTAAGCCTCCCAAAATCCTGGGATTGCAGGCATGAGCCACCTCACATTGCTGCCTGACAGACTTTTAAAAGCTAAAATGACCTAGTTAAGACATATAAGAGGCACTCAAATAATGGTATCTTCTTTTTATTGGTAGTAGTATACTAAGAATAAGCACAGGGTCAAATGTAGTCATGAATAGAAAAACACTTTAACTGTAAAACATTATAAAGTGTGCTGATGTGTTTATAATTGAAAAAAATAGAGATATGTATGAATGTCAAGTGCTTAAGGGGTGGATGTGGTGGCTTTGTACTGTGTCAACTTAGCTATGCTGAAACTGCATTTCCTAGAATGTATGGTTTCAGACTAGAGTTGCCCGCAAGATAAATTTGAGTAAGGTTTGGAGGGCAGAAGGGAAACAGCAATTATGGTTACTGTCTGAAGGTCAGTATAGATGTATCTGTTTCTTTGATTGAATCCTGACTAATACAGCCCCTCCCTTTTTGCATCTAGCATATTTCTCCCTGTGGACAGAACAAGGGGTTGATTTTCCCTCCTCGTATCTACAAGGGAACATTCACTATGATCTCCAAGATGGCTGAATTTTGGAATGACTACTATTGGCCTTCCTTCCCATCATCTTATTTAGTCCTCCTCCCTGTGGGTAGAGGAGCAGCCAACCTAAATGGTGAATGTTAGACATCCTTTGGCCACAGTTCTACTAGTGGGTGAGGTCTTTGTCAAAGGCTTCTGGGGGACACATCCTTTTACCCTCTCAAATAAGCTCACGCTTAGACTAAGTATAAGACTAAGTATATACCCTTCTCTTCTTCTTCCTGTTCCTACTTGGTGTCAGCTACCAAAAGGAAGGTTCCAGGTGCAATTTCATAATAAAGGGCAGGAGATTCTGCCACCTTCTCCAATATAAGAGTTACTAGGAAGTCTTATAACGTGTGTGCATGTGTCTGTGTGTGTGAATTAACTCTAGTTCAGCCATTAATGAATGTAGAAGATAATCAACAAAATTAAAAAGTATACCATTGTGTTTAAAACAGTCAGAAATCAGTTTATTTATTTTAGAAAACAATCTTTGCTGCTGCAGCAGGAAGACAGTTCATCATAATCATTTGGAATTTTCACTGAGCTTTTCTTAGTACTAAAATAATACACCTTCAGAAATAAGCTTAGTAAGCATCACTGCTGGTTTATTTATATCAAGTGATATAGATTTAAACTGTGAAATATATCATACATGCGGTAGCGTATAAAGGACATAGTTACAATTTAAAGGATCACTCTGAGTTTATGTAATGTCAAGAGATACCAGTACCTGAGAAGCCCTATGTGTTACTTATCAGTTGCATATCCCTCATCCCCAGAGGTAACCATTACACCGTGATTAAATTTCCCATTTAATCATAGGGCATGAGACTATTAGGAGGCACTCCAGGGGACTGCTTGAATGTCAGCTATACTCCCCCTACCCCCTTTGGGTAGTACCAAATTTCTCCTTGTTTGTCAGAATTAATTGCCCCAGCTTACTCCCATTCTTTGCTTGTTGATTCAGTGATATGACGAGCCCAGAGTGACCAGGTGACAGTCCACACTTCCAGCTTAATGGAATCACAGTTGTGTCCCCTGGCAGAAATATTCCTCCCTTGGCAATAGAGCTGAAAGTCTTAATCATTCTTTGTTTTTACTTTTTAACACTTTTTAACACCTATGTTTGTATTCCTGAGTAGCAGGCACAAACCCAGGTGTTTGAGGAAAGGGCAACATGCCCCCTGTTAGAGGAAGGCTCCCAGGGGAAACTGAGCTGAATAGAATATTTTGGTCATAGCCTGGGATCAAGGCACACAGTTACCATAAGCCTATAGAAGATAACAACCTGGGCTAAACTCAGAAAATTTCATCTATAGATCAAAAAGAAGGTAGGCAGCGGGGATCCTCATTTATCAGTCCTTAACATATCATGAGTCACACACATCTAAACTAATTGCCCTCTATAGCTGCTGTATAGTTGTCATCCTAGGATCTTCCTTTATCATCTTTGCCTCTTTCCAGTGATGAATCTCCTCCTCTTGTATCTCATATCTTCTTCTTTCTTGGTCTATTTTCTTATTTTGGTTGAGCAAATCCCTTAAGGATATGGTTGAGAAAAGGTTCAAGGGGAGTAAATTTTTTGAGACTCTGAAGATTTGAAAATGTCTTATTCTACCCTTTCTTATAGGTGATATTTAGGCTGGGTATAGAATTCTAAATTGAAGGTAATTTTCCTTCAGAAATTTTGAGACTCACTTTTTGCTTTCTAGCTTCTAGTTGCAATTGAGAAATCAAAAGACATTCTGATTCCTAATACTTTGTAAGTGACTTGTGTTTTCCTTGGAAGCTTTTGGGATCTTTTCCTAGTCTCTAATGTTCTGAAAGTTCACAGTAATATATCTCCCCTGGGTCCACTTGGATCCATTATGCTAGACATCTGGTTATTTTTTTCAATATGGAAACACAAATCCTTTAGCTGATAATTTTGAACCATCAACTGAGAATTAAAATGAAGCCTCTACCCTCTTAGGAAAAGACTATTTTATAAAATCAATTTTAAATCTGTCTGATCAATCAATGACAACTTGCCTCCATCTAATCCATCAGGAATAACTTGCTCCATCCAACACACTTCTAAAAACCAACCAATCAATGATAGCCTTTGAGGGTTAGTCAGTCAGCAGCCAACTTACTCTAGTGAAGTCTTGTCTAAGTGAGCACAGTTCTGAGGCTAACTTCAGCCTACTCCCATCTCTGAAACCATCAAATAATCCCAAAATAATCTCTGATTTCAAAATTTTATATAAATTCAACAGTCTGCTTTGAGAAATTGTTCCTGACCATTTTTCTTCATTACATAAGCAAAATAGAGAAGCAAGTCCCTCTGTATAACTCCCAATTGTGTACTTCCTCATCTTCAGATGCAACTGACACTTTTTTAGTTTGAATTCCTTTAAATTATTTTTTCAAATTTTATTTTTCTACCCCTTATGCATATATCTCTAAACTGAGAAGTGGGCACAAACCTAGCTATATAAGCAAAATACAACACAGCCTCCGTTAGATGAAGGCGCCCAGGAGTTGAGTGGAGTCTCTTGGTCATGGCATTTTATTTCAGATACAGAGTGGCACCATTTTCCTTTACATAACTACCAGTTTGAAACACAATGACCAAATGCTCTCTTACACTTATGATCACTCTCACACCAGAAACTGACATGGGTATCATGTGCTACGGTTTATAATGTGTGTTTTACATGTAAAGTCTCATTGTGACTCTGGTCTTCAGAGTCCCTGGATTGCTTGCCCTAGTCTTGGTTCCCCTCAGCATAAGTCTCCCCTCTCAACCACATGCTGAATCTAATACCTCCTACTTGAAGCCTTCTAACTCTTCACAGGACAAGAACAATCAATTATCCAAAGAGAAAGAGCAATGAATGGGTAATAAGGACAGTTGGGTTGAAGCCCCAGTTCAGCAAATAATCAAGTGGCCTGAAGCACATGTCTTCATGTTCTTCACTGTGTTTCAGCTTTCCTGTCTGCAAATAAAGCTTGGGCCAAATCTATATAGTTCTCAATCCTGACTGCATATGAGAATTACCTAGCAATTATTTAAAAATACTGACTCTTGGGCTCTACTTCAGACCAATTAAATCAGAATCTCTAGGGGTAGGGTCTGGGCATCAGTATTTAAGTCTATGATTCTAATGTACAACCAGAACTATTGAGCCAAATGAGCTCTGAGGTTCCATTCAGTGCTCACACTTGGAATTCTAGGAAGTACCATCATATTTCATTGAATAAGGTGGGCATTGTGTTGCTAGGACTCTGTTCTTTGGTTTTATAAGGGAATAAGAAGTGTGAAAAGGGACAATACAGAACATTTGTGATGTAAATTATTTATACTGATGAGCAGTATGCATAATAGAAACTTGTAGAAATCAATGAACATAAAGTATAGATTACAATCTCTTCTCAACTATGCCTATAGCTGGTGACTGTCATTGCTAGTGATAAACAGGGGGTAGGGGGACACCCATTAATCATCCTGTAGATCACTGAGGCTGTGTATATTGGGAGAAGCGGGTAGCTCCCGCTAGTCAGAGCCTTACTCACAGCAGCTGAAAAATCACATAATCCACATCTCCAGAATCCAGGGTCTCTTCAGGAGCAAAGGTTGAGCACAGATCCGGACATTATTAAATACATCATCCCTATAGTACATGTTAATTGAGGTGGCAGTTTGGCTCCTGTCTTAGTCTGGTTAGTGTTGCTATGAATAAACACCTGAGGCTGGATATTTATAAAGAAAAAAGGCTTATTTGGCTTATGATTCTGATGTCTGGAAAAATTTAGGATTGGGAATCTGCATCTGGGATGAACCACAGACTTCCTCCACTTAGGGAAAGGGAGCCAGCTGTGCAGAGATCACATGGTGAGAGAAGAAGCCAGGGAAAGAAGGAAGTGCCATGCTCTTTTCAACAACCAGCTCTCAGGGAAACAAATAGAGTGATAACTCACTCATTACCATCAGGAAGGCACCAAGCCATTCATGAGGGATCTGCCTCCATGACGCAAACATCTCCCATTATGCCCCACCTCCAACACTGGGAACCAAATTTCAGCATGAGGTTTTAGGAGACAAACATCTAAACTATAGCATTCTTCTTCTAGCCTCCCAAATCTCATGTCCTCACATACAAAATACAATCGTTCTATCCCAGTAGTCCCCAAAAGTCTTGTTCCAGCATCAATTCAAAAGTCCGAAGTCTCATTTGAGACTCAAGGCAAGTTTCTTACAGCTATGAGACTGTAAAATACCAAACAAGTTATTTACTTCCTTCCAAGATATAATGGTGGGACAGGCATTAGGTAAGCACTCCCATTTCAAAAGGGAGAAATCAGCCAAAAGGAATGGGTGCAAGGTCCCAGGCCAGTGCAAAAGCCAGCAGGGAAGACATTAAACTTTAGAACTCCAAAATAATCCTCAACTCCATGTCCTGCATTCTGGGAACATTGGTTTAAGGGGTGGGTTCCCAAGGCCTTGGGCAGCCCTGCCCTCATGGCTTTGCTGGGCACAGTACACGTAGCTGTTCTCTCAAGTTGGAGTCAAATGCCTGTGGCTTTTCCAGGTTGAAGTTATGCACTACAGGTGACTATAATTCTGGGGTCTAGAGGGTGATGGCCCTGCTTCCATAGCTCTATTAGACAGTGCCCCAGTGGGTACCTTCTGTGAGGGATCCAGCCCCATATGTCTGCTCAGCATTGTCTTACTAGAGTCTTTCCATGAGGGCTCTGCCCCTGCAGCAGGGTTCCTTCTGGGCACCCAAGCTTTCTGATACATCCTCTTAAACCTAGGTGGAGGATACCAAGCCTCCACCACTCTTGCATTCTGGACACCTGCAGACTTAACACCATGTGGAAGCCACCAAAGCTTACTGCTTGCACTCTCCGGAGCAATGGCCCACGTCATACCTGGGATCATTAGAATCACAGCTGGAGCTGGAGTGGCCTGGATGCAGGGAGCAGCATTCCAAGGCATCCCAGGGAAGATGTGCCCCAGGCCTGTACCCCCAAACCATTCTGTCTTCTTCGGCTTCTGGGACTGTGATGGGAGGGCAAATTTAAAGATTTCTGAAATGCCTTTGATGGCAGCAGCGGCCTTTCTGGAGCAGCCACTGTGGGCATGCCAGGTGCAGTGGGGGAGGTGCAGTGGGGGAGGTGCAGCTGGGGCTGGGTGCTCCACAGGTGGGAGCCCTGCCCCCTTTCAAGTTGGCAGGATGGGAGTCCTGCACTCCTGGGCGCAGCTGCCCAGGCGAAGCTGCAGACCCGGGCATCCCTGTGCTCTCGGGGGCCCAAGAAGCCCGCCTTCCCCTGCAGACCTGGAAGTGCCTACTCTCGCTGCCTGGCCTCTCCCTACTCTCCGTGCTCGCTCCAATTTTGGAGCAAAGTTGAAGCCGAGCCTGGGTGCTGTCTCAACCTGGCTGGGTGTATGCACGCTCAGCGTGATGCTGACACACCAGCCCCCTGCTGCCTCGGCCCTTTCCGGACTTTGGACACTGAAGAGCACGGGAGGGAGGTCAAGTAGGGGCTGAGGGTGGCTTGGCATGGGCCTGCAGCCCCTTGGCACAAAGAGCCTAGGTGCCATAGACAATATGATTGATGGTGGCAGGAAGCAGACAGGCTCCTGGACAGAAAGGGATGGGTCCTCAGTGAAGCCCTTCCTTCAAGCCAGGGACAGACTGAAGTCTGAGGGCCAGGCTGTCAGTTCCTGGTGAAGTCTGCAGCCCAGCCGAGAGTGAGAACTTATGGTGCTTTTTCTAAGACTGTCCACGGACCAATCAGCATGACTTCCTCCCTTCTGAGCCCATAAAAATCCCAGACCAAGCCAGACTCACAGAGACCTCCAGACTACCAGCTGCCAGAAGGAGCTACCCACTGCGGGTATCCTTGACTTGTCAGGACAGTCTGTCTGTGGAAAGGAGCTACTCACTGCAGGTCTCCTCTCCACTGAGAGCTGGACACTTATCAGGATGATCTGCCTGTAGGAAGGAGCTACCCACTTCGGGTCTTCCTGAGAACTGTTCTGCTGCTCAGTGAGGCTCCTCTCCATCTTGCTCACCCTCCAGTTGTCCACATACCTCATTCTTCCTGGATGTAGTACAAGAACTTGGGACCCACTGAATGGTGGGACTAAAAGAGCTGTAACACAAACAGGGCTGAAACATGCCACCCAACTACCCACGTTGCTGGCGATGAGATGGAGAGAAGAACTGAGGCCCTTCAGGGAGCCCGGACCCAGGGGCTCCCTGAGTCAGGGCTGTGACACCATCTTGGGGCTCTGTGGTTCCTGGCATCCCCAAGCTTCCAGGCACCACTGCGTTTCCCTCATCCAGAAGCAGGTGCCCACAGCAGAAGCCATGTGCAGTACATCTGGTCCAGCTGCAGCCTTGTATGGAGCCAACACCTGTGCCAGCACCTGGAGCTGCCTGTCCCACCGTAGGTGTGACTGGCTGGGCACAGTGGCTGGACCCCATGCTCACTCGCCAACATACCCCTTATCACTCCATGCCTGGCTCACCCTTGGTAGGTGTGGGATCCAGACTGGTAGCATGAGCTGAGTGCAGCCTGCTGGGCCAAATGGGCAGAATGAGGCCAGCAGGTGTGAGCAATACTCAAGCAGAAGGCACTGCTGGCCACAGCTGGTGAAACAACTCACCAAGGATCCCGTGACACCTTCAGGGCCTTTTTCCCATTGTGTTAACTATTAGCACCTGGCTGTCTTTTATTACCTGTGTTAATCTCTCTAGCAAGTGCTTGCTGGCCAGTACCCTTGGATTTCTCTCCTGAAAATGCTTTTTCCTTTTCTACCACATTGCCAAGTGGTGAATTTTCCTAATTTTACATTCTGCTTCCCTTTTAATTACAAATTCCACATTTAGGTCATTCCTTTGCTGCACATCTGATTGTAGGTTTTTAGAAGAAGCCACATCACTTATTGAAGGCTTTGTTGCTTAGAAGTTTCTTTCACAGTATACCGTAGGTCATTCCTCTTAAGTTTGTTATCACACTGAACTGGGATCCACTTGGCTGTTGCAGTAAGGCTAAAACATCCACACCAAGGTTTGCAATAAGAGAAAGGTGGGCATTTGTTTGCAGGGCACCAAGCAAGGAGAATCTGACAGCTCACACTTAAGACCCTACTTCTCCAGTGGCTTGCAGGTAAGAGTTTTTAAATACAGGGAGGCAGAGGTTAAAGGCAAAGTCATAAATCATCACATAGAGCCTATGTACTGGCTTAATCTAAAAAGGCAGGACATCTTAACGCAGGGGCCCACAAGTCATAGTAGATTCAAAGATTTTCTGATTTGTGACTGGTTAAGAAAATGAAAATTTGTCTAAAACTTTTGGGTCAGCAGAAAAGAATGTTAGCTCTGGCTTGTGAGTGTGGCTTCCTCCTGGCCCCTCAGGAAGAAATCTAGAACAAAGAACAGTGGTCAAAGCTTAGTTCTCAGATCCCCCTTATCTTAGATCTACATGCCAGCGAACCTGTTTCATGAGGGTCCAGGTTTCTGGAAAACAGCTCAGGGACATATGTTAAATATTGTCTTCAGTTTCTTTGGGGAACCAAATACCCTGTGATTCTAACTTCCTTGGCTGTTTTTAAGTTACTATTACCTTCTTGCTTATCAAGTTGCTCATTTGCTTCTCAGGGTTCCTGGAATTCCCCTTAAATGAATTCAAGATTTTCATTTATTTCCATGGTTTGGAAGGGGTAGGAGAGGTGCCTGACAGGCCCCTGAGAGGGGTCTTTGCTCTGTCTCAAGTTCAGCCTTGCACAAAGCCTTAGGGCACGGACTGAACACAGCTAGGTTCTCTGCTACCCCTTAGGGCAAAGTGACCCTTGCTTCAGTTACCAGTAAGTTTCTGATTTCCATTTGAGGCCTCCTCAGCATGGCCTTTACTGTCTATATTTCTATTAGAATTTTGGTCACAACCGCTTAACCAATTTCTAGAAAGTTTCAAACTTTCCCTAGACTTTCTGTCTTCTTTGGAGCCCTCCAAACTCTGCCTATTACCCAGTTCCAAAGCTGCTTCCACATTTTCAGGCATCCTTATAGCAACACCCCACTCATTGGTACCAATTTTCTGTCTTAGTCCTTGTAGTGTTACTATAAAGAATCCTTGAGGCTGTATAATTTGTAAAGAAAAGAGGTTTATTGGTCTCACAGTTCTGCATGCTGTACAAGAAGCATGGCCCCAGAATCTGCATCTAATGAGAGCCTCAAGCTGCTTCCACTCATGCAGAAGGTAAAGGAGAACCAGCATGTGCAGAGATCACACGGTGAGAGAGGACACAAGGTGTGGGGAGGCACCGGGCTCTTTTTAACAACCAGCTCTCAAGGAAACTAATAGCGTTTCCAGCTCTCAAGGAAACTAACTCACTTATTACCACAAAGACAGCACCAAGCCGTTCATGAGAGATCTTCCCCCATTACTCAAGCACTTCCCATTAGGCCCCACCTTTAACATTGGGGATCAAATTTTAACGTGGGGTTTCAGGGGACAAACATCCCACTATAGCATCTCCCACAGACTCCTCGAGAGGGCAGGCCATCAGGGGCCATGTCTGTACTCTGTTATGTGCCCTCCAGGAATTGTTGGAGCTGACTTTTTCAAAAGCGGTTTCTTGAGAAAAATTTCACTCCTCCCGCTGCTTAGATCCTTGAAGTAGTCCTGTTATCTGCCCATTCTGCATCCTGGTATTTCGCTATTCCTTTGATTTTTGTCAGCTATTCCAGTGTCCTTCAGACAAAAGTTCTTTTTTTAATTTAACCTAGCTAGTCAGTTTTTGTTGCTTGCAACCAAAAGATTACAATTTCTACCTCAAAATAATAATAGCTTACAGTTATTGAACATCTTATATTCATCAGGTATTCAAATACCTAATTGCTAATCCTAAATGCAACTAGAGTTATCCACATTGTACAATGAAGATACTGAGGTTGTGAATAATTTTCTCAAAAATATAAAGCTAGTAAGCAGCAGAGCCATGATTTGAACTTGCTTTTCTCTAACTACAAATCTTACTGTTTTTATGATTTTCTTGTCTGCTATTCCATGCTACTTCTGACAAAGATTTTAACACCTAGTGACTAGTCCTTTCTACTACTTTCACCCACATGCAAACTCATAAAATTGTGCTCTAACTACACCTCACAAAGAAGATGGAAAAGGGCAAGAAAGATTAATCTGTGCCCCACATGGACCTGTCTTTCCTCTTGATGACAGGAGTTTGCAGGGGTCAAAGCCAGGATCTCAGCCCAGAGTGCTTGTAGGCGCTTAGTCAATACTAATCAAGGGAGATGATAAAGGACAAAAACTCATTTCCCCAAAACTTTGGCAAAGGGAGATTCAGTCTCAACAAATTTGTAAGTCAGATAGACATGCCAGGGTAGATATAGATAAACATCCTGTCATTGAAGAATAGTGCTAGAAAGGACTACAGAAGCAATGTCACTTAATTCCTGCCCTTTTCAGGTGGGAGAACTGAGGTTCAGAGAAGGGAAGGGATGTGCTCAGATAGCTCAGCAACACGGTGGCCGTGGCAGCCTGACCTCAATTTCTATGGTGTTTTCCACTAGCCCATGCCCAGGAGATTATTCATCCCATCAATTCTGTCACTTTAATATCCCTATCTGTGATGGTAATGCTGATTTCCAAAGGGAGTTAGATTTACAAACTGGCCTTTGTTCCCCATCACCCAAATAAAGTACAAGATCTTGTACAAGATTTTGTCCTAATGGAACACTGGCTTTCAACGGGAAGTCTCTATTCTCCCACATGGAGATCTCGTAATCATTTTGTTACTTTCTAGGAAGACATTTCTCTGGGGAGTCTTATTTTGTTATTGGATTTATAAGATGCAGGTGTGCAGAAGTGGAAGAAAATTGATGTCATGGCACCTGAAAGAGAAGAACCCCAGAGGGGGCTGGATTTCAAATGGACACCCTCTGTGCCATAGGTGATGTTACGCTAATGACCACATGCTGGTGATGTTGCTCAGAGAACCCTGAGCAGTCTCCCCCAATGACTCAGCCCATTGGTCTATTTCTCCTAAGATGTCAGCAGGCATGAAAGCCCCCAGTCATCTTCTTGGGTTCTAAGAATGTGCAAATTTCTCACTGGTGAAACCACCCGCTGCTTCCTTCAAAAGGGCACTGCAGATTGAAGGGGTTTCTGGACCTGGGGGAGGATGTGATCTGTAGGAGTTTACTGTGCCTCACATCACTGATTTCAGCACATTTGTGGGAACAGAGTCTTGCCTTAGGGCACAGAAAAATATTTCTGCTTTTCTGCTTCTGGTCTTTCTCAGAAGCTATGGAACTTAGCCCATGCCTAGGCACAGACAAAAAATGTGGGAGAGGTTGCAATCCCAAGGGCAACTCTCAACTAATGGGGAACAGAAGCTAGTGGACAAATATCCTAGATTTTCATCCTTCAAATGGCCAATTCTGAGGCATATTCTACATGATTCCCTAAGATTGAACCCCAGTTTCCCACAGTAGTCTCCAGCTCAATATTGCACTCTTTCTTTAAAAAATGTGAAAAAGAATATAGTCTCATATATATCTCACACCTATACATACATTACATAGTCTCACATATATACATATATATCTTATAAAATATAACATTTTAACCATTTTTAAGTGTACAATTCTGTAGTATTAATTACATTTTCAATATTATACAACCATCATTTTTATCTATTTCCAAAGTTGTTGTTGTTGGTTTTTTTTTTTTTTTTTTTTTTTGAGAGGGAGTCTTGCTCTGTCACCCAGGCTGGAGTGCAGTAGTTCAACCTCAGCTCATTGCAACATCTGCCTCTCAAGGTCAAGTGATTCTCGTGTCTCAGCCTCCTGAGTAGCTGGGATTAGAGGTGCCCACCACCACGTCTGGCTAATTTTTTTTTTTATTTTTAGTAGAGACAGGGTTTCACCATGTTGGCCAGGCTGGTTTCAAACTCCTGACCTCAAGTGATCCACCCGCCTCGGCCTCCCAATGTGCTGGGATTACAGGCATGAGCCACCATGCCCAGTTTCCAAAACTTTTCTATCACCCTAAATAAAAAGTCTGTATCCATCAAGCAATAAATTTATATCTTCTCCTCCTCCCAGTCTCTGGTAACCTCTAATTTATTACTTGGTCTCTAATAAATTTGCCTATTTTAGATATTTCACATAAGTGGAATCATATGTTTGTCATTTTGTGTCTGATTTCATTTAGTATTTTCAAGGTTCATCCATGTCGTAGCTTATATTAGAACTTTATTCTTTTTTTATAGCTGAATAATATTCAATTTTATGTCTATACAGTCAGCCCTTCATACCCATGGTTCTGCATCCATGGATTCAACCAACTGTGAACTGAAAATATTTTTCAAAATGATAAAAGGGGGAGGTGGCCAAGATGACTTACTAGAAACAGCTAGTGTGCATGGCTGTCGCAGAGCAAAATGGAAGGAGTGAGTAAATATAGCATCTTCAACAGAAACATCCAGGTACTCGCACTGGGACTAATTAAGGAAACAACCTGACCCACGGAGAATGGAGAAAAGCAAGGCAGGACAATAGTCCACCCAGGAGCAACACAGAGCCAAGGGAACCTCCCCCTACCCAGGGAAGCAGTGAGTGAATGTGCAACCCTGGGAACCCATGCCTCTCCCATGGATCTTTGCAACCCTCAGGTCAGGAGATCCCCTCTTGAACCCACTCTACCAGGGCCTTCAGAGCTACGTGGAATCTCAGCAGAGCAGCTGCTCAGGCATACGTGGAGACCCAGGAGCCTTAGAAACTTGGGCTCTCTGGACTTCCCAGAAAAAGTAGCTGCAACTTTGGCAAAGTAGGAGGTTAGACTCCTGCACTTACCCATAGGAATTAGGCTGAATCCGGGGGGCTGAGCAGCAACAGTCTGCAGTCCCCACTTCTATGGCACCTCGCAGGATAAGACCCACTGGCTTGGAATTCTAGCCAGCCACTGGCAGAAGTGTTATACCTTGCTGGGATGGAGCTCCTGGGGGAGGGGCAGGCCACCATCTTTGTTGTTTGTGCGACTTAGCCATTCCAGCCTTTGGGCTTTGGAGAGTCCAAGCTGACCAGGGACAGAAGGGATCTCCCAACACGGCACAGCAGCTCTATATAAATGTGGCCAGACTGCTTTTCTAATCAAGTCCTTGATCCCATTCCTCCTCATTGGGTGGGATCTCCCAACAAGTGCCTCCAGCCACCCCTACTAGTGTTCTCCAGCCAACAGAAATTTGAAACCTCCCTGGAATGGGGCTCCCAGAGGGAGGGGCAGGCCACCATCTTTGCTGTTTGGGTGACTTAGCTATTCTGACCTTCAGATTTTGGAAAGTCCAAGGCAACGCGGAGCTGAAGTGGACCCCCAGCACAGCACAGCACAGCTGCCCTATGAAAATGTGGTCAAACTGCCTTTTTAAAGAGGTCCCTGATCCTGTTCTTCATCACCAGTTGGGGCCTCCCAAATGGGGTCTCCAGCTGCCCCCATCGGTATTCTCTGGCTGATAGAGGTTTCAAACCTCTTTGGGTTAGAGCTCCCCGAGGGAGGGGTGGGCCCCCATCTTTGCTGTTTGGGTGACTTGGCTATTCCAGCCTTCAAGCTTTGGAGCATATGAGGCAACCGGGGCTGAAGTGGACCCTCAGCACAACACAGCTGCTTTATAAAAATGTGGCCATACTGCTTTTTTAAGTGAGTCCTTGATCTACTTCCTCCTCATTGGGCAGGATCTTCCAACTGCAGTCTCCAGCCACTTCCTACAGGTGTGTTTGGGACTGCAGTAGGTCCATACCTTCCTAGGGTGGAGCTCCCAGAGGGAGGGGTAAGCCACCATCTTTGCTGTTTTGTAGTCTTCACTGGGGATACCTCCAGGTACTAAAAAATTTGAAGCAACTAGGGACTGGAGCAGGCACCCAGCATAACTCAGCAGCCCTCCAGAAAAGTGGTCAGACTATTACATGGTTGCCTGTTTCCATATCTCCACCAGGTAGGTCCTCCAGGTCTGGGCCTCCAGCCACCCCAGCAGAGCTATTGAGGCAACAGCAACTCAGAAACTCCTGAGTTGACAGAGCCTCCAGGGTCAACTAAAAGCCTGTATGCCACTGCCTCTGTGGTGGAACTGCCCTTGCTAACCTCAGACTAACAGGGGAGCAAAGACTCTAAGTGCTTTATCCACACCTCTAACAAGCTGCAGTCAACCCAAGGAATAAGGCCAGTCTGTCTTTCATCATTCCCCTTCCCACCACTGTTCATCACCAACAGGGAGCCCCTAGCCAGGGCCCCCAGCACAAATGCTCCGTCATGGACTGATTGCACTGATTGATTGCTGACTTGCATCTCTCTGGGGTAGAGCCCCCAGGAGACAAGCAAAAGACCCTTGGCCACAACCACTACTAAGGTCCCTGCCTTTGCTGCCTCCAAGTTAGGGAAGGAGCATAAACCCTGACATCACTCCAGAGCTGCAGTGGGCAGCCCAGGAGTGCCAAGCCACCATCTATAGCCAGCACTCAAGAGGGAGAGGAACCCACACTTTCAGAACACTGAGAGGGAACACAGCTGTAACTGTGAGGAAACATAGGGGAGCCACACAACTGAGCAAGAGTCTACTAACTGACCAGTAAGCCTAAGTGACACCTACTGGATCACACTCTTAGGCTTCAACGCCAAAAATACCTCACTAACATAGCCCCATCTGAAACCAGAGACAAGATGTCAGCTTCAAATAAAAATCCTGCACGCAAAGCCTTTGCCCAGTGAAAACATTAGAAGTCTATTGACTGTACTCAATCTACACTGCAGTTAAAGGAACACCCACATGTAGAGATGAGAAAGAACCAACACAAGAACTCCAGCAACTCAAATGGCCAGTGTGTTGTATGTCCTCCAGATAACCATGCCAGTTCTCCAACAAGAATTCTTAACCAGGCAGAACTGGCTAGAATAACAGAAATAGAATTCAGAATGTGAATAGGAACAAAGACCGCTGAGATTAAGGAGGATGGCAATACCCAGTCCAAGTAAAATAAGAATCACAATAAAGCAATACAGGAGCTGAAACACAAAATAGCTGGTATAAAAAAAAATGGAATGGGTCTGATAACATAATACAAGAATTTCACAATGCAATCACAAATATTAACAGTAGAATAAACCAATCTGAAGAAAGAGTATCAGAACTTGAAGACTGTTTCTCTGAAATAAGACAGTCAGACAAAAATAAATAAAAGAGTAAAAGTGAATGAAAAAAACCTCTGAGAAGTATGAGATTATGTAAAGAGGCAAAATCTCTGAATCACTGGCATCCCTGAAAGGGAGAGGGAGAAAACAAAGAACTTGGAAAACATGTTTCAGAATATCATCCATGAAAACTTCCCCAACTTTGCTACAGAGGCCAGCAGTCAAATTCAGGAAATACAGAGAACTCCTGCAAGATTCTACCCAAGATAATCCCCAAGACACATAATCGTCAGATTTTCCAAGGTCAAAATGAAAGAATATTAAAGGCAGCTAAAGAGAAAGGGCAGGTCTCCTACAAAGGGAACACCATCAGGCTTACAGTGGACCTCTCAGCTGAAACCCTACAAGCCAGAAAAGACTGGGGACCTATCTGCAACATTCTTAAAGAAAAAAAATCTTCAACCAAGAATTTCATATTCAGCCACACCAAGCTTCCTAAGCAAAGGAGAAATAAGATCCTTCTCAGATAAGCAAATGTTGAGGGACTTTGTTACCACCAGACCTACTTTACAAGAGATCTTGAAAGAAGCACTAAATATAGAAAGACTGCTAACAACTAATACAAAAACACACTTAAACACACAGACCAGTGTCACTATAAAGGAACCACATAAACAAGCCAACATAATAATGAGCTAACAACACAATGACGGGATCAAATCCACCCATATCAATACTAACCTTGAATGTAAATGGGCTAAATGCCCTACTTAAAAGGCACAGAGTGGCAAGCTGGATAAAAAAGCAAGACCCAATGGTATGTTGTCTTCAAGAGATGTATCTCACACAAAATGACACTCACAGGCTCAGAATAAAGGGGTGGAGGAAAATCTACCAAGCAAATGGAAAACAGAAAAAAGCAGGGGTTGCAATCCTAATTTCAGACAAAACAGATTATAAACCAACAAAGATAAAAAAAGATAATGAGGGTAAAGGGTTCAACTCGACAAGAAGATCTAACTATCCTAAATACATATGCACTCAACACAGGAGCACCCAGATTCATAAAGCAAGTTCTTAGAGATCTACAAGGAGACACAGACCCCACACAATAATAGTGGGAGACTTCACCACTCCACTGACAGTATTAGAGAGATCATGGAGGTAGACAATTAGCAAAGATATTCAGGTCCTGACCTCGACACTGAATCAAATGGATCCGATAGACTTCTACAGAACTCTCTACCCCCAAACAACAGAATATACATTCTTATTGCACATAGCCTATACCCTAAAACTGACAACATAATTAGATATAAAACAATCTTCAGTGAAGGTGAGAGAACTGAAATCATACCAAACACATTCTTGAACCACAGTGCAATAAAAATAAAAGTGAAGACTAAAAAAATTGCTTAAAACCATGCAATTACATGGAAATTAAACCACATGCTCCTGAATGACTTTTGGATAAATAATAAAATTAAGGCAGAAATCAAGGAGTTCTTTGAAAATAATGAGAACAAAGATACAACATACCATAATCTCTGGGACACAGCTAAGGCAGTGTTAAGAGGGAAATTCATAGCATTAAATGCCTACATGAGAAAGTTAGAAAGATCTCAAATTAATAGCCTAACATCACAACTGAAAGAATTAGGGAAGCAAGAATAAATCAACCCAAAGCCAACAGAAGACAAGAAATAACAAAAATCAGAGCTGAACTGAAGGAAATTGAGACATGAAACACCATTCAAAAGATCAATGAATCCATGAGGTTTTTTTTTTTTGAAAAAATTAATAAGGCCACTAGCTGGACTAATAAAGAAGAAAAGAGAGAAGACCCAAATAAACACAATTAGAAATGATGAAGGGAATGTTACCACTGACCTCACAGAAATAAAAATAACCATCAGGAACTATTATGAACACCTCTATGCACACAAACTAGAAAACCTAGAAGAGATGGATAAATTCCAGAATACATACACCCTCCCAAGACTGAATCATGAAGAAACTGATTTCCTGAACAGACCAATAATGAGCTCTGAAATTGAATCAGTAATAAATAGCCTACCAACCAAAAAATGCTGAGGACCTGATAGATTCACAGCTAAATTCTACCAGATGTACAAAGAAGAGCTAGTACCATTCTTACAGAAACTATACAAAAAAAATTGAGGAGGAGGGACTCCTCCCCAGCTCATTCTATAAAGCCAGCATCATCCTGATACTAAAACTTGACAGAGACAGAACAACAACAACAAAAAAAACTTCAGGCCAATATCCTTGATGGACATTGATACAAAAATCCTCAACAAAATACTTGCAAACCAAATCCAGCAGCACATCAAAAAGCTAATCCACCATGATCAAGAAGGCTTCATCTCTGGGATACAAGGTTGTGTTAACATACACAAATCGATAAATGTGATTCATCACATAAACAGAACTAAAGACAAAAAACATATGACTATCTCAATAGATGCAGAAAAGGCTTTGAATACCTCTTCATGTTAAAAACTCTCAATAAACTAGGTATTGAAGGAACATGCTTCAAAATAATGAGAGCCATCTATGACAAACTCACAGCCAACATTATACTGAATGGGCAAAAGCTGGAAACATTCCCCTTGAAAACTGGCACAAGACAAGAATGCCCTCTCTCACCCCTCCTATTCAACATAGTATTGGAAGTCCTAGCCAGAGCAATCAGGAAAGAGAAAAAAAGTAAAGTGCATCCAAATAGGAAGAGAGGGAGTCAAACTATCTGTGTTTGCATATGGCATGATTCAATATCTAAAAAATGCCATAGTCTCAGCCCAAAAGCTCTTTCAGCTGAAAAACAACTTCAGCAAAGTTTCAGCATACAAAATCAATGTACAAAAATGACTAGCCTTCCTACACACCAACAACAGCAAAGCCAAGAGTCAAATCAGAAATGCAATCCCATTCACAATTGCCACAAAAGGAATAAAATAGCAAGGAATACAGCCAACAAGGGAGGTGAAAGATCTCTACAATGAGAATTACAAAACACTGCTCAAAGAAATCAGAGAAAACACAAACGAATGGAAACACATTTCATGTTCATAGATAGGAAGAATCAATGTCATTAAAATGGCCACACTGCCCAAAGCAATGTACAGATTCAATGCTGTTCCTATCAAACTACCAACAACATTCTTCACGAACTAGAAAAAAAAAATTTTAATTCTTATGGAACAAAAATGAGCCTGAATAGCCAAGGTAATCCAAAGCAAGAAGAAAAAAAGCTGGAGGCATCACACTACCTGACTTCAAACTACACTACAGGGCTGCAGTAACCACAAGAGCATGGTACTGGTAGAAAAACCGGCACATAGACCAATGAAACAGAATAGATAGCCCAGAAATAAAGCAACATACCTACAACTACCTGATATTCAATAAAGCTGACAAAAACAAGCAATGGGGAAAAGACTCCCTATTCAATAAGTGGTGCTGGGATAACTGGCTACCCATATACAGAAGGCTGAAGCTGGACCCCTTCCTTATAGCATATACAAAAACTAAGTCAAGATGGATTAAAGACTTAATGCAAAACTATAAAAAACCTGGAAGACAACCTAGGCAATATCATCCTGGACACAGGAATGGGCAAAGATTTCATGACAAAGACACTAAAAGCAATCACAACAAAAGCAAAAATTGACAAATGGGATCTAGTTGTATTTAGGATCTTCTGCACAGGAAAATAAACTATCAACAGAGTGAACAGACAACCTACAGAATGGGAGAAAATATTTGCAAACTATATATCTGACAAAGGTCTATATTCATCATTTAAAAGGGACTTAAATTTACAAGAGGAAAGCAACCCCATTAAAACATGAGCAAAGGACATGAAGAGATACTTTTACAAAGAAGACATACAATGCAGCCAACAAATGTGAAAAAAAGTTCAGTATCACTGGTCATTAGAGAAATGCAAATCAAAACCACAGTGAGATACCATCTCTCACCAGTCAGAATGGCTATTACTAAAAAGTCAAAAAATAGCAGATGCTGGCAAGGTTGCAGAGAAAATGGAACACTTATACACTGTTGGTGGGAATGTAAATTAGTTCAACCATTGTGGAAAGCAGGATAGTGATTCCTCAAAGAGCTAAAAGCAGAACTACCATTTGACCTAGCAATCCCATTACTGGGTATATACCCAGAGGAATATAAATCATTCTACCATAAAGACACATGCACACAAATATTCATTGCAGCACTATTCAGAATAGCAAAGACATGGAATCAACCTAAATGCCCATTAATGACAGATTGAATAAAGAAAATGTGGTACATATACACCATGGAATACTATGCAGCCATAAAAAAGAATGAGATCATGTCTTTTGCATGAGCATGGATGGAAGAGGAGGTTATTATCTTTAGCAAACTAATGAAGGAACAGAAAACCAAATACCACATGTTCTCACTTACAAGTGGGAGCTAAGTGATGAGAACTTATGAACACAAGGAAGGAAACAACAGACACTGGATCTACTTGAGGGTGGAGGGTGGGAGGAGAAAGAGGAGGAGAAAAGGTAACTATAGAGTACTGGTCTTAATTCCTGGGTGATGAAATAATCTGTATAACAAACCCCCATGAAATTACCTATGTAACAAACCTTCATATGTACCCCCAAACCTGAATGTTAAAAAATAAAAATAAAAATAACAGCACAATAAAATATAATGCAAATAAAAAAATGTAGCATAACACTTATTTACCTAGCATTTACATTGTATTGGGTATTATAAGTAATCTAGAGATAATTTAAAGCATAAGGAAGGAGATGCCTAGGTTACATGCAAATACCCTGCTGTTTTATATCTGGTACTTGAGCATCCATGGATTTTGGTATCTTTGGATGTTCTGGAACCAATCTCCAGTGGATACGGAGGGAAGACTGTACTATCATTTTATTATCCACTCTTGATGAACACTTGAGGTTTTGTTGTAGTTGTTTTGGGGTTCGGTTTGTTTTGCTATTGTAATACTGCAATGAACATTGACATATAAGTTATCTGTTTGAGTCTCTTTTTAATTCTTTTAGGTATATATCCAGGAGTAGAATTGCTGGGTCATATTGTAAGTCTATGTTTAACTTATTGAGAAACTGCCAACTATTTTGACAGCAGCTGTATCATTCCTCTAGCAATATACAAGAGTACCAATTTCTCCAAGTCTTCACCAACACTTGTTTTCTGTATTATTATTGTTCTAATATGTGAGATGTGGTATCTCGTTGTGATTTTGACTTACATTTACCTCAAGACAAAAGATGTTGAACATCTTTTCATTTGCTTATTGGCCATTTGTATATTTTCCTTGGAGAAATATCTAAGTCATTTGCCCATTTGTAAAATTGGGTTGTCTTTTCTTATGAGTCTTTTTTATATTCTGGATGTTAAAACCTTATTCAATACATGATTTTCAAGTATTTTCTCCCATTCTGTAAGTTATCTTTCCACTTTTTAATTTATGTCCTTTGATGCATAAAAGTTTTTAATTTTTATGAAGTTCAATTTTCTCTTTTGCTGCTCATTCTTTTGGTCTAATATCTAAGAGACCATTACCAAATCCAAGGTCATAGAGATTTACACCTGAGTCTCTCTCTCTCAAAATTGTATGAGTTTAGCTCTTATATTGTAGTCATTGATCCATTTTGAGTTAATTTTTCCATATGGTATGAGGTAGGTGCCCAACTTTTTTTTTTTTTTTTTTTTTTTTTTTGCATTTTGAAATCCAGTTGTCCTACATAGCATCATTTGGTGAAGAGACTATTATTTGCCCTTGAATAAACTGGGCACCCTTGTTGAAAATGTGATGGGAGAAAGAACATTGCTTGAATCATTGGACAACCTAAGGAGGTAGGTAGAAAGAGGGGATGCTGTAGGCTGGCCACATCCCTTGACTGCAGGTCACAGATCCTTTGACATGGCCTTCCCACACAGCTCACTGTCTCTCTAAGCTCCAAGTACTATTCCCCCTCCTTTTGACCCTCTAGGCCTCAGGTGGAAATGGAAATGCCCTCCCTGGACAACTGAACCATCTTTTATTATTTTCCACACTCTACCAACAGCTTTGTAAATGTCCTTGTGATGGTTTGTTTTATGTGTCAACTTGACTGGGCTATGGGATGCCCAGATAGCTTGTGAAACATTCTATCTGGGTCTGCCTGTGAGGGTGTTTTGGGAAGAAATTAGCATTTAAATAAGGAGACTGAGTAAAGAAGATCTGCTCCCACCAGTGTGAGTGGACATCATCCAATCTGTTAAGGTCTTGAATAGAACAAAAGGCATAGGTAGAGCAAATTCTCTCTTTTTTCTTGAGCTGCAACATCTAGTTTTCCTGCTTTCAGATGTCAGAGCTCCTGATTCTCAGGCCTTCGGATTCTGACTGAATTATCCCACCAGCTTTCCTGGTTCTTCAGCCTGCAGATGGCAGATTGTGGGACTTCTCAGCATTCATAATCATGTGAGACACTTCCCATAGTAAATTTCCTATCTATCTATCTATCTATCTATCTATCTATCTATCTATCTATCTATCTATCTAGCAATCTAGCTAGCTAGCTATTCTATTGGTTGTTTCTCTGGAGAATGCTGACTTATACTGTCTCTTCACTAAATTTTCCCCAAGCAACCCAATTTCAGGGTGCCACCTGTTTGCTGTAAGGATACTGATGGATGCACCTCATTGCCTAAAATGGAGGCAGGGAAGTTCGCCAGCTAACTCACATATCAGCTTTACCTCAGTGATAGCCATGTCCCCAGTCACACCCTCCAAAAGTGATGTCTGTCTGTTGTCTTTTCTGGGTAAACGGGTGGTTGGTGTACTGGGGTAGGAAGAACAATTATTTTGGAGTCAGGAGTTCTGGGCTGTTGTCATTATTCTCCCACTGACTCATGGTGGGACCTGGAATAGTCCCTTCTCCTCTTTGAGTTTTATTTTGCTCCTCTGTGAAATGGTGCTGGCTGCCATGCTCAGTAACTCTTCTCATGATTGAAGTGCAGGATTCCTGTGTTAAATGCCCCCTCCTCACACCAGCCAGCCATATCCATACGGGACCATCCCTGGGCAGGGAATCCAACCACTCAGGCCTCACTGCTCCTCCCCATCCTGGGGACAAACAAGATCTTCCTTGGGTAACCTACAAACCACTCCTAGGACCTCAGGGAATAAAAGATATCTGTCATGGCTTTTGACGGCTCAGTGGGGAGAAGCAACACACTGTTATCTTCAGGGCTGGAAAGCAGGACTTGAGACTTTCCCTGGGAACACCCTGCTCCCACAGAAAGCCTTCTAGAGCTCAGAACTGCCCAGTAGGAGAAGGAATACCTATCTAAGTGTCTGAAGCTTCCCTGATACTGAACAGGATTCTTACTAACAAAATCAACCAACACATTCATGAAACAGAGCATTTTCATTTGTGAACAAGAAGTCTATAACTTTGTAGAAATCAATGAGCCAAAGCAATCAACTGAGTGGGCTTCTGAACCAAATCTCAGCCCCTTAAAGTAGGGTGGATGTTCTTGTCTGAAAGAGTTTTCCTTTCCCTTTCCATGTATTGAAGACGGTTGGATACTCAGGGAGTCAAGGAAATATATCAGTCAAGTTCTGTGAAAGAAATGGAAAACATCTCTAGGTATTTCAAATGGAAAGATATTAGAGGCATGGAATTAGGTGCCTAAAAATCTTTAGGAGGACTAGAACCCTATGGGTTTCAGGTTGGGTCCAGGGATGCCCCTTGGAACACTGCAAAGCTGACTTGTCAATGGAGCTGCTCCTTCTAGGGCACCTCTAAGCTGTTGAGTTTAAGATCACACTAAGCCATGATTCAGGGCTCAGGAATCCAGGAAAGCAACCCCACAGCTGTGCCCTGTGCCTGTCTGTTTTACTGCTCTCAAAGCTGGTGGGTGGGTCTGGAATGTGATTTTCAGCAACTGTGTCCACTACAACTGCTTCTCCACACCCAAAAAAAAGCGGGCACTGGGAAGCTGCTGCAGAGGAAAAATAAAAGCCACATCTCCTCAACCTCTCTTTCTAGCAGAAATATAATCAAAAGCAGCAGCAAGGTGGCCTCTACCTCACTTTGTCTCCCAAGTCTTATGTAAAAACATTTCATTAGAGAGCTTAATAGATACGTAGAAAAATCACTACAAAGAAGTCTGAGGAATAATGCCGCAATAAACATACGTGTGCATGTGTCTTTATAGCAGCATGATTTATAGTCCTTTGGGTATATACCCAGTAATGGGATGGCTGGGTCAAATGGTATTTCCAGTTCTAGATCCCTGAGGAATTGCCACACTGACTTCCACAATGGTTGAACTAGTTTACAGTCCCACCAACAGTGTAAAAGTGTTCCTATTTCTCCACATCCTCTCCAGCACCTGTTGTTTCCTGACTTTTTAATGATTGCCATTCTAACTGGTGCGGCATTATTCACAATAGCAAAGACTTGGAAACAACCCAAATGTCCAACAATGATAGACTGGATTAAGAAAATGTGGCACATATACACCATGGAATACTATGCAACCATAAAAAATGATGAGTTCATGTCCTTTGTAGGGACATGGATGAAATTGGAAATCATAATTCTCAGTAAACTATCGCAAGAACAAAAAACCAAACACCGCATATTCTCACTCATAGGTGGGAATTGAACAATGAGATCACATGGACACAGGAAGGGGAATATCACACTCTGGGGACTGTTGTGGGGTGGGGGGAGGGGGGAGGGATAGCATCAGGAGATATACCTAATGCTAGATGACGAGTTAGTGGGTGCAGCACACCAGCATGGCACATGTATACATATGTAACTAACCTGCACAATGGGCACATGTACCCTAAAACTTAAAGTATATTAAAAAAAAAAAGAAGTCTGAGGAATGTAATTCTTAGCTTTCCAGCCCTTAAAGTGCAAGAAGACAGCCTAGAAGAAGGGCAGGATGGAGGGCGAGCAAGCTGACCTGTAGTGCCCACACAGCAGGCCTTCCTAAATCAGAAGGAGACTGCTGGCCTCTTTCAAATTCCCTTTGGAGGTTGCCAATCATCTGACACCTCCCCCATTTTCCTCTCAGAAGGGACACGTGGAGACCTATACAGGTAGACTCAATAAGCCTCATTTCCATGCCATAAAAAATTGGACAATTATATGCAGATTTGGTTGAATAATGTTTTTCTGTGTGTTTGTGGAGGGGAGGACACTGAACACAAGATACTGACATTTTTGTTATCTAGAACAATGCTGATGTTCAACCACTCAAAAATTTAATGCTCCCAAGACAATATATACAGTCCTGGGTTTAAATCCCAACTCTGCCTCTATGTGACTCTAGACCAGTTGCTTGTATTCCCTGAGCTCTATTTTTTTCACCTGTAAAATGGGACTAATGATATTGACTTTATAGAATTGTAGTGAAGAGTAAATGAAATAAAACCCGTAAAGTGCCTGGTGGAGTGCTGAGCACACATGTACCGGGGGTCTAATGACTATCCGCATTGTCCTGTTTTATACATTTTGCGGTAAAAGCCAATCCACATGCCAGGGAATAGACTGTCCCTTGTATAAATGTCAATTGCATCACTGTTTGAGAACAAAAAATGGTGAGATATTTCTTCCCTAATGCTTCAGAAACCTCCATAGACCCTCACCTGGTGTTCTATGCAGCACACATTTCCAGAGATTGCATCTTCCTAACAGAAGGTGTCACATAGGCAGCCTAATAAGAGGGAAGCACAGGCTGGGCATGGTGGCTCACACCTGTAATCCCAGCATTTTGGGAGGCTGAGGCGGGCAGATCACCTGAGGTCAGGAGTTCGAGACCAGCCTGGCCAACATGGTGAAACCCTGTCTCTAATAAAATACAAAAATTAGCCAGGCATGGTGATAAGTGCCTGTAATCCCAGCTACTCAGGAGGATGAGGCAGGAGAATTGCTTGAACCTGGGAGGCGGAGGTTGCAGTGAGCTGAGTTTGTGTCACTGCACTCTAGCCTGAGTGACAGAGCAAGACTCCATCTCAAAAAAAAGGGAAGGGCAGTAAGAGGTTTTTATATAATTTATCTATCAGGATCAGTGTTTTTTTGAACTGCAGGTCAAGACCCATTAGTGAGGAGGACCCAAAATCAATGTAATGGGTTATGACTGGCGTTTTTCCAAATGAAATCAAATGGAAGGGAAGGAAAGAAGAGAAATGAGACAAAAGAAGAGAAAAAGAGACTGTGAAAGTATGTCTTGATAGAGTATTGTTTTGAGGAACTGCTGTCTCCATTCATAGGTGTGTATATGAGCATGTGTGTGCGTGTGTGTGTGTGTGTACGCACTGGGTCATAATGTCAAATACATGTCTTGCTTGGATCACTGCAAAAAATGTTTGAAAGTCAAGATAACCAGCCCCCTATTTTGGAGTGAAGGGGAACTTGGATAATTAACCTGCTATACAACTTGTAACAGAAAGGAATTTCATTGATACTAACATAATTACCCAGAAAATAAATTTATACCTAGAAGTTTCTGAAAAGCCCACTGCTCACCACCCAGGTCATTGTAGCATCATCCTGGCTTCTCTGCGCAGTGGCCAGCTAGACCCATGGGTAGGTTTGGTGAAGGTACTGCCTTGGGGCACAGTGCCCTTGGCTCTCCCACTATGGTGTCTGCCCTGGCCTGACATGGCAGGTGACACAGTGTCAGGTTGTGAGGAGTCTCCCCCTCAGACCCCACTGCCCTTGGCTGCTCACCCTCCCTTTCTCCCCTGGCCTCTTCAGTGCTGAGCTCATCTCTCCTGTGCTCTTGTTTGCACCCCTCCACTCCATGGCTTTATTTCTGCAGCTCCTTGCTCCTGCTGTCTCACCTGCTGCTTCCACTGCTAAATGGCTTTCCGCTCTCAGCCTGCAAATAATTCCTGCTGCCGCATGCACAGTCTACACACAGCTCCTGCAGCCACCTGCCACTCACCATCCTCAGTGCCCAGAAGTGGGCTTGCAGCCTCCCTCATGGTGGCTGAGGAGGAGTCAAGGAGAGAGACACATGAGGCACAACAAGAGGACTGTCACTTGGTGCAGGAGGCTCATTTGGTCAAGTTCCTTAACATCTCTGAGCCTCTGTTTCCTCATCTGCCCAGTGCGTGCAACAGCGAAAGGTGTCCTTGCTCCTCATCAGTGTACTGTGAGCACCACATGAGGCTGTGGAAAGTGTGAGGTCTGTCAAAAGAGCTGGGCATGCTTGAGGGATTGTGTGCCTGTCAGGACCCTCCCTGGCTTTCTAACTCCTCCTTTTCCCCCCTCTCTTCTTCCCTTCCTCCCTTTGCCCATTCTCCTTAGTGCTGGCTCCCTTAGTGCAGTGGTCCTGCTCTTTAGGAAACTCCTTTATTTTGTAAGGAAAGGATCAGCAGGGGACAACTCCCACCTGGTGGAAGCCCAAGACCACCTCATTTTTGGTGTTCTCTGTTCTCCTTACTTTGAAACCCCCCTTAGTCCAAGGGACCCTCCATTCCCAAGATTGTTCAGAAGACCAGTGGAAGAGCTTTTACCTTTAACAGCCGGTTACATGTGGGTTACTCTTGCTGAAATATAGATGGCCTGACTCTTGGGTGAATAAACACTTTGTCTCCTCTTCTGGTTTTAGGCAATGGAGTGCCAAGTACCAAGCCCCACCACAGGTAGAGCCCTGAGCTGGGTGATGCAAGTGGATTTAGGGCACAGAGAACCAAAAAGGACTCTTAGCAATCAAACCATGTTCTCTGTTCTGCTTAAGACCCAGAACAGAGCTTAGAATGGTGCTGCCAGTAACTTTCTGTGATGACGGAAATGCTCTAGTCATGCTAATACATATTCGCCACTAGCCACATATGGCTATTGAACACTATTGTGAATGTTAGTATGACTGAAGAACTGAATTTTTAATTTTATTAAGTTTTAATTAATTTAAATACAAGTGTGACTAGCCCCGTGTGGCTAGTGCCTATCACATTGAACAGCACAACCTGAGAATCTCCATCTCGTCCCTTCTTCCCCACCTTCCTCTGGGAATCTGGCCCCTGAGCCATTGCTTCCTGAAGAGGATCCTGAGTTTGAAATAGGGTAGCAAGAAAATCTCTAAGAGCCCCCTGGTCTGGCCTCCTGTTGCATTCCATTCCACAGCCTCCTCCTTCAGCATCCATTGCCCTAAAATCTGAGATGCAGTTACAATGACAGCAAAGACTACAGCCCAGAGAAGGGAAAAGACAGGAGGGTAAATATGCATTAAAGAAACCAATGTGAAAATTAAGTGATTAAAGGAAGAAGGTTCCTGCTGAGACAATCCTGCCTAATGAAGCATTGGAGGTGTCAATCTTTGGGCCATGAGAAAGCTCCATGCTTGGGCCCAGCTCCCAGCTAGAGACCCACCGCTTCCTCTTCACTGGCCATGGGTCATCTGCTGCCAGTGGCTTCTTCTCTCGAATACCCCTCTTTCAGGGTGATCTGGGAAGATGCCAACTTGTTTTTCCATTAGCTTTTTAAAAATAGGCTAAAGAAATCCATGCTGGGTACAACCACATCCCTGAGCTCCTGGCCTGAAAGCAAACAGCAGGCCTGAGAGACAGAGGGAGCATTGGGACAGATTGAAGAGCCCTGGAACCTACAGCTGCCTTCCCATGAAATCTCCACCCTGGGGTAAGTCACTATACCTTGCGGGGACTCAGTTTCCCCACTTATGTGGAGTTGATGATTAATATATAGGGCAAAAACCTGTCTGTAGTGATTAGCACAATGACTGGCACATGGTAGGTGCTCAGTTGTGTGCCCCATATTCATGGCTTCATAAATTAATTCAGTTCTCCAAACCAAGTAATTATTAGCAGTGGTCAGTACTCTGAGCAAACACTTTGTATGGCCCTAGAGAGAATCTCATGCAAGAGAGGGTCTGCTTCTTGAACTAAAAGGGATGCATCTTCAGAGTCTAGAGTGGAATGAATCCCATTTCCCTTGGTACTTACTCTGGAGAAGACTGATCTCTCTTGCCACCCTCCTGCTGGCACAGGGACCCCCCCAATACTCTGGTTTATAGCCACAGCCTTGCTCCTAACACATTGTGTAACTTCAGGCCTCAGTTCCTTCATCTGTGAAATGGGTGTGGATTCCTCTCCAGCTCTAATGCTCAAGATCCTGTAGCCTCCCTGTAGAGGGAGACATTAGTACACTCAGGGACTCTGTTCATCAAAGATTTTCCATGTTATCAAATCTCCCCTTCCCTGTCTCTCATGCAAAAATTCTGATTAGACTGGGGGTGGGAGGGTGGACTATGAATCTGCCTCTTCCTTCTCACTTCTTCTACACTTACACTCCTCTCTTCCCAGCTGTCCCCAACTCGCTTTTTTAATTCCTCAGCTCTGAAGAGGAATTTGCATATTAATTTGAAAATGAGATCAGTTATTAGCCATAACCTGTCATGTATCATCCAATGCATCTGGACCTGGATTAGATTCAATATTGCCACAGAATAAAGACAGGGGGGAAAGAAGTAAATAATTTAAAGTCATTATTCTACTAATCCTCCTGCTTGGCTGGGCTCCCTAGAGGTGTGTTAGGAGGTAATTGAAAACACAGAGATTTGCTGAGAAGACATTTGAGAGGAACATTGCCAGCCATGGAAAGTATGGGGCTTGATGTTTTTTCCCTCTCATCTACCCACAAGGAAGGAAAGAGAGTGGTAAGGCTGTGACTCCAAGAAAACAGGGGTGGGAGGTAGTACTATAGGACCCAGGCCACGACGGGGCCAGTAGGAAGTGCAGGGACTCAGGTGCCACGTCTCCTCCCTACAGGGTGCTGCAAAGAGAGGAGATGAAAGGGAGATGGAGAAAGGATGTCATGAGCCCCTCTCCTGAAAACCCTTTATATGTGGGTTACTCTTCCCCACCCTGCCCCTTTCTGAGGTCTTTTCACCTGATACCAAAGAAAATGCTAAAGTCATAATTTGCAAACAGGCAGCCTGGACTTATGTTTTATTTGACTTGATCATAAAATGTCTTTTTTAAAAGATAAATGCCAAAAATGCAGACAACTGGAAATCTCACGTAGAAACCCAGTTTTGCTTCCTTTTGACCAAGGGAAGTGCTGGCAGGACTGTGGCCATAGTTTCCTAAGACCCCCTTGGGCTGGAGCTGAGCTAAGCTGCCCACTCAGGTAGAGCTTGAGGGTTCCTGGAGACCCACCAAGCTGGCTTCACTCCTTTGTGTTACCTGCCTCAACCCCCTGTGCATTTGCACTTGCAATCCCCTGTTTTGTGGGTAAAGGTGCTCGCATTGCAGCTCCCAGGAAATGGATCTACTGCAATGTGGATAATCAGAGAATCCAGGTTCAGGGCAGGGGAAGGGAGCCAATGTTTTCTTTTTCTTTTTTTTTCTTCTGTTTCAATAACTTTGATAGGGAGCCAATGTTTTCTAAACATAGACTCAGCTAGGCACTGTGTTAGGCATGGAGGCTATGAAGAGGTGAAGGATGTATGCTTTGTGTGGGGAGTCTTGGAGGGGAGATGGGCGGTGTCTATACACAGAAAACTAAGGAAGCTGTAAAAAAGAACTTCCTAATGGAGGGCTTCAAAGAGAGATTGTGCTGTGTCAAGAGGCAATGGGTTTCCCCTGCACTGGTGATGTTCAATAGAGAGCAGTTGGTCTTGTGGTGGAGATGACCACACGTAGACCCATTTTGGTAAGATATCACCCCTGACTCTGCATTGTAGGAGCAGAAGTGAGCCACAGAGACCAGGGTGGGCAGAAAATACAGCAGCCCAGGTTCTAGAGCAGGCTCTGCCAGCAATTTGCTAGGCAAATTACCCTTGGGCAAATGGCCAAATGTTTCTGAATGCCAGCTTCCCCAACCCATGATGCTTCCTGCTCTCCCTCTTTCCAGAAGAGAGTATGTTGAAAGAGAGCAGATGCCTCAGCTGCAGGGAACTCAGAGGAACAGTAAGGTACATCCAGGGCTGCTGAGGAGGAGGCACAATGTCCCATCCCTTCCAAGTGTAAACTCTTGTGAGCTCTCTCAGCCTCTCTACCTCAGAGTGTGGAACACCTGGCACCAGCTGCAAGGGACCCCATCTCCTATGAGAAACCAAACGCTTTGTTGTTAGTACCATTTATCGCTGCCATGGGGATTAGCTGCTGCTTAATGAATTTCTTAAGGAAGAAAGCTGTGCATGTTCCTGCACAGCTAGAGGAGTGGAGGCAAACTTGCCCTCCCCACTTCTCTCCTCTCACCTGTGGGTCCACACTATTATTATTTATAAGTTCTCTTTTAAGGCTGGCATCCTGAACAAGTCACTTGCCCCCTCTGGGCCTCATTGTCTTCATTGGTAAGAAGGGGAGTTAGACCACCGTTCACAAGCAAATTATTTTCTCTCTGCTTCTTCTCTGAATCTCCTTGCCCCCCAAAAAATCTCAAAGCGAAAAAACTGTACTCTGGATGATCATCAGTTAAACACTCTAATTACACAGGAATTGTTTCATTAGTTGTTTCCACCCGATCAAGCCTTGGCTATATGAAGGGGAGTAGAAAGTCCCTCAATTGTTACCTAAGTGACTAAAGGAAATGAAGCTAAGTAAATCCCCAGCCCACAGCTCATCACTGTGATGCTGGCAGGCTTGTTAGCAAGCTTGGAAAATGACCTGTGGTTGACAAGATCTCTCTTGGGTTGAGAATGAATCTTGCATTTGAGTTCTGTCCCCACAGGTCAGATCAAATGAATCACTGCTTATGGAGTCTCCTGTGGCACTTTCTGCATCACTGACATCATCACCTTCTCACTGACATCAGGCCTCGTTTGTTTATGAGCTGTCTTCCCCACCTGGAAAGTGAGCACCATCCTATTGGTCTCTCTGATGTCTGCCCCAGCACAGGCCCTAGGAGAAAGACTTGTGAATAAATGAATGAATGATATGTGGAATCCTAGAACCACTCATTCATTGAGGACTAGGGCTGGGAGGTTCTGCCTAGTTTATCTTCAGTACTTCCACGCTGAGCAGTCCCTGCTGGGGGTCTCTACAACACCAGATGTCCAGTGCCTTCAGGTTAAGCCTTGGTTGCTCCCTTTGCCATTCTCCTCACCCCTGGACCTGCCATTCTGCGATAAAAAACCTTGATGATCAGGGTCAAAACTAGGTTGAGGTGAGTGAAATACTTATTGGGGTACAACACTTAAGGGGGCACAAAAAAACTCAGTAATAGTTTAATGTAACATTTCTAAAAAATCAAAATTAATGCAAAAACTTCATGCTAAACAGAACATTTTAATTTTAAATAAAGTCAGGATTTGCACTTCCATAAGTGCTACACTAGCTTCACCTTGAAAGGGCCTTCTGGAGACAATGCCTCAAAAGTAGCTCAGACTCTAACTCTGGTAGTAACATTGCCATCTATTTGCTATGAGGCTGAACCCTTGGTTTCCTGTGAAAGCTTGGCCTGGGCTGTCCGTTTTCAAATGAAAGGGGGATTCCTATTTGTGGCTTCTGTCCCCACCTGCACCAGCCAAGTTAGAATTTTAAGTCCCAGACTAGGCGGTCTTGGAAGACATCCGACAGCTGGTCTGAAAGACAAGCATTTTAAAGAGAGCCAATCATGGTCAGGCTGGCCTTGTGGTGGTTCACAGTGTATTGACATGGCAGCCACAAACTCTGTCTCTTGGAGTCAGGCTCTGCCAGAAATCTTCTGCTGCCCCCTGTGCTATGGGGTGGTGTTTGCTTTGCTTGGCAGAATCCTGGGATACTGGTGCCAAGAAGGACCTTACAGATCCTCCTAGCCTCATGGTACCCATAAAGCAGTGGTTCTCAACATGGGACAGTCCTCCCTGACCTTGGAAACTTATCAATGTCTGGAGACATTTTTCATGGTCACAAATAAACACAGGGTTCTACCAACATCTAGAGAAGAGAGGCCAGGGTTGCTGCTAACCATTCAAAATTCACAGGACAGTGCCCACCACAAATACTTATTCAGTCATAAATGTTCATTGTGCCTAGGCTAAAAGACCCTGAGGCAGAGAAACAGGGAGAAATAGGTTCAAATCCACATGGCTGGTCTGGTGATTCCTCACTGAAAGACAACCACTTCTCAATTAAGTTCCCTGAATCCTGAAAATCTTGTGGTTTCTCTGTCCACAGATAAGACCCACCCCAACTCAAGCATTTATGAAAGAGGATATCATAATTTCCTAGGTCCCTATCACTTTCCTATAACTTGCTCCCCTGATTTTGAGGAAGTTCTTCCTGAAGCCTAGCCTTCCTCTCTCCTGCTGCAGTTCAGGAATGTTTTAGAGATCAGATGTTCCTCTCTTGCTCCACCTACTTCTGACCCTTTGAAATAATGCACCATAATATTGTTGACTGGAACTCCCCAATGAAAGAAAAGGTCAGGTATCACGTGAAAATATAAGGGCAGTTATATTTCCCTGAATACCTAGATACTGTGACAAGTGAGCACAAAGATATCTTTCACTGCACTTCAGGCAGATTGTGTTGGGTTAATTATCATGAACTCAGGGCTCTCAAGCTGGAGCTCAAAGGCTAAAAAAGAAATTCCTCTTTAGCTAAAAGTAACAAATCTTCAATATAGAGACAGATCCTATTTGAGAAAGAGCTCAATGAAAACCTGTTTCCACAGATTGGATGAAGAGGATTTTCCTTACAGGAGTCATTCATTCTCTCAACAAACATTTGTTGAGCACTTTCTATGCGCTAGAGCTGTGGTTCTTCAACCTGATGCACATCAGAATCCTCTTTAAGGCTTAGTGTATCTACCCAGCCTCCTAGGAGAGGAGGGGAGCTGGAGATTGAGTTCAGTCACATGGACTATGTTTCAAAGTCCCAAAACTCTGGACACAGAGGCTCGGGTGAACATCTGGTGGATCTTCCACGAGGGTGATGTGAGGACATGGAAGTTGTACGTTTGGGACCCTCACACACCTCTTCCTATGCATCTCGTCTTTGGGACAGTTCTTTTGTTGTTGTTGCTACGATGCAAATGATTTTTATTTTAATAGTTTTCAGGGTACAGGTGGTTTTTGATTACATGGATAAGTTCTTTAGTGGTGATTTCTGAGATTTTAATGCATCGATCACCTGAGCAGTGTACACTGTACTTCTTTTGGCTAGTTTTGAGTTGTAGCTTTTATAATAAAATGAATTGTAAATATAGTGCTTTCCCGAGTTATGTGAGTTATTCTACTGAATTATCGAACCTGAAAGAGCTATGGAAATGGCTGACTTTGAAGCTAGTTAGAAGTGTGAATGGCTGGGGGACCTCGGAGCTTGCAATTAGTGTCTAACGTGAGGGCAATCTTGAAGAAAACTATGCCCTTAACCTGTGGAGTCTGCACTAACTTTGAGTAGTTAGCACTGGAATTATGTTGCACCATAACTATATGAGCTGGGTTGGGCCTGAAAAACAGATTAGAGGTAGTTTGAGGAGAACAAGGTTAGAGAGAAGAGAATAGAAATGACCCACAAGAAGCCGATTAAAACATTATTTCCACTCCTAGCTGTTCTGAGCACTGGTAGAAGGTGGCCTGTTATCTGTACTGTTGAAGTATTGAGATACTTTCATCCCCATTGGCAAAGAGCTGCTATCTTGAGCCCATTAAGTACGCCACCATGCCTCTCTTACAAGATCTTCTCCACACTGATCACCCTAAGATTCAGAAACTAAAGAGTTAGCATTGACACAGCAGAGGCCTTGCAGGTCACAGTCATTCCAACTGGCCAGTGCTATACCCTACATTTTATTAAATATTTCAGAGTTCAGCCCTGAGTACAGGGGGTTTCTACAGAGGGATCTGTCAGAGCAAACCCACATTTTCTAGTCTTGAACTCAGCAAGGATTTTTCCAAGAAAGATTATTCTGTATCAGGGTTTTAGGCCCATACCCAGAAAAGACAGAAGAAACTACTCAGAAGTAAAAAAAAATTCAGCCAATTTGGTTATTTGGTAGCATGTAGATTTAGAAGCAATGCATTCATCAGGTTGAATTCATTTCTTTCCCCTTTCTTTCACCCAAAATAAGAGTTAGGAAGCTTAGATAGTATCTCGAAAATCTGTGTAAAGAAGCAACTGTAATTGCTCTGTTCTTTTACTTAGATATTTTTGCCAATTCTAAGACACATAAATAAGCTTGTTATTCAGGCACAGAGGAAAGTGGGATTTATTAATTTAAATGAGTTGATTTGGAGGTCTCTGGGGAAAGATGCCTTGTTCACTCACCCGTCCCAGGGCATAATTTACAGTGAGCTTTCCCTTCATGTTTTGGACCTAGTTGATGCTAGGGCATAAATTTCTTCAAGTTATTATTATTATAATTCATTATTCATTGAATGTTGACTCAGTGTAACACAAGCAGTGGCAGAAAGACACAGCCCTCCCAAGGGGCTGGAAAGCCATGTCCTAGACAATTCTAGAGGGAGATGCAAAGATCTGGGATTGCAGGAGGGTGATGAGTCTCCCCAGGACTACACCTGGAGCTTTATTGATGTCCACTAAAGTCTTCCCAGAAGAAACAGGCTTTTGTGCAGGGAGAGTAAAAATACAAACTTAGTGGTAAATTAGCCACGAACTGGGCTACTTGCTAACCTTAATTCAGACAAAGAATCCAATAGGGGGGAAGGGCCACAGAAGAGGACAGAAACAGAACCAAGTCCTTGAGGTTGGAGGGGGAGAAGGGGACATGTTCATTTTGGAAGCATTTTCTCACTTTTCTCTCCAGATGCTGGGTTAAAAAGTAAGAATCTGGGCAGGTCGGGGGGAGTCAGGCACAGGAATCCATCCCCCCCCAACCACAACCCTCCATCACCTTGGATGACTACTTCCCCTCCTCTGTCTCCCACCCAAGCTCTTCTCCTGTTAGGAATAGCAGTGTGCCTCTTCATTCTTCAGCCATGCCAAACAATTGTGCTGCTTGGAGGCACAGGCCTGACTGACAGAGCATTTTAGACCTAGCAACAGAAAGCAATTAAGTGCCATTTGGTGCTGCCTATAAGTGCAATGGGAATTAGAGAGGAGACAAAAAATGATTTCAGGATGTCAAGATGGGGTGACTGGTGACAATACAGTGACATGCTCCCCTCCCTCCCTTTCTCCCTCAAACATTTATTGAGCATCAGTTGTATGCCAGATTCTGTGCTATGTGGGTGGGGGTTTTTGGGTAGAGGGCAGGCATACGCAAATCAAGAAGAGATTTGGGAATGTATAGAAGTCATGTAACCTCACTAAGCCTCAGCTGCCCCATCTGTAAAAGTAGGGTACCCCACTCCCTCACAGGATGGCTGTGATGGAAATGCACATAGTGGTTAGCAGAATACCAGTTGCAGAATATGCAGTCAATAGAGATTAGCTCTGTAGTTATCTCTGTTGTCAAAAATAAGTGTTACTTATATACTCCAATGTACTGAAAGCCATGCTCCTACCAAGCAACTGCTTTTTATGTTAAATTTTTGATGAAATACATATATATATTTACCTATATATGCCTATGCATATATGCACACCGTAAATGTAAAGCCTGATGAATTTCCATCAACTAAATATGCCCATGTCATCCACACCCAGACCAAGAAAGAGAACATTACTGACACCCCCAAGAGCCTGCCCTGCTCTCTTCCCAGTCTTTCCACTGCTGCAAGGATGACAATTACCTTGACTTCTAACAGCATAGATTAGTGCTGCCCATGTTTCTACTTTATATAAATGGAATCACACAGCATGTACTCTTTTGTTTCTGCCTTCTTTCATTCAACCTCCTGTTTGTGAGGCTCATCCATTTTGCAACTGACGTACATTTGTCAGTGAATTTTGCAACTGATCATATTTTTATGACACTCAGAGCCAAAATAATGGCCACCTCCAGAAATTCCACAGGACCCCACGAGAGGCATTCTGTACCTTGTCCTCACTTTCCCACCACCCAAATTTTCTCATGGACTTTTTTCTGTTTATATTGATGGAATATAAGGATGTTTATAACTTACTTCATATCCTGTTTAAAATGATGTATAGGGGAAATTATAATAATGAATAAATGTTATTTCCCCTTCCCTAGTCAGAGCTCTACTCACTGTACAACTCTACTTCAGGGAGATGATAAGATGAGTGCAGATGTCCTGAAGATGGGGATGAAGATGAAGAAGGCGGTCATAGCTCGCATCCATGGAGCACTTGCTTACTATGTGCCTGGCTTTCTTCTAGCTCCTGACATATAGAGATTCGTGACATCTTCATCACAACATATTTTTATCCCCATTTTCAATTAAAGAAACCAAAGCACAGAAAGGCTAAATATCTTGCTGGAGGGGACCCAGCTGGAATGTGGTGAAGCTTGGATTAGAGCCCAGCCTGAGAAATTCGGTTCTAGAACTCCATCACAGCCAGCACCCAGTATTGTCACTGCATTGCATGGAGGATGGCCTCTGAGCCACTGCATTGTCATTTCTTTCAAGTCAGCGCTCCTGGCTTGCTTTTTGAATCCTCTTCATAAGTTACCAAAGTCCCAATGTCAAGCCTAATCTCAGCCTCCCTGTGTGTGTGCGTGTGTGTGGACACATGTGTGTGCGTAAGTGCATGTGGCTGGAATGTGAGTGAAGCCCCTGATTATTATGTAAATGAGGACAGGGCCGAAGGCTCCAGCAGAGCAGTCTTCAGGTCCATTGCCTTCTCCAAGGCTGAGCACCAGGCGTAATTATCAGTGTCTTTTAGCAGAGCCACAGGTAGCTGTCAGTGGCATCAACAGCTTTTAAACGCAGTGGGAGGATCCATACAAATCAGGCTGACCTGCTAATAGAGGAAGAACCCCATCTGCATGGGAGGATAGCTACAGCTGTTATCCAAGGAAGACACACCTAGGGCCAGCCAGACCAGAAGTCACCACTTACTGATTCAGCCCAGGCTCCTCACACACATTATGTCCACACTTACAGCCATCCCTGAGGCTGGAGTTACCATCCTATTTTTCAGATGAGGAAACTGAGGCTTCAGTAAGATGTGGCCCATTAATACAAGCCTGAACACTCTGGCTTGATTTGTTAGAACAAAGGGAAACCCAGTGTTTGTTAAAGAAAGAAAGTGACATTCTGCCATGAATTCAGCCTAGGATTGTAGATAGGATAGTAAGGGCCAGGGTCCCTGGAACAGGGCCTGGGGGGAATATGAGTTCAGCCTAAGGAACCATGGCTGCAGGCACACAGGAAGCTGCCTGCCTTCCCTCCCAGCCAGAACAGGCCCCTGGCTTTCAGGAGCTGCCACAGTACATGGGAATTACATGGAAAATGCATACCTACCTCAGGCTTCTGAGATAAGCAACTCCCTCTCTGATTCCTTTCTTGGGCTTTAATCCTGCTTACTGCTTAAACTCTTAGTGAATTCTGTTGGCAATGGCCTGTGCTTTCTCCAGAAGCAATAAACACCTTGCAATTTATAAATCATTCCATCAATAATTGTCTGCAGGCCAGGGACAGTGGCTCATGCCTACAATCCCAGCTACTCAAGAGGCTGAGGTAAGAGAATCTCTTGAGGCCAGGAGTTCGAGACCAGCTTGGGTAAATAGAGAGACCTCATCACTTAAAAAGTAAAAATAAAAAATTTAGCCAGTCATGGTGCTGTGTACCTGTAGTTCCAGCCACTTGGGAGGCTAAAGCGGGAGGGTCACTTAAGCCCAAGAGATAGAGGCTGCAGTGAGCTACGAGTGCACCACTGCACTCCAGCCTGGGCAACAGAGCAAGAACTGATCTCTAAAAAAATTAATAAAATAAGAAATAGAAACTTGTCAAAGTCCTTAGCCCAGTGCTAAAGGGGCTGCCTGTCCTTGGTGAATAACTCCCGTCGTGACACCTAGAACACGGGATTAATGCTGTCCCTACTGAATACCCCCATTTGCCACCATTCCTCAATGATTATCTCTAATCCTCAGGATAAACCTACATAGCCAACATTATTCTCTATCTTCTTACATGTGTGGATGTGAAGGCTCAGATGGGTTAAGTAGTCTGTCTAAGGTCATGCAGCTGGCAAGTGGCAGAGCCAGAGTTCAAGCTTTGTTCTGGCTGACTCTAAGTCCATACTGGCTCCAAATGCCACCAAGGTCTTTTACTGGACAATGGCTTTCAAGCGTTTTTGACTGCAATGCATGGTAAAAGATATACTGTGCATTTCCCTGTGCCAGAACTTGTCTCTTTGCCTGTTAGGACATACTGCCTTCTGTCCCAGGAGCTGTAAGACACTGCACCTGTGGCTGTCTTACCTTCCAGCTTCTGGGGAGGGTCTAGTAAAGGTGAGCTCCAGCAGGAGATGAAAAGAAAGGAGGAGAGAGGCCGGGGTATTCGTTCCCCTCACTTGCTTCTTACTCATTTGAGGTAGGAGGCTATACCTCAACACAGCCACTGTTTCTCCCAAGGTGATTGATATGGTTTGGCTGTGTACCCACCCAAATCTCATCTTGAGCTGTAGCTCCTATAATTCCCATATGTTGTGGGTGTGTCCCAGTCGGAGATAATTGAATCATGGGGGTGGTGTCCCCCATACTGTTCTCGTGGTAGTGACTAAGTCTCATGAGATCTGATGGTTTGATAAGGGGAAGCCCCTTTCACTTGGTTCTCATTCTCCCTCTTGCCTGCCACCATGTAAGATGTGCCTTTCATCTTGTGCCATGATTGTGAGCCCTCCCCAGCCATGTGGAACTGTAAGTCCATTAAACCTCTTTTTCTTTATACATTACTCAGTCTTGGGTTTGTCTTTATCAGCAGCATGAAAATGAACTAATACAGTGGCCTTTTCCATAAGACTCCCTTGTTGGGTCTGGAAAGTACTCCCTCCCCAAGATCCTTCTGCCCTGGGGGGTGCTAACAGCCCCACTGCTGCTAGTCTTCGGGTCTTGCATGGTGGTTTCCCTATTTCTCTCCTTTGTAAATATTCTTTCTATAAACCCTGCTCAACTTATCCTAATTTAAGTGTGTCTTCTCTTTCCTCTTGGAACCCTGACTAGTGCACTGGTAAACAATGACCCAGTACACACACACGCCTGAAGCTAAAGTTTCCAAAAAACTTTCTAGTCTTTCATGCCCTATCTTGCCCCACCAAACAATTAAAATTTATTCATGACCTTCATTTTGAAAAAAAAAAAATTTTAGACAACACCCATGGAAGCTGCCATGGTGATCATGCAGGCCACTCCTGTCTTTTTGGAAGAAGCAACTGAGTTTAAAAAAAGAAGTAATTGCTCAGAACCATTTGCTCTAAATAGATTGGTTCTGGACTAGAACCCAGATTGTGACTATTGATCCTGCTTTGAAGGGTTGAGGTTGAAAGACATACTGCCCTTTCTCTCGGGACACGTGACTCTCTCAGGTCTTTCACTGGAACAAAAAGAATTGGTAGGAAGACTGAACTTACTAATCAGCTTTTCCCTCTTGTCCTGGTCTTTTCCAAGAGCTACCACTTACTCTTCCACTCATGAATGGTGCTGGCAGGGTTTATAGAAGCCTTGCTTCTTGGAGCTGGAAGGGGCCTTAGCAGTCAATCAGTCCAAACCTCTCATTTTACAGGTGAGGAAGCATGCCTCTAGAAATACTCTACACCACTAAATCAACATGGGCCTGATTCACAGCCTTGGCTATGGCTGAAAATTACAGAGTGAAACGTCCAAACACTCCCACAGCAAAAGGCAAATCCATGGAGGACTGGGCTGCAGCATCTGCAGTCAGGGTCCACCTGAAAGCCAGAATGTGCCCACCATAGCCCCCTGCCAGCCTAGAAAGGAAATGAAATCATGGGCAATTCACAGTGGACAGAAGGAAAGCCTGGAGGTCTCATGTTAATCATAAGAGGCTGGTCCCCTACCTGAGCATCAGTATTGCTGATTGGGGCCAGGAAGGTAGAGGGTAGGAGCACATGAGGAGAAAGGCCCCAAGTGGGGTGATGACATCGCGTTTTCAATGGCTAAAGCTCTTTTCCCAGCCTCTGTGGCCTTGGCCTCCAAAATGGGGAACATACTCCCTGAAAGTTAAAAGCAGAGTTTTGGAGGCAGGAAGAAAATAATTTCCATTCATATTTATTTTTCTTTATTGAAATGTTTTACTTCCAGTACTTAATATCCTAGCTCTCAGTATTACATGTATAAAATGTATAAATTAATGTACTTATTTTGGGAGTATACAAATCCAGATAAATTCTAGGTCACTGTTCTAGGGAATCAGGGACTCTCAAAGTATGGTCTGCATCAGAATCACCTGGGAACTTGATTCAGGGCCCCCACCAAACCTGCTGGAGCAGATTCCCTGGGGGCTGGGACAGGAATCTGCATATTAGACAAGTTCCCCAGGTAAGTCTATGCCCACTAATCTTGGACAATGGTCACTCTGGGCCTTGCCTCTGCAGCTGTGGGAGGAACCCATCCAGCCCACAGTAGTCCCCTCTGGATGCCCATCCCCAGAGAACACCAGGTCCTGCCTGTCCTGCCATCCACTCATTGTACACAAAGCTACCTGGCCAAGGGGGTGAATGCGGCTGACATCCTCCAGGTTGTGTGCCTGGCATGGAAGCTGCATCTGTCCCATGAAAAGGGCCACTTTGTTCTAATTTACACAGAGCTGCTGTATGGGCTGGAAACAGCTATGAACTGCTGTGGATTTGTCTGCTGGGAAAGCCTGACCATTCACTAGGACCAAACTGGGATCACCAGAGAGAGGGCAGAACTTTTGAGGCCAGGGGGGAAAATATGACTGAGATGGTGGAGGAAGGCTAGGGTGTAGGAAGAACTTCCTAATATCAGGGTAGTAGGACAGATGGATTGAAGAGCAAAGTCACAGAGGACCCACTTGAGGAAAAGGAGGAGAAAGACAGGGGAAGGAGAAGTCAGGATAGAAAAATGAGCAGGTGAGAGAGAATAAGACAAGCAGAGACAGAAAGAATAGAGAAAGAAGCATATTATTGAGAGATGGGGCTCAGTGAGGAGTAGGCCGTGTAGCCTGCCTGTACTATCAGAAAAGTCGGGGCAGGAGTGAATGGGAAACATATGGCTAACTTTAGGGAAAAAAAATCATGCCCCTTCCCCCTGCTCTATTAGGTTGGTGCAAACATAATTGCGGTTTTGCCATTACTTTCAATGTCAAAAACCACAATTACGTTTGCACCAACCTAATATATATTCCTTTACAGTAGTCAAAAATGTCTGGAGGCCAGGTGTGATGGTTCATGCCTGTAGTCCCACAACTTTGGGACTACAGGATCTCTGGCTCAAGGCCAGAAGATCGCTTGAGCCCAGGAGGTTGAGACCAGCCTGGCAAACATAATAAGACCCTGTCTCTACAAAAAATTTAAAAACTTAGCTGGGCATGGTGGCATATGCCTGTAATACTAAGGTACCCGACAGGCTGAGGCAGGAGGATTATTTGAGCCCAGGAGTTTCAGGCTACAGTGCTGGCAGCCTGGGCAACACAGTGAGACCTTCTCTTAAAAAAAAAAAAAAAAAAAAAGGCTGGAGAAGCAGAGAAGAATCTATACACCAGGGTTGTTTTTCTGGGACTTTCTCTGGCTAAGGCAAGGGAAAGGTTTTCCACTTTCAATGCTTTTTCATTGACCACCAGAGCCCCGTTGCATTCACGTTTTCGTTTCTGAACAATAAACTGGCAAATTACCCATTGGGTTGTTTTAGCCAGGATGCTTGCTGCTGCTGACATTTACCTGGTGATTTGCACCGATTGAAATTCTCCAGAGTAATTGCTATTAGCATATCATCAGGAGTTTATCTTGGGAGCTTTTGGGTTTTGCTGATTTAATAACCAAGCTCTGGAGTCTGTGTTATGGGGAAAAATGTTTAGTCTGATGAAGAGAGCAGGAGAGAGTCCAGCATCTTCTCCTGCAGGTCAGGCCAGAGCTTATTTAAGAGAACGAAAATAAAAAGAGCAAGAGGAACATTTGCTTGTTTAATTGGCCATAGACTTTCCTGGTAATAATTTGTAGCAAGATAACAGACTTCTTCAAGGTCATGTGTCTGGGCATGGCTGGGTGAGGAAAAGGACTCAGAAAATTCTGGGTGATTGGCTTTATAAATGAGTATGCTGATTTTGCTAGGACTCATCCGTCAGTTGATGAATGTCTACTGTTTAACTGAGGGTTCCAGCCCGGCTGGCCTGGTTCTCAGCCTGGACTCCTGGCCCAGCTGTGTTTGAATAAATGCAAAGATGGAGGACCTGCCCTGGGGTCTGGAGCAGCAAAGGCATTGTGTTCAAATCCCAGGAGCATGAACTCCAGCCTGAAGCCAATCATTTGCTGAGAGCCCACTGAAGAGACAACTCAGAAATAGAGCAGACCACCTGGGCAAGAAGTAGGATGGGGCAGCTGTGCCTGAGTCTGGGCTTGCACAGACCAGGTTGGGTTCTCCCAGCTGTACTATACCCTAGTTCCAGACCCTTGATCTGTTGGAGCAGATCCTGTGATTCCCCATATTTGACCTGAAACTGATTTTATAGAGTAGAAAGGGACCTTAGAGTTCCTTGAGTCCAACCACTCCCTGTTTCAGATAAAGTTGAGGCCCATGATGGCACCCATATCTCTGTACTCCATCATGACCTGAGGGCCCTCCATCACTGCCCGTATTATATTGTTCAGCATTGCTGTGGGCCATTGTGGTCCTTGATCTCCATGTGAAGGGCTCCATGAAGCCATGGCCTGCATTTTATTAATCACAGGACTTGACACCCAGCAAATGCTCAGTGTTTCAATGAATGAATCAATGAATGGGGTGACTTGCCCAAAGATGCATAGTTGTTGATAGTGGCAGATCCAGGACACCCTGTGCTAGCATTGGCTCAGTGTTCCTGATAGGGCCCCACACTATCCACCAAGGGGTGAAGCAGAGGCATTAACTACACCAGCATCCGGTCCCAGACTGCTGGAGTTTGGATCTTGGTTCATTAGCTAGCTATGTGGTGGCCACAAAGGCAGGCTTCTCGGATTCCCTTTCAAAAAGGAATTTGCTGTTCAGCTCTAAGAGGGCAGTTGCTGACAGCCTCCAACACCAGCACCTTCAGGGTCCACCTTGGCTCTAAAGCCAAGGCCAATTCTTCCCTATCAGTCCCAGCCAATGACAGAGACCAGTAGGAGTACAAGGGCCTGGCCATGCCTGCCCAATGCCAGGCCCTCTAATGGGCTGTCTCTGCTCCAGAGTGCCCCACCAGGCTGGCTGAGACTGTCTGAGCTACTCAGTGGTCTGAGGCTCTCCCAGCTCCTTTTCCTTTCCCAGGTTTCAGGTCTATATTCTAGTCTGAAGGTTTTCCCTCTCCATTTCTACTTTCTCCCCCTTTTATATTTTTTTCACAGGAATACTTCCAATAAACCTCAATAAATCTTAGCATCTACTCCCCAGAGGCCTCAACTGACACATGCTGTGGGACCTGGGACAAGTTCCTTAACCTCTCCAGCCTTCATTTTATCCTCTGTAAATTGGGCTTATGTTCATATCTGACTCATAGGATGATATGGGCCATCCCTTAGGGAGTAAATGAATCCTGGTAAGGGGCTGGAATAGCACCTGGCACAGGTAGGCGCTCTATACATGTTAGCTAATGCTATTACTGAGGAATCCTGCTTGTCCGTGGATTTCAGTTGCATGGAATCCTACATCTAAGTAAAGGAACTACAGAAAGCCTGTAGCCCTTGAACTCATCCACACACACAGCTGGATGCATGTGAGATAAGGTCATAAAAATGCAAACTCTGCTCCTTTTTCCAAGGCACCCACTGTGGAGCTAACAGAGGCCAGGGGCTGGGATCTGGCTGCAGATCTGGTGGGGGTCAGGCCTGAGCAAATGCTGTCTCTCTCCTGGGAGATAAGGTTCTGAAGGTGAGGAATGTCCTGACTACCTTCCCAGCCTCAGTGTCTCAACTGGACACCCTACCATGGCCTGCTCGATGCCCAGCTGCCTCTGGTGAAGGTGGGAAAGGTGAGAGCTGCTCTTGGTGCCTTGTGAATCCCCAGTCTCCTCTCCCAGACACCCTCGGCCACTTTCCCACCTCAATCTAGGTCCTCAACTGCTCTGAGTGTACTTCACAGCTGAGATGTTGGCTCATGAAAAAAAAAAAAAAACAAAACTAACAAACAAAAAACAGAGTTCTAACCCCCATTCAGCCTCAGCAGCAAGTCATGCTCTCCCTCTGGGACCAGGATTTAAATTTCTAGGGATAGTTCTGACTGTGACAGGAAAGGTATAGGACTAGATAATGTCTGATTTCCCTTTCTAGCTCTGACATTCCATCAGGGGCCAGCCAACTCTTTCTCTAAAGGGCTAGCAAGCAAATACTTTACATTTATAGGCCATAAGTTATCTGTCATGACTACTCAACTCTGCTGTTGTAGTATGAAAGCAGCCATTGACAATATGCAAAAAAAATGAGCCTAGCTGTGCTCAGATAAAACTACCTATAAAATCATGTGCTTTGGTCCAAGGGCCATATTTTGCCAACTCCCATGCTATGTAATAAATGTGATGATTCTGCCCTGGGGTAACCGATTTTCAGTGGACATGTGGATATTCACTGGTGGTTTCCTGACGCATTTTTCCCTGCCCTCCTGACCAACAGCACCAGACATTCCTTTGGGTCACTGCTCCTCCTCCTTTGTCTCCCATGTGGTTTGGGTGTGATGACTTTAAGCTGGACTCTGAGGGGATTGAGGGAGTCAGCATACCCCTCTTGAACCACAGAGATTTATTGGGGGAGTTAAGTGAGAGGAACACAAAATTCAATCTAGGTCAATGAGTTGTGAGATGTTTGCTAGGGGCTTCACCAGAGATACTTCCTTTTCTTCTGCAGGAACATCCCAGAAGAGAAGCTGTGTGTGTCCAGATAGTTTTGTAGGCACTATGGTGGTGGGGAAGAGTGTGGTGGCCAGAAGAGAAAACTGGCCTAGAAGTAGAGCAGAGCCAAGGAACTCAAAGAGAAATGGAGCCAGAGCCCTTCTGACAATGGGAACCCCTGGATCAAACCATGCCTGAAGCCAGAGTCTCTACAAACTTTTCAATCATTAGGCCAATAAATTGTTATGCTACCAAGCTAAGTGTCCTGTTATTTACAATAAAAAGGATCCTAACTGATACAATTAGGAACCTCAGAAAAGGGGGACCCACTACCCCCACCACTGCTAGGTCCCAAAGAAATGAACCTACAATGGTAGAATTTCAGACCTGTAATTAGGAATGGCAAGGAAATCTCAGGAAGAAACTTGAAGACAGGGGATTTATTTTAAAGGAATTCAGAGTACGCCGTGCCAAAACATGCCACTCAGGTATATGAGGATTATTTTGAGCTGAATGCAATAATGAAAAGGCAGACACAGGACAAGCTCTCTGGACTCCTTCTACTACATAAAAACAGAACATAAATTCCCTTGTAAAAGTGCCCCAACCCCATAGCCCCCCAACACAGGCACACATATGCATATACACAAAAGCTTCTTATACCAGGAAGAAGATAATATAGAAGAAAGCATATACACAGACAAACCTTACTAACTAGCTCTTATCTACTGTTTCTTTCCCCATATATTTGCCTTCCATCAATTTGTCTCCCCTAGAAGCTGGAAGGAATTTTCCTTTGTCTTGTCACTTCTCTGCAAAACTATTGTTCTTTGCTAAGATGCAATGCAAGTCCAAGTTCTAAACACCCCTCTGAGGTACTCACCACCGAGTTTCTCCCAGGTGTATGCACAATGCATGCATTAATAAATGATACACTTTGGATATTTGTCCCCACCCAAATCTCATGTTGAAATGTAATCCCCAGTCTTGGAGGTGCATCCTGGTAGTAGTTGTTTGAATCATGGGGGCAGACCTGTCATGAATGGCTTGGGCCATCCCTTTGGTGATAAGTGAGATCTCAGAGTTCTCAAGAGATCTGGTCGTTTAAAACTGTGTGGCACCTCCTCCCTCGCTCTCTCTTGCTCTTGCTTTCACCTTGTGACATGCCTGCTAGCCCTTGGCCTTCTGCTGCGATTGGAAACTTCTTGAGGTCTCCACAGAAGCAGATGCCACTATGCTTCCTGTACAGCCTGCAGAACCATAAGCCAATTAAATCTCTTTATAGATTACCCAGTCTCAGGCATTTCTTTATAGCAATGCAAGTATGGCCTAAAATAAATTTCTGTTTTCCTCTTGTTAATCTTTCATCAGTTTAATTTGCAGAGTTCCAGTTAGCAAACCTAAATGCATAGAGGAAAGATTGTTTTCCCTCCCTTACAATCTGATATTCCCCAACCCAGACCTCCTAGGGACTGGATGCTGCAGTACATACCTCTGGCCTGAGAGATGAATTGACAGAGGCCAGGGTTACAATGGTGTGTTTTGTTTTGTTTTGTTTTTACCACCCGATAGGAAGTAAACTTCCTGCCCCCTGGGACAAGAAGACAAGAGGAGGAGGGAACCAGACTACCTCCCCTTAAACCCTCTCACATCCAGTGTGAAAGGAGAGGGCAGGGCTACCTTGCATCTGGAACTGAAATAAACCCCGAGGTGCTCTGTCTGATCAGGGCAAGTTAAGGGTGAAACAGATCTATTCCAACACCTTGACCAGGACCCAGGGGCTTCCTAATCTCAGCCCCTCTGCCCCAACGCATAAGGCCCAGCTACCTCACCCCTCTACTCTGCTTTGCCGCCCAAAATGTCATGCAAATTGCCAAGCAGAAGCATTTGACAGGTCCTGCTGAGTTCACCGCAGCTGGCTGCAGAACTGCCAAGAATAGGATTGTCTCAATCAGAAGAAGAAAGGCACGGCAGCCAATTAGGACCTGCAATATTTGACTAAGTGTGCCAGATTAATCGCAATTATTAATTACAGGGTATGGAGAGCAGAAATGTAATTATTGACACCTTCCCTTTGTGGAAATTGGCCTTGGGCAATGGAAATCTGAGAAACCAATCAAAGATAACTAAGAACATCTTTCTAGCCAGGGGATAGAGGGTGGAGGGGGGCAAGTTTTCCTCAGGCTGGGAAGGGGAAATCACAGGGCCATTCCCAATGGATTTTTGAGAGGAAGCACCAACCCACTGCTGCCAACTGGCCTGCCCCTACAGGTGGTCCACAATCTGGCTTGGGCCCCCACGTGGTAAAGATTGGTGGTTAAGATAGGGGCTTGGCTCTTGTCCTACTTCTGGCCTGATGCACCAAGTGAATCTGGACTCATCACTTTATTTGGGACTCAGTTCCTTTTCTGTTAATGTGGGATTGTGCTGTAATTAGTGTTTCTCAAAACAGAGGCTGATTAATTTTTCCTGAGTAGGACTATTCAACACATGATAAGAGCCATACATTGCCAAGGGGGCACACTTACTAGGAATCCTTCCTGCCCCCTCTTCCAACCCCAGTGTTTCCAGCCAGCATGACAACCCAAAAGCACACACCCATGTTTTAACATGTCCCCTAGGGAGACAGTACCAAACCTGGCTGAGAACCACTACCTGGTAGGTGGCATACTTGAAGAGTTGTGTGGCCTCTCTGCACCTCAGGGTCTTCATTTGAGAAATGAGGATTCTAATGCACCTTCCTCATTGAGCTATGATGGCTATGATAATTAAATATTACTAAGCACAGTGTCCAGCACATAGTAAGCATAATCATTTTTACCCCTTTTAACATATGGAGCCAAGTAGTTATGATCTGATTTCAACCCTGAAAACTATATACTATTATCTCTGTTTTACAGATGGGGAAACTGAGGAACTGAGAACTTAAATAACTTGCCAGATTTCAACAATGGATCCTTGTGACTTCCCAACCTGGCCTTTTAACAGCCCATTTGCGGGGGACGTGACAAGGACAGGTCTTCACTGACGTTTGTTGTAGGTTGTCTGAGCTGTAGGGGCAGAGAAGAGACACTGGGGCTTCCAGTGATGACTGCCAGGTCTGGAAGACAGGCTGAAGATGGGCTGCATCTTCTGGGTCTGCCAGGCTGCATGCTTTGCAGGCACCTGTTGTAAATCCAGAGTTGGGATTAAGGAGGTCTTTTGCTCTTTGGCTTCACTAAGATTGTGCTAAAGAGCAGGAAGTGAGTGGCTGAGCTCTGGGGACCAAGTCTGCAATAACAAAGCTGGGAAAGGGTACGGAGAGGGTCTGCACCCAGAGGCAGCTGCAGAAAGGGCATGGGCAGGATACTTCTTCCATTATTGCTTGGGGTCAGCAGAGCTCTGTGTCCTGGGCAGAGGAATATGAGACAGGGGACAATGTCCTTACATTCAGATGTTCAGATACCCATCAGAATATTATAGAGAAACCATAGAAAGTTCAGGGGTTCAGGGAGACCCCCTAGGATAGGAGTCACAGCCCATTCTCTGCAAGCTTCTATTCCTGGTGACCTGCAAGGCCCTGCCTGATCTCCATACTGCCTGAACCAACATTTCTCATTCATCTTTGTGCCACCCCCTTCACGCACTAAGTCCAGACACACTGACCTTCTTTCTTTTCCTCTCTCCTATCTCATGGTCTTCACACTTGCAGTCAGTTCTGCCTGAAAGAATTGCTTTTCACCCAGACCTTCCTCCCATAGCTGGCTCATTTTCATCATTCAAGTCTCATCTCAGAAGCCTCTGGCTGGGCGCGGTGGCTCATGCCTATAATCCCAGCACTTTGGGAGGCTGAGGTGGGCAGATCACTTGAGGCCAGGAGTTTGAGACTAGCCTGGTCAACATGGTAAAACCCCATCTCTACTAAAAATACAAAACATTAACCAGGTATGGTGGTGTGTGCCTGTAGTCCCAGCTACTCAGAGGCTGAGGCAGGAGAATCACTTGAACCCGGGAGGCAGAGGTTGCAGTGAGCTGAGATTGCACCGCTACACTCCAACCTGGGCAACAGAGCAAAACTCTGTCTCAAAAATAAATAAATAAATACATAAGAAGCCCCTGCTCAGAGAGGCTGCCCAAACCATTCCAGTTGAAATAGACACGTACACCCAGTAAGAGAAAATTAAAAAAATCTCAGGACCCCCAAACTCATTATGCCAAAGAAAAAGTTAAGCCTCGGAGACTGAGTGACCCAACACTGCCATCTTTTCCCCAGATGAATAGCTGTCACTCCACAACCTTGTGTCAAAGCGTTATCCATTAGCCAGATCCCCACAGAAAGGCAAAAGGCCTCTAGCATCTCCAGATGCTTTTGAAAACTTTCAAGATGCATATCCTCCCACAAGACAAGGACATGTCAATTACAACTTTAGGGCTGCAATCTAAGTGTAGCTCCTAAAACTAAAGTCTGTTAGATTTCACAGTGATACTGCTTATCTTTGCAGATACAGAACAAAGACAAGATTAGATCAATCATTCTTTCACTTACCAAACCTCCCTTTCAGAAAGTATATAAATACTAAGCCTCCTGAAAAAAAAAAAAAAAACATTTCTGGAAAAAACAGCCACAGATGCATCTATGACTTGCGTTTTTCCAAGACATATTCTCAAGCTCTGGCTTAATAAACCTTGATTGATTGAGACTCTTGCCTCAGTCACACATTTCAGTTAACACCCCACTCCTACCATGACGATTATGCTGCTTTTATTTGCTTCTTAGTACTTATTGTAACCTAAAATTGTTTGTTGTTTATTGTCATTTGTCGCAACTAACTTGTAAGTTCCATGAGACCAGTGGTTTTGTCTGTCTTTTCAACATAGTATTCTGAATCTAGAATAGTGCCTGGCACTTAAAAGGTCCTCAGCAAATATCAAACAAATGAACAAAGGATATAGACACAGCATCTGATCACAAAGATCCTTCAGTCTGAGGAGGGAGACACAGCCTTTCTCAGTCTGTTTTCTACTGCTCTAGCAATACCTGAGGCTGAGTAATTTATAACAAATAGAAATGTATTTAGTTCATGATTCTGGAGGCTTGGAAGTCCAGGAGTGAGGGGCCACATCTGGTGAGGGTCTTCTTACTGCATCATCATATGGAAGAGAGGAAAAGAGAGTGAGAAGTTAGCAAGAGAGGGCTGAACTTGCTCTTCTAACAAATCCACTCCCACAATAATAAAATCAATCCATTACAAGGGCAGAGCCTCCATGACCTAATCACCTCTTAAAGGTCTACCTCCCAACTCTGATATATTGAGAATTAAGTTTCCGACACTTGCCTTTCTGGGGGAAACACTCAAACCTTAGCATTCTACCCGTGGCCCCCCAAACTCATGTCTTTTTCACATGTAAAATACATTCATTCCATCCCAGTAGCCCTAAAAAGTCTTAACTTGTACTACTATCAACCCAAAAGTCAAAAGTCCAAAATCTCCTCTAAGTCAGGTATAGATGAGATCAAAGCATGATTCATCCTGAGGCAAATTTTTCTCTACCTGTCAGTCTTTGAAATTAAACAAGTTATCTACTTCTAAAATACAGTGGTGAAAGAGACATAGGACAGACATTCCCATTCTAAAAGGGAGAAATAGTCAAGAAGAAAGGCCCCACAGTCCTAGGGTCTTGGACGTTACCCCACTCCCATGGCTTCACTAGGCATTGACCAAGTTTAGGCTTTCCAAAGTAGCTCTATCCCTGCAACAGGTCTCTGCCTGGGCCTCCAGGCTGTTCATGACATCCTTTGAAATCCAGGTGGAGGGTGCCGTGCCTGCAGCTCTCGCATTCTGCATGCCTGTAGTGTCAGCACCATGTGGACAATGCCAAGATTTATGGCTTATGCCTTCCAGAGTTGGCAGGTCGAGGTGAACCTGGGTAGGCTTAAGCCATGGCTAAGGTGGACAAGGGGCACTATGCTGTAATTTGGGGAACAGAGCCCCAAAACAGTGCAGGACAGCAAATGCTGAAGTTCTACAGATGCCTCTCTGAAAACTTTGCTCTTATGGTCCTGCTCTGGGCCTGTGATGAGGGTGAAAGCTTCAAAGATCTCTGAAATGCCTTTGGGGTCTTTCTCTCATTGCGTTGATAAACAGCACTTGGCTTCCTTCTATCCATCTTAATTGCTTTAGCAAATGGTCACTTGGCCATACCCTTGGTTTGTTCTCCTAAATATGCCTTTTTACTCGTTTTGTTTTGTTTTGTGATGAGTCTCATTCTGCACACAGGCTGGAGTTCAGTGGCACAATCTTGGCTCACTGCAACCTCTGCCTCCCGGATTCAAGCGATTCTCCTGCCTCAGCCTCCCGAGTAGCTGGAATTACAGGCAAGTGCCACCATGCCCAGCTAATTTTTGTATTTTTAGTAGAGACGGGGTTTCGCCATGTTGGTCAGGCTGGTCTTGAACTCCTGACCTCATGATCTGCCTGTCTCAGCCTCCCAAAGTGCTGGGATTATAGGCATGAGCCACCAAGCCCGGCCACCTTTTCACTCTTTACATGGCCAGACTTTGGATTTTCCAACCCTTTCTGCTCTGCTTCCCTTTTCCTTAAAATTCTGTCTTTAAATCATTTTGCTTCTCTTGCATCTTACCATGTGCGTTTAGAAGTAGCCATGCAGGTCCTTCAATATTTTACTTGGAAATTTCTTCCTCCAGTTATCCTAGTTCATCACTCTGAAATTCTGCCTTTGATAAAGTCCTTGGGCATGGATACAATTTGGCCAGGTTATTTGCCACCTCATAACAAGGAGGGCCTTTACACCAATTTCCAATAAGATATTCCTCTTTTCCATCTGAAACCTCATCAGAATGGCCTTTACTGCCCATATTTCTACCAACATGCTGATCACAGCCACTTAAGTAATCTCTAAGAAGATTCTGGCTTTCCTGAGGTCTTTTCTTCTTCTGCAACCACACCAGAATTGCTCATTATGGTCCATTCACAGCAATCTAGCCTTTTTCTAACCTGCTTCTCCAAATTCTTCCAGCTTCTGCTCATTATCCAGTTCCAAAGCTGCTTTCACATTTACAGACATTTGTTGTAGAAACAGCCCCAATTCTCAGTACCAATGCTCCTAGTCTGTTTTCTGCTCCTATAATAGAGTACTTGAACTAGGTAATTTATAATAAACGGATTCATTTGGCTCATAGTTTTGGAGCTGGGAAATCCAAGAGCCAGGGAGCACCTGGTGAGGACCTTCTTGCTGCATCATCCCGTGGCACAATGTCAAAGAAATAGGGAAAATGAGGAAGAGAGGGCTGGAATCACTTTTATAACACACCTACTCCCATGATATCATGCCAGATTCAAGTCAGCTTAGTTATACTAATCCTGACCAGGGCTGAGAGGTTTCACCATGACTCAGTGGCCAATTAAATACTTTTAAATTCATGGTTCATTGTGAGGCTTTCACACAAGGACAACTATGCAAATATATTCAACACATACGCAGGCAGTGATAAGAGAGAGAGGAACAAACCATAGGGAGAGACCAGTACATTGATAGATGAACTGGGGGGTGGGGGTTGGGGGTGGGGCAGAGCTGGAGGCCTCAGGGTTCTCATGAGAAGAGCTGCTTCTGCAGGTATCTCACCATGGTTAGTTTCTTTGCTGTTTTTATGGCCCTCTGAAGGTACATCCATGATCATTATCTCAGCTGTGTTTTGGCTTCACTTTTCCCCCTAGTGGACCAAGCCTAACCCTCTAAAATCAGGGCTAATTAAACTGGGCTTGATCAGATGTGAGTAGTGAGTATGATTAGCGACGAACCCCACAGATCTACCTCCACTGGTCCAGATACGCCTACCTGACCACTCCTTAGTGTAGTATAAAGACTTATCTACTTCTTGAATGGAGAAAAGTGGTTATAGGCCATTTTTCTCTCTGCTTGGAGCCCCCTCTCCCCTCTTTGCTGCCCTCTCAGGTCCTTGCTTCCCATCTCTTTCATCTATATCCATCTTTATAGAATCTAGGGCCACTGCAGTGGCAGTCCGTGAGCAGCACCTACCTGGAGTTGTGTAGTGTACAACCCATGCAGCTGAATGCAGCAGCCCTGATAGACTCCCGGATTCAGGGCTAAAAGGGATCACAGAAGGGCTAGAGCATATTCCCTCAACTTAAAAATGAGGAAATTGCCAGGCACAGTGGCTCACACCTGTAATCCCAGCACCTTGGGAGGCCAAGGTGGGTGGATCACCTGAGGTCAGGAGTTCAAGACCAGCCTGGCCAACATGGTGAAACCCTGTCTCTACTAAAAATACAAAACTTAGCTAGGCATGGTGGCGAGTGCCTGTAATTCCAGCTACTCAGAAAGCTGAGGCAGGAGAATCGCTTAAACCCGGGAGGCGGAGGTTGCAGAGAGCCAAGATCATACCACTGCATTCCAGCCTGGGTGAGAGCAAAACTCTGTCTCAAAAAAAAAAAAAAAAAAAAAAAAAAAAAAGGGGAAATTGAGGCTCCAGGTGTAGAGGAGACTTTTCCAAGGTCATGCCACAGTGATTTAATGACATGGCTGGGATGTGAACCTGCAGCTCTTGGCTTCTCAGGCAGCACCATTGTTTATCCACTCCCTCCTTTTTTGTTGTTGTTATTGTTGACCGAGTCTCGCTCTGTTTCCCAGGCTGGAGTGCAGTGGCATGATCTCAGCTCTCTGCCTCCCAGGTTCAACTGATTCTCCTCCCTCAGCCTGCCGAGTAGCTAGGACTACAGGTGCGTGCCACCACACCAGGCTAATTTTTTTGTATTTTTAGTAGAGACAGGGTTTCACTGTGTTAGACAGGAAGGCCTCGATCTCCTGACCTTGTGATCCGCCTGCCTCCGCCTCCCAAAGTGCTGGGATTACAGGCATGAGCCACTGCGCCCAGCCTCCACTCCCTCCTCCTAAGGCTATCTAAATATTCCCTACTCCCTTTCTTTACCCTGCAATGTATTTTGTGATCTCTGTCCTGGTTTCGCACCCATATTCAGACTTAGTACATGCCATGCCTTGGGGTCTTCCTAAGTAAGACATACAACCAAGCTGTGCCGCCAGTCATGGGTCCACCCCAGAGTGGGGACGCCCTGAGGCTTGGGGCCTTACAAAAGTTAGTAACAGCGTAAAATGCAATGACAGGGGTGGAAAGACCCCCATGCTTACCCTGGCAGAGTAAAAAGTGCAGATGTCAGACACTCTTGAGTAGACATTGCAGCTCCACTTCACATTATGAGCTTGACCTCAGGCAGTTTGCTTCACCTTTCTGGGCTCCAGGATTTTCCAACTACAAAAAGAGATTAAAAAAATAACCCTCACGTCCCCCCGCCCCATCCCAGCTTGCAATTTAGTGAGAATTAAATCATGTGATGTACGCGTAATGGGCCCAGCTTAGCACCAGGCACGCGGGCCCACGCTGTGGCTGCACCTGCCCCTCTGAGATACTCTTTCCTCCCCGAAGACTTCCTTAGCCTGCGTTCTGCATATGCGTTATGGCTCTGCCCTGTGGAAGCCCTTTTAAGGCAGGAACTGTTCCTGGGAAAAGATAAAATCCTTGGCACAGACAAGCCATTACCAGAAATATTTAACCAGCCTGTGTTCACAGGCGGGAGGACACGCATGAAAGCGTTTTATCTTCCTAGCCACAAAGGGAGAGCGGGAGCCCCGCACCAGGCTGAGATGAAGGCTTGATTTTTTTAAGTAGTCATTTAGGATTCTACTGATGCTTTGCTAACTCCCAGTCAAATCACAACATCATGGAAAGAAAAACTCCATTTTCTGCAAAGATGTTGAAATGGCCCTTTCCAATTAGGCAATGGGCTCTGGGAGGGGGATCTCAGACAGGCAGCTGAAAGCCGTCTCTGCTCATCTGTGCATTCAGGGATCTGTGAGCCCAGGGCACCAAAGAAGTAGCCACTCCAAGTGGACTCTGCATGTCCTAAGGCAGGGAAGAGGCCTCCGAATGACATCTTGCCCTCTGCCTCCCACCAGGTTGTTCTGGGATGTCCCTGGAGAGTATAAGTGTCTCGTTAATTACTAGTCAGTTATGTGTTTTACATATATTGATTAGTCTGAGCGTCTACCTTGATTAGCAAAGACCATGACTCTCATAAAATTGCCCACAAGTCATATGTGCAAACACCACCATTTACTTGGAATCCTGCCCTCCCAGTCACTGCTCTACTTTTTATGTATTAACTCATTTAATCTTTACCTGTGGTGGCTTCAAGAATGGCCACAAATTCTTTATACTCCTGCCATGGAGAGGTGGGGGTCTCAGTCATCTCGCCTTGAATCCAAGCAAGCTCTGGGTCTGCTTTGACCAGTAGAATGTGGCAGGAATGATGCTTTGGCCCACGCCTTAAAAGATGTTGCCACTCCCATCTCCTGGCATGCTCTCTTTGGGAGCCCTGGGATACTACATAAAAAGCCTGTCGGCCAGGCAGGGTGGCTCACGCCTGTAATTCCAGCACTTTGGGAGGCCGAGGCAGGCAAATTGCAAGGTCAGGAGTTCAAGACCACCCTGGCCAACATGGCGAAACCCCGTGTCTACTAAAAATACAAAAATTATCCAGGTGTGGTGGCAGGCACCTGTAATTCCAGCTACTCAGGAGGTTGAGGCAGGAGAATTGCTTTAACCTGGGAGGTGGAGATTGTAGTAAGCCGAGATCGCACCACCGCACTCCAGCCTGGGCGACAGAACAAGACGCCATCTCAAAATAAATAAATAAATAAATAAAAGCCCTGTGAGCACTCTAGTTGACCATCCCAGCTGGACCCAGCCTTTCAGTCACCCCAGTTGAGATGCCAGATGTGTGAGTGAAGCCTTTTGGGACCCTCCAGGCCAGCTGAACACCATCGAGTGACAACAGCTGACAGAATGTGGAGCAGATGCACTGAGTGGCAGACCTAGCCTGAGCGACTGACCCAGGACAGCGTGAAATATAATAAAATGGCTGGCTTTATGCAGCAATAGATAAGCAGAATAACCACCTTCTGAGGTAGGCACAACAGGGCACCATGTTACCAATGAGAAGACTTAGACACAGAGATGTTAAGTAGTTTACCCAAGGTCACACAGCTGTTAGTGGTAGAGTCAGAATTTGAAACTCAGGTAGCCTGGGCCCAAAGCCCATGCTCTCACCTCCTCCTCTGAACCTTGTACTGACTACTCCTTTAGCTGTTCTAACACCTCTTGAAGGTACCTATTGGTAAATCTTCTCCATTACTACATGCAAAGGCTGTTGGAAGGCAGGCACCAATTCCCAGTTATCTTTATAACCCTATTCCTGGCTCAGAAGAAAAGCACTGAATGTTTGTTAAGAGAGTGCAGTAGAGTCGGTGGGTGGAGGGAGGAAGAGGTGGATGGATGGATGAATGGACAGATAGACAGATTGATGGACTTGGGTGGGATAGAGCCTGAGAAATGTGGAGGAGCTAGAAGTGTTTGGGATATATGCATATTAGAGGCCCCTGTAAGGACAAGTATGAGGGCACCTGAAGGTGAGGAGAGCCACACACACACTGCGCATGGGGACAAAGTCCCTCTTACTAATTCTATGGGGAGTGCCTTTCTTCTCCAGAGCTTCAAGAAAAGTCACTATTTGAGGATAGAAGTTGATTTTGAAAAACTATTCTATTTTACTATTATATATTGCCTCTGTTTTTTAGCACAATCTCAAAAAAAAAAAAAAAAAAAAAAAAAAAAAAGACCAAAAAAGAACTACAAAGAAATAGACACATAGGGAACACGGAATGTCTAGTCACTAGCTGAACACTAGTTTTACTCCTGAATGTCTTGGTAGTCCAGGCAATAATGAAAATATATTGTAGTTAAGAGTTCTGATTTGGGGGAGGTTGGTTGGTCTCTTAGAGCCAGAACCAGCAATGCCCAATACCTGTATGTGAAAAGGGTTGCCCCCCATTCCTCAGGTGGGTAGCCCCTCTGTCCTCAGTCTCCAGACACATGCACCTCACATTTTCACCACTGGTCCACCTTGGATGCAATGGTGCCTATTCACATCATTTCCCCTGTGGTTCTCAACTGGACATTGATCTGACTTCATTCATCTCTCAAACGTGGATCCTCAGTCCTGGAGATCTTATGTTTCTTTCTAGAAGAGTCAATACCCTCAAGATCTTCCAAACCTTCTGGAAAAATTGAAGTCCCTGGGCTTTTTCTGACAATACTTTTCTGTTTAAGATTCTAGGAAAACAAAATTATTTTTACCATCTTGTCCAATAGTATTTTTCCAGGAAGAATGATCACTCACAACCTCAATGGAAATTTCCACTGGGCCCATTCTGTTTTCTGTAGCCCATTACACAGACCTACATTAAACGTATAGGATGCAATTCCAAAGATGCCAATGGTTAGGTTATATAGTTTGTGGTAGCAGATAAAAGGAGGCAAACAAGCTTATCTGGAGAGATGAAATTTCTACTGCAAGGTGGGTAGTCTCTGTTCAGAGTTCAAAAAGAGCAATTTGTCATTCCAAGAGGGAGTTATTGCAGAGATGCTCTTACAAAGGATGTTGGATAACGTAACAGGCAATCCAGAGATGTTCACTGTCTCATGAAATCCACAAGAGTGGCCTGGACTGCAGATTCTGAACTGTCCTAGAGAGAATGATGGAACATCCCTACACAGCCATCCCCCACCCAGCCCCACCTCCCACCAGGCTCTATCACCTGGTCTTGCTCAAGGTAGATCTGGGGAAAATGCTTAATCCCAGGCCAGATTCACTCAGCCAGGCCTCCTCCCTACCACCCACCACCTCCCCCGCTCCATAGACACACACTCAATTTCACCAGTCTCTGTGCTCAGGGAAATAATTCACTTTACTATCACCCTGAGTAAAATGTGAATCATTGAGCAAAAAACTATCAGACACACACCAAAGCTGAAGATAAATTATTTTTGGAAAGCTGTCATCTTGAAGCCCCCAAATGCTGGCTTCTCCAGGGTTGGAGAGGATGTGAAAGAAGACAGCCATACTGGGCCACTCACTCTTCCCCGAACACACCCGCTTCTCTGCCACCCTTGCACTTGTTCTTCCTCCACCTGGAAACATCCTCTCTGACCTCATCTCTTCCTAGCATAATGTCATCTATCCCTCAAGGCCCAGACCTTCCTGATGTCTCTATACCAGCGTAAGCTCCCCGAGGACATCTCTCATTTTGAGACAGAGCAGGGTTCCCTCTTAGAGGCCTGCTGCCCACCCCACCAAGCATGGAAATAAAATCTTGAGTTCCTTCAAGGAAAATCCCAGGCACCTAGCTAGACTTGAGAAGTAAATGAACAACTTGAAAAGCAAGAAGGCAATGGTAGCTTAAAACAATTGTCACCCAAGTAAGTTAGAGCCACAAGATATTTGGTTCCCTATAGAAACTAAAGATAACTTCTTGACCTGTGTCCCTGAGTTGTTCTTCAGAAACCTGGACCCCCACCAGTTGGAACATACTGACCACTGTCTTGTAGATTTCAGATAAGGGGGAAGTGAGGACTGAATTTCGACTGCCAATCTTTTTACAAATTTCTTCCTGAGTAGCCTAGAGACAGTCACGCTCACAGGCCAAACCATAACATTCCTTTCTGATGACCCCAAGGTTTTAGGCAAAACCTTGCTTCCTTAACCAGTTGCAAATTAAAGAATGTCTGAATCCACCTATAACCTGTAAGCCCTTTGCTGTAAGATGTCCCACCATTTTGGGACAAGCCAAAGCCAAAGTATAATCTTCATGTATTGATGTATTACTTTGCCTATAACCTCTGCCGCCCCACCTTTAAAAACTCTTACAGGTGGCCGGGTGCAGTGGCTCACACCTGTAATCCCAACACTTTGGGAGGCCAAGGCGGGTGAAAAACGAGGTCAAGAGATCGAGACCATCCTGGCCAACATGGTGAAACCTCGTCTCTACTAAAAATACGCAAAATTAGCTGGGCGTGGTGGCACATGCCTGTAGTCCCAGATACTCAGGAGGCTGAGGCAGGAGAATCACTCGAACCCGTGAGGTGGAGGCTGCAGTGAGCTGAGATCGTGCCACTGCACTCCAGCCTGGCAACAGAGTGAGACTCCATCTCAAAAAAACAAAAAGAAAAACAAACAAACTCTTACGTGTGAGCCATTGAGAAGTTTGGGTCTTAAGCATGAGGTGTGTCTGATTCTCCTTGCTTGGCACTCTGCAGTAAGTGCCTCACTTTCTCTCTCTGAAGATCCCAATGTCAGTGTTTAGCTTGCTAGGCTGGGCAGGTAGACTCAAGTTTGGTTTGAAAACAATCTAAAAGGTTTTCTTTAACAGTGCAGGCTCTAGAGCCTATGGCCCATCTCTTCTACCTATAAGATCTCCTTACCAACTATTGGAAGCTCTGATGAAGCTTCTAGGGTCAAGCTTTGTCTGCTAAGCTTTAAAATATTTTTTCAGATGACATGCAACTGCAAGCATCCTCAATTCCTAGCACAATACCAAGAGCAAGAATGTGCTCAGTAAATAAAGGTTGAATGCATTAATAAATCAATAAAGTATGTGTGTGTAGGTGAGAGGATGGAAGGAAAGCTGCATTGATGATGAAATTTTAGACATCCTATGAGGAAAGGACACGGAGAGAGGATTTGTGTGAGCCACAGCTTTGGGGAACACAGGAGCAGGAGGCCAGGAACCTCTCTTCCCTGTGGCAGCCTTGAGATGGTGGGTCTGCCCCGGAATTACGTATTACAAGGAGGAGCAGAGGGAGCAGTTCATCTTCCAATAACAGCTAGGCCCAGCGGCCTGCTCTCATCTCCTTATTATTCTTAGAGGGGTGATCTTGCCTGGCAGAGAGAGAAAGGAGGGGGTGAGCTGGTGGGGGAGGGAGCCAACCTCCGCAGGTCACCTTCAAGAAAATGAGATGTCAGCTGGAAGGAATGAATTAATGAAAAGAAGTAGACCCTGTTGACCTGGCCCCATTCTCTGTAAATCCTGGGTTTGGGAAGTTTTTCCATGGCCTCCACTTCTCAGGGGAATGCTGGGAGGTTAGACGTGGAGGAGTGAATGGGTTTGTAAGTTGTGAGGCTGGGATGAGAAATTTTAGTCACCTGGTCCCCGGCTCTTCTGAATGTTGCTTGCTTATAAAAAGGATATCCTGGCTGTTTCCCAGACACCTTTTCCTGGGGAGGCTCAGAGGCAAGTTGAGGACAATCCAGGCCTTCCTAGAACCTCAGGCACCGGCAGCTGGGAGCATGCTTGATACTTGCAAGGTTTCCCAACCCCTCAAGATGCTGAGAATCACCTGCATAATTGTTAAACAACACAAACTCTGAGCCAGAGGTTCTCTTACTTTAGCGTGCATCAGAATTGCCTGGAGGGCTTGTTAACCCTGGGGTTCAGATTCAGCAGGTCTAGTGTGGGCATAGCCCCACAAATCCCCAGTGCTGCTGCTGCTGCTCCTGGGGCTACACTTTGAGAACCACAGCCCTAGGCTGGCTCACTGACCAGAGTCTCCAGGGAAGGCTCCAGAAGCTATGCTCTTTATAACTTCCCAGGCGATTCTAGCATCAAGACAGTTAAGGAGCTAGTAAAATGTGAGGGCCACCTGCAGCAGAAGCACCTGGTTTCTTTATTAAAATTCAGATTTCCAGGCCTTGCCTTGGCTCTTAGGGCCCAAATTTCTGGTGGGTTGATCCAGGAATTAGCATTTGCCTAGTTCTTCAGGAGTTTTTAAGTTAATTACAGTTTGAAAGCCATGCCCCTATATACCCTCCTATATTACAAGGGAATAAACTGAAGCCCGGAGAGGTGAGCTTGCTGGCAAAGACTTCACCACTAATTAGCAACCAAGCTGAAACCTCAAAGAGCTGTTTGTGCTCTTTGTGGAAGTACAATTCAGGGTCAGGGTGAGCTCAAGTTGCTCTGAGAATTCCAAAGCCAGGCAGATTGGCCAGAGCCCCCCGAATGCTGGAGTTTCCTCTTCAGGTACAGGAGCCACTGTGCACCATTTTCCCTCAAGCCACCCTCCCTTACATGGTAGTGACTTTGTACAACCTGTAGAACACTCTCCCCTCCTCCTGGAGTATTTCACATTTCAGCTTTCATGCTAGTCCCTCTGGGAAACTCCTGTGGCCCTCAGTGGCCAAACACACTCTCCTCTGAAACATTCACTAACCTTGTCCGTTTGTCCACTGCTGCTCTCATTGCTGTGACAAGGACCAACTTAGGAAAGGATCACAGCCGTCCCCACCTTCCAAGGGGTTTGTGCTGCTTAGGGAGTTACCTCTGTGGTACTGGTCTTGGGTGACAGGTTGGGAAAGGACATTGGGACAGCTGCAGCAGTAGAAGCATTAGGGAGACCACAGAGACCAGCTGGGCTGGAAGTTCTGGAAACAACAGACACATCTGGAGAGCATTTTCTGGAAGGAAGAGGAGGGTAAAAAGGATGTTAAAGAAGTTTTGCTCTCTGCTGTGAAATGTAATTCCCACTTCATTCCTTTCACCTCCAGAAAACCTTTAGCAAAGCTGCCCATTATTTTCAAAAGCTTTTAGAGCCAAGTTTTCTGTTATTTTTATTGTGACATTGTGCTAATATGTGCCTTAGGTGGAACCAAGAAGGGCCATTTTCGCTGGGGTGCTGGTATTCCGTACCACCATTGTATTTGTTATTTATTGCTGTGTAATGAATCACTCTAAAACTCAGTGGCTGAAAACAACAATCAATATTTTCTCTCTTGGTTTTTGGATCAGGCTTTTGGATGCAGCTTAGCTGGATGGTTCTAGCTTGGGGTCTGTCCTGAGGTTGCAGTTGAGATGTGGGGCAGGGGTGGATCACCTGAGGTTTGATCTGGGCTGGAGGAGCCCTTTCCAAGGTGGCTCCCTCACATGGCTGGCCACTTGATGCTGGCTATTGGTGGGATGCCACAGTTCTCCCTCATGTCACCTTCTTCCAAGGTGGCATGGGTGTCCTCACAACATACTATCTGACTTCCCCCACCGTGATCAATTCAAGAGACAAGAAGATGGAAGCAGTAATGTCCTTATGACCCAGCTTGGGAAGTCACACATGGTCACACCCACCACACTTTCTCTGGACTACAAAAAAATCTCTAGGTCCAGCCCACATTCAAGGGAATTAGGCTCATTCAAGGAATTTATGAAGGGAAGAATATTAACTATTATGCAGACAGATTTTAAAATGCCACAGTCTCAAAGTATGTGTCTTGTCTTGGGAAATGGGGTGCACTACCCTGAAGGGAGGACCTGCACTCATTCTCTCCTCTCTGAATCCTCATGGCTAGGCCAGTGTCTGGTATGCAGTAGATGCTTCATAAATGTCTGTTGAACCGAACTGACAGCTCACCTCTACCCAATGCCACTCTGAAGCTGCAAGGGGACAGGAAATAGCCCCTGCCTTGGGAGCGGCACTGTCCCTGGACCTCTGGCTGCAAATTCCTGCTCTTGGGCTCTGGCTTATTTGGAACACATGTAGCAGGCTTCACTGGCCTGGTCTCTGACCAGCAGTGTCCTCCTGTTCCGTATACACCTCTGACCTCAGCCTCCTGCTTGTTTCCCCTACAGGGCTTGGCCATAGGCCCTCTAGGCCTCCTCCCTGGGCTTGCTCTACTCTGCCTACTCTACAAAGGCCTGAATGGGCAGCCACTACCACTTGGAGTTTGCTTCAAGGCCTGGATTCCTTCTACGGGGGAACTATTTTATTCCTTTGTGACAGGGTAGGGGCAGGTCAAGGGGGTGGAATCAACTTACCTCCAACTCTGCCGCAAGAGAAATATTCATCACACCATGTCAGTTTCCTCAAAGTCTTCACATGTGCATTTCAGCCTCCAAGACTTTGCTGATGTTTTCCCCACCAAGAGCGCCCTTCCTTCTCCTTTCTGCTCTGCTAGGTTCTATGCACTGGGGAGATAACATGGCATAGTGGAAAGGACACAGGCCTTAGAATCAAAAGATGTGAACTCAAGGCACGGCTTCATCATAAAGTACTTGGGCAACTTGGACAAGTCTGTGCCATAACCTTTCTGAGTCTCAATTTTTCTCATTTATAAGAATGGGGATATCATATCACCTGAGGGTCTTGTTTCAAAGCACAAATGAGAAAATAGATGGGAGAGTATTTTCTGTACGGTATGAAATACTACATGTAAGTAAGAAATTCTTCATTATCCTTCCCATCTTCTTGCATCCAGCTCAAGTTCTGAGTCTCCCAGGAAACTCTTCACATCTATGAACTCTTCTAGCAATTACATCTCAGCCTCACAGCTCTGTATTTAACTCAACATCCTCAAATTTTTATTCCCATTGATGTAGGCTAGTTTCTGGCACTAGAGTGAAAGTACAGCAGGATTTGTCTCTGTCTCCACCACAGCACAGGACACAGTGCTGGGTCCCCAGGGATGCTTAGAGCATCTGAGTGGCAGACCATAGGACAGGCGTGCTGATCTTTGGGGGCTTGAAAAGAAATTGATCTCTACTTTTTATTCTGCCGCCTGTGACCCCGCTAAGCCCCCTTTAATGGAGACTATGGTTCCTTGACTCAGATCCCTTTGGATCTCTCTAGTAGTTCTGTGTACTTAGCCTCCAGCTTCTACTCTGTTTCTAATGACCCACACCTGGAAATCTCATTAACGACCTGCCTGTGGGTTCCTGGAACTCCTTGTTCCACACTTGCAGTCAGTAGGAAGATGCCTGGGAATTTACACCTCTTCCAGCAGTCTGCAAACAGTGACTGTCTAGTGCCAGAGTCTGAAAGCCCAACTCCTTTGCCTGGCAAATGCTGAGGTGTAAACTGAACCCCTGAATTCCTGGCAGGATCAGATTGAGGTTGGGATAGTGTCTAAACTCATGCCTCACCTGGCTTTCTCTCCTTTGCTGTCCTGGTTCCTCCACCCCTTTCCAGCTTTCTGAATAAGTCATTTGCACATGAATTCTCAGCTCAGGATCTGCTTCTGGGGAGCCAGCCCAATAAATCACCATCCAGGGTCCCATCAGAAATGATCAAGGTGGCATTGACGAGCCAAAACGCACCAAGATCCACAGAAAGAAGAGGTAGGGATGAACACCATATCCCTTTTTCTTTTCTGGTCGCTTCCAGATTTTCCACCAACACCATGACTGGGACGAAAAAAAAAGTGATTCATTTTCAGTTTATCTTTTCTTTAACATAACCAACTTCCGCTTCTTGAGGCTTAATTGGATCTATTCTTGGATGTGACAAAAAGTTAGTGGGAAATGAAAGGGGCATATCAAGGAAAAAAACATTTCAAGTGAATAATTTAAGATCACATCCATAATTAATGGCATTTGGCATGCTTCCCCTGGAAGCCTAATCAGAGCATGGAATGTGCTAATTAGAGCGGTTTGGTGCAAATCAGCCCGTGCAGGTGTGGGGAAGCCGCTTCTGTTCTTTTCAGCACCGGTGGCAGCAGCAGCTCAGGAGTCTCTTAGGTTGGGCGGGGCTTGAATCAATGATGAGGCTCTATTCTGAAACACCTTTTGGTGTGAAGCGGGCTTCTCTTCTTTTTGAAGATGTGGGCGTGCGTCTGTGTGTTTGATGGCGGGACACAGAGGGTTGGAGCTGGGGAAACACTTCAGGTGAGCTGTCCTCTGCTGTGGGGAACGTAAGAGAATCAAACAGGGCAAGAGCTGGGAGGAGGGGGTTGAGGAGAGGAGCTGACTACTCCCAGTACCTTCACTCAGCTCACAGTGGCTAGACAAGGTCACCTGTCACACAGCCAGCTGCACCTTGTAAAAGCTAAGGCAACGGGACAACTTCTGTTCAGTGTCCCCTGTGTATTACCACCCTTCTCCAACCTGTCGTCTGCCCCAGCAGGCTGGAACCATGCCCTCAATCCAAGGACTCCCTCGATGTCTGACTTCTGGTTGATTTAGCACATAGGGAACCCCTGAAAGAGATTGGTGGGAAGGAGTGAAGTGAGTTACTTTCCCATCTTTCTGAGGGCTCCCTGTGGTCTGCAGGTCGGCTGTCTTCCTAGATCTAAGATTCCAGTTCTTTTCTAGTAACCCTCTACTCTGTCTCAGAGTCTTAGGGACCCGGGCTTCAGGCTGAGGGGTGTTCCAACCCACCCCCATCAGCCTGGACTACAGCAGCCCCCTCTTGTGGTTTCCCAATCCACCTCCACCTTTGTAAATAACCCCTTTATTAAACTCTCCTCAGATGATCCTCATTGGAGGGTGACATCTCTTAACAGCTGTCAGGATCCTGATGGAGATAGTTAGAACTGTTCCATAAGAGCGACACTCTTTTTAAGTAATTGGAGATTTCTCCCTTAAAAACCAGGGTTTTGGCAAATCATCTCTTCTTTTTGAAGGGAAATCTTTATAAAATGCATCTCCTATTTCTCTACCATCTTAACCAGAACTACACATGATTTTAAAACTGCTCTTGATAACACTTCATAAGCAGGAATTGTTGTATCATGCTGGGCACTGCACACCTTGGGGGCTGTTATGGACCTGAGTTGTGTCCCCTTAAAATCGTATGTTGCAGCCCTAACCCCCAATGTGACTGTATTTGGGCCTTTAAGGAGATAGTTAAGTGAGATCATAAGGATGGGACCCTAATCTGATAGGACTGATGCCCTTATAAGAGAGGAAGATACCAGAGCTCAGGTGTGTGTGTGCACGTGTAATGTGTATGCACAGAAGAGAGGCCGATAGGGTGAGAGGTCAATGTCTGCAAGCTAGGAAGAGGTCCCTTGCCAGAAACCAACTGTGATGATTAACACTGAGTGTCAACTTGATTGGATTAAAGGATGAAAAGTATTGTTCCTGATGCGTCTGTGAGGGTGTTGCCAAAGGAGATTAACATATGACTCAGTGGACTGGAAAGGCAGACCCACCCTTAATCTGTCTGGGCACAATCTAATCAGCTACCAGCATTGCCAGAATAAATGCAGGCAGAAGAATATGAAAAGACCAGACTGGCTTAGCCTCCCAGGCTACATCTTTCTCCTGTGCTGGATGCTTCCTGCCCTCGAACATCAGACTCCAAGTTCTTCAGCTTTGGGACTTGGACTGGCTTCCTTGCTCCTCAGTTTGCAGATGGCCTATTGTGGGACCTATTACTCCTTAATAAATTCCCCTTTATATATACATCTATCCTATTAGTTATGTCCCTCTAAGGAACCCTGACTAATACATCAACTCTGCTAGCTTCTGGACTTCCAAGAACCAGAACTGTAAGAAAATAAATGTCTATTGTTTAAGCCAACCAGTCTCTGGCACTTTGTTATGGCACCCAAGTAGACTAATACAGAGACCCAAGAGCCTAAAACTGTTTGCCCTTGCCTGAAAAAGTTCCAAATTTCAGTGCCCTCTCACCCTCGTTTTACAGTTTCTTTGCCTTAGCTCTGCCAGTTATTACCTCTTGCTGCTGACAGGGTTGCTACCATTAGCAGAGCCATCCCTTACCTACTTCAATCTTACCCATTATTTACTAGTACTAAAGTGTTATGTCAGACCAGAAAAATCAAGTTCACTAGTATTGTATATAAAGCAAGAGTTAATAGGTTCTGAGTGACAGTCTGAATTGTTCTTCCTTAAATAGACTTTTTTAGGATTTTAATGCATAGACATTATCATGAGGACTTTGTAAATGCCCAGAAGCCATTTTTTCTTATACTAGAATCCTTGTCATATTCTTGGACAGCTGAGGTCAAATAAGTGCCATAAGCAAATTGTGGTTGGTAATGCAGTAATTTCTCTGTTTTCTTTTGTGATCTAAACTGGTTAGAACACAATGAAACTCTGGCTTTACCCTCAGGATCTTCTGGCTTGAAATTATTGGAAATATGGCTTCGGGGTCCCCTATTATATGTCCACAGGTAGGAGAGAGGACTCAATTCATTTGTTCTAATGGGTTCCCAGGGAATTTGATTAGTGATCAGGCCCTGCATTGGCCACCCTTTTTCCTGGCCTACATGGCACTGCAGCCAGTCAATAGGTACCAATTTTATTAGGTGCTGCTCGTGTAATGGTGCACAAGGCGCCCCTCCAACCTCCTTGGCTTGTAATGCTCATTGGCAGAGACAGCTAATCGATAGTTGCTCCTCACCAGCCCCATAGATATCGATTCAGGGCTCAGGAAGACTTTATAAGGAGTCATTGGGGGGATTCTTTCAGTTCAAATTGAATTGTGGGCCATTAAATCTCTTTAGCAAAAGACTGCGCCTCATATCACATGCCAATGCTCCTTCTGAATTTTTAACCAGTGCCCACCTCTGGAGAACATCCTGCCTTTGCTAAAGCCATCTCAGCGGGTCCCAGGTTTTTCTTTCCCCTGGCAGATCTGGTTAATTGTTATGGATCTTCCAGCAGGTAAAAGCAGGCTTTGTTTTCCTTGCAAAAGAAAACCAATTCAGGTGGTCCTGCCCATAAACTGGAAGGAAGGAGTAGGGGAAGAAAGAAAGGAAAAACAAGAGGAGAGTCAGACATGGGATGCCTGCTGTCAAGTTAGTCTCAGAGAACTAAACATTGATCAGATACCACACATGTGCATACACACACACACACACATCTTGACCCACATAAGCAGACACAAACAGGTACATACACATAAACACACATGTAAATAGGCACACTCACACATGTTCATGTGCATGTATACAAACACGGTCATGCATGCACACACAATCACAAATGCACACACAAACGTGCATGCACATGTACAAACACACTTATGTGTGCACACTTACACAAACATGCACACTTCTTCCTGCTACCCATGTTCATTCTTAGGGACCCCTTGAGGGAGTTTCCAGGAGAGAATAAAGATTCTCTTCCCACCTGGCCAGTGGTAACAGGGGAGAAAGCCTATTACAATGGAAAGGCTGACTCCCCAGCTCCATCATTGCCAACTCTGTGACATTACGCAAGTTATGTGATTTCTCCAAAATTTGATGTCTCCATCTATAAAACAGGAGTTAATCATCATATAACAGGGTCATAGTGCAGAATTAGTTCATTGGAGAAAATGCTCTAGCACATAGCAGGTAGTAAATATCTGTTCCCCGTGCTGCAATCTTTGATGAGTTCTCCCTGGAATCAGAGAAGGGAATGGCTGTTGAAACTCTCACGTTGGCTGGGTGTGGTGGCTTGTGCCTGTCATCCCAACACTTTGGGAGGCCGAGACAGGAAATCCAAGGAACAGAACTGTTAGAAAATTAATGTCTACCATTTAAGCCACCCAGTCTCTGGCAAATTTGTTATGAGAGCTCAAGTAGACTAATCACTTTAGCCCAGGAGCTTGAGACCAGCCTGAGCAACATAGAGAGACCTCTGTCTCTACCAAAAATTAAAATAAACAATTAGCCCAGCATGGTGGTGTGCACCTGTGGTCCCAGCTACTTGGGAGGCTGAGGTACGAGGATTGCTTGAGTCCAGGAAGTTCAGGATGCAGTGAGCTGTGATCACATGACTGTATACCAGCCTGGGTGACAGAACGAGACCCTGTCTCAAAAAAAAGGTCCTAATTTCATCAATGAGGACATCAAGGCCCAGAGAGAGGATGGACCTTTTCCGAAGTCACTGACGGAGTTAGTAACAGACTGGGATTGGATTCCTGGTCCACTTCCTTCCAGTCCTTTTTTTCTATTGTGCTGCCTTCATCAAGGAGGACTGAGAGGCTCCACTGGCCCCATCACCAACCCCAGCAAGATTAATTGTTTTTGTTAGAGACTAACATTCTTGTAGAAGTTTACTCTTTTCACAGAGCAAAGGCTAATTAGAAATTGCAGTCTTAAGGGAGGCTGCCCTGGGCCTCTTATTGGTACCTATGCCCAGGGTGAAACGAAAAGAAGCCAGAGAGTAGGCTGTGTGTGATATGAAGATGTCACCCCTGGCTTGGACAGGTTTCTTTAGAGCGCAGAGTCTCCTGAAAATTGTCTCAGGAGACCCTGCCTAGCAACAATCATTGATTTAAACAACAACAAAAAGCAGCTCATTATGGGGCAGGTGCCAGCCTAGGCTGGAAACCGGGCACCAGGGTCTAGGGATGCACATTCAGTGATAAAACATGCTGCCAGGATGGATGAAGAGCCAGGGTCAGGAATCCCTGGGTCAGAGCCAGGACAAGAATTCAATTCAGTAAATACTTGCCACAGCCTGTCCAGGAACAGTTAATAGCACACATAGGGTGGAGGCTGAAAATGCCCCTGAAACTGTAGCAGGGCTCATGGTTAATAACATTTGAGCATTCACCACGTGCCAGGTGCTATTGTAAGGCTTTCCATGTAGTCACTCATTAGTCTTCATAATGACTCTATGGGGTAATGCCTGTCTTTATACCCATTTTACAAGTGAAGACACTGAAACAAAGAGAGCTTAAGTAAGCAGTCCAAGGTCTAAGAGGCACAAATAGAATTTGAATCTACACATTTAACAATGATGCCCCTGTCTTCAATCTTAAGAGGTCTGAGTTAAGGACTTGAGCACCAGTAGCTTATTTGGGGGATCTCGGGAAACACGGGAAAGGGAGAGGGGAAGTGGGATAGAGAAAAGAATGAAGCCAATACAGGGTGCATTAGAAAACAGATTGACAACTAGAGCTTAATCCTGCTTGCCAGGACTAGGAGCCAGGGCAGAGCATGCACCTTGGTTTTATATGCCTCTTAGGGGTGAGAGAGCTGGGGTATTTCTACACCAAGCCCCATCAATCACGGGTTGAGAGCTGCTCTTGGGCTGATAGTTCCTCAGCAATTCCAGCCTGCCATGAACAGGCAATGAAGGATTTAGAGGACAAGGAAAGCCCTCAAAAAATATATAGATAATAAAAATAAACAAAAAAACCACTCAGGTGCAAGGAGGCATTTGAAGTTGGCTGGTGTGCAACTGAGGAGATATGGGTGAGGCTCTGGCAGTGTTCAGTATGGAAACCCCAACCTCCTAAATGACAGAAGAGAACAGAGATCCTCACTTCTGGCTTAGAAATCAAAACAACTAGACCCAGAGTGGTAAGCAATGAAAGATCTGAAATACCTGGAACAAGTGGTGATGTCCCCTCTACCCCTTGTCCCTGGGCATGCAGATCAGCCCCTGTAGACTCATTTCATGCATATCCTCAATCCCAACACAGAACACATGTTGTCAGGCCTGAATGTGCATGATTTAAGTTCAAAGATGAGACAAAGACCTCACCTGACTGGATGGCTTCACTTGCCTGGCCCCTTACCCACCCCTGGCTTTGAGCAGTACAACAGACATCGGTGAGTTAAGTCTTATGTCCATCCTGCCTGACTGGGGGACTTGAGAACAAGGAACTGCCACAAGGCAGGGTGTGGAGGCAGGAGAAGGAAGGGCCCAAATACCTCACCTGTAAAGAGATGCTTGCCTCAGAGGTTGAGCCCTGACAGGCTACAGCGGCACCCCTGCTTGGGGAGCAGGGAGGTGATGGCGATGAATATGTCTGAATATGTATGTCCTTGTTTTCTTGGAATTGGTGTAACTGGGCTGTTCTGCAGGTTAGGTATTGAAAATTGCCAATGGAACATGAAGAAAAGTCAATAGACATATGTAAAATGAAATCATTACATAGAAAATGATTTCCCCTGAAGGCCTCGGGAAACTGTCGCTATCAAGGAAAGAAATGTGCCTCTGTCGAGCCTGGAAATGCATGTGGGCTTAGGAAGCTGTGCGGTCCCGCGGTGCTTTCCTCCTTCATCTGCTCAGCAATGGTGTGTCAGGCCTTGCCTTAGGGAGCAGTGCCGCCAGAGAAGGTGGACATGGAACCAGCACGGTAGTGGTGACTGGCTGCCCCCAGGAAGGGTCACTCTTCTTTCTCAACTACCAGAATTTAATATTTTCTTTATTCTAACCACTCTGGGCAACACAGAGATTCCAAAAACTGTTTTTGCTCTCCTGGAGGTTACGGTTTCCTCACCTGTAGGTTGAATATAATAATGTTTCCCACAATTGTTATAAGGAATAATGTCTGTAAAGCATATGAAACAGCACAATGCCTGGCTGAGTGTGAGCCTAACCACTTACTGTTTAAATGTGTCCGTTGTCTGTCTTCTGGTCTAGAATGTGAGCCCCTTGAGGCAAGGATTCTGTTGGCTGCCTCGCCATGCAGGTGACAGTACTTGGCAAATTGCAGGTGCTGAGGAAGTAGTGAATGAATGGATGAATGGAAACAACTCCAGGTACATAGTAACTTCTAGCTTGTTGGCATAAGAGTTTAACCTCAGATGAGGTAAAGCATCCTGTCCTTTTTCCTTGTAACACCCACCATAATCACACTGACTGATATTCTGTGTAATCATTTAATAGCTGTCTCCTCTATTAGAATAAAAGTCCCATGAGGTTCGGATCCTGTCTATCCTTCTTCACTGTGATTTCCCCAGAGCTAAGCACTGTCACAAAGTTGGTGCATGATAATTGATGAAAGGAGGGAGGGGAGGAAGGAAGTGAGAGAGGGAAAGAGCAAATGAACACAGATAGTAGCACTGAGTCATGGAAAACCCCAGGGCATGAACTCTGGGTCCCAGAAGGCTCTTGCATCTCTGATGATAGGTGGGGTCCTTGGATTGTGGGGGACAGTCTGACCTGCAGGAGTGAGCCCTTGGGAGGGGTGGGCAGGGTGGCTGCAGTGGCTGGGGCTCTGTGAGCTCCCCCATGTTCCTGTCCCCAGCCTGATGCTGTTCCTGCTGAAGCCTCTGTGCTTTCCCAGGGAGAAGGGTTGTAGTTGTGGATCAGTGATATTTGTTAATGAACCTGACCTGCAGAGGGATTTCATTTCCCTCCTGCAAAGGTCATTCTCCTCCCCAGGCTACTCTGTCAGCCTACGGGGGATGGAGAGACCAGAGGTCTCCTGACACAGTCCTCAGGGAAGCCCCACCCACCCCAGCTCCCTAGAAGCCTGTGACAGCTTTGCACATCCTCCGTTGCACTTGGAAAAGATATAAAACGTCCCCGTTTGTCTCTTAGTAAAAAAGCAGTGGTTTCTACCTTGTAATTAGGATTACTCTGCCTGCAGTGTGATGTTCCTTTTAATCACCAAAGGGTAAGCCAGCAGTTAGCATAATACAACATGTTCATCCTAATACACACAGGCATTGGTGGGGAGAGCAAAGCAAGCAGGGAGGAGCAGGCCCTGATTCAGCCACAGCAGTGGGAGGCAGATGCCAGGAGAGAGGCGTGCTGAACAGGAAGACGGCGGTGTGATCATCCAGGGCAGAAAGGGACTGCAGCATGGCCAGGCGGGTCGGGAGCCAGAATGGGACACCTGCTGGAGACAGGAATAGAGAAGTTCACAACACCTGTACTCAGGGAGCCCCAGTCTGAAGGGAGACGCAGTCCCATCCTCAGGGATCCCCAGTCTGAGGGGAATCATACCCCTTACTCAGGGAGCCCCAGTCTGAGGGGAGACACAGCCCCGGCCTTGGGTGGTCCCAGTCTGAGGGAGACACAGCCCTGTCCTTAGGGAGCCCCAGTCTGAGAGCAGACAGTCCCGTCCTCGGGAAGCCCCAGTTTGATACAGGAAAGAAAGCTTCTGGTCTCAGCAAGCCTCCTGTAAGAGGCAGAGGTGATTCCTGCTCTGAGCAGTTCACAGGGTGATGGTGGAGCTCCCAGCTTGATGGCAGAAGGACACTGCTCCTGCTCTCAGAACACTCTCCATCTGATAGAGGTGACACAGCCCTTGCTCTCAACAAGCTTTCAGTCTGATGAGAAAGACAGATCCCTTAGTCTCAGGAGGTCCCCAAACTGATGGCAGAAGGAAGTGAATTAAACTCCATTGAGCTTCTACTGTATACCAAGCTGCATGGTAGAGGCACCTAGCTACTCATTTAACCCTCTGTGGTGTACCCAGGGTCACATGTTGCTTGACTCCAAGGGGCATCATTCATATGGGACACCATGAGGGTGGTGTCCCTGAAGGTGCACACGTAAGAGAGGGCCCAGTCTGAGGGAGACACAGCTCCATCCTCTAGGAGCCCCAGTCTGAGGGGAGAAACAGCCCCATCCTCAGGGTTCCCCAGTAACGGGCCCCAGAAGGGCCCAAGTAAGCATACCTACTCCCAACTTACAGAGGAGACAAATGGAGCACAGAGAGGCTGAGCCCAAGGGCTCATAGCTGAGAAGCAGCAGAATCAGACCTGAAGCTGGGTTTTCTGAGCTCAGTCAAGTGCTCCTAGGATAGTTTCTTATCTGTGAGGGGAAATAAAACAGAAAGAGAGAAAAGCCTCCTACACATCCTGGTCTGGAGTTGCCCTATAAGTAGAGTCTGAAACAGAGGCTACCTCCTGGTGGCATTTAGCTGGGAAGTGATCTCAGGGAACAGGAGGGGAGTAGAAGGAAAACTAAACAGGGAAGGCAGGAAAGCCCATCCAAGCTTGCATTATCAGATTGGCCATTCCTGCAGGCAACTGGTGTGTGATCTCTCTGGGACCTCTCTGGAGCTTTGTGTAATATGTCTCAGCACCATGTGCCCAAGGGGATGAAAGGGAGAAAAAGTTACCCCTTGGCTGTCACCTCCTATTGGCCACGGGTGACCTGCACTTCCTGGTTACAGGTGCCTGAGCATGAAACAGGTACCAATGGGAATGAATTGGTATCAGAGAAACCCTGGGCAGGAAGTGAGAGAGGCAGGGCACAGGCAGAGGTGAGTTCTGTTGGGTTGCATCTGCACAAGGCTGGTTGAAGCAGGGACTGAAGGGAGGGGCAGAGATGAGGAGATTATACAATTGATATGGTTTGGCTGTGTCCCCACCCAAATCCTATATTGAATTGTGACTCTCATAATCCCCACGTGTTGTGGGAGGGACCTGGTGGGAGGTAATTAAATCATGGGGGTGGGTTTTTCCCATTCTGTTCTCATGATAGTGAAAAAGTCTTATGAGATCTGATGGCTTTATAAAGGGTGGAGCTCCTGCACCCACTCTCTGGCCTGCTGCCATATAAGACATGCCTTTGCTACTCCTTGGCCTCCTGCCATGACTGTGAGGCCTCCCCAGCCATGTGGAACTTTGAGTCATTAAACCTCTTTCCTTTATAAATTACCCAGTCTCAGGTATGTCTTTATCAGCAGTGTGAGAACAGACTAATACAGTAAATTGGTACCAGTAGAGAGCAGTGCTGCTGTAAAGATACCCAAAATGTGGAAGCAACTTTGGAACTGGGTAACAGGCAGAGGCTGGAACAGTTTGAAGGGCTCAGAAGAAGATAGGAAGATGTGGGAAAGTTTGCAACTTCCTAGAGGTTTGTTGAATGGCTTTGACCAAAATGCTAACAGTGATATGAACAATAAAGTCCAGGCTGAGGTGGTCTCAGGTGGAGATGAGGAACTCATTAGGAACTGGAGTAAAGGTCACTCTTGCCACACAAAGAAACTGGTGGCATTTTGCCCCACCCTAGAGATCTGTGGAACTTTGAACTTAAAAAAGATGATTTAGGGTATCTGGCAGAAGAAATTTCGAAGTGGCAAACTGTTCAAGAGGAAGAACAGCATAAAAATTTGGAAAATCTGCAGCCTGACAATGCCATGGAAAAGAGAAACCCATTTTCTGGGGATAAATTCAGGCCAGCTGCAGAAATTTTAATAAGTAATGAGGAGCCAATATTAATCAGCAAGACAATGGGGAAAATGTCTCCAGGCCATGTCAGAGACCTTCACGGCAGTCCCTTCCATCACGGGCCCCAGGCTCAGAGGCCTAGGAGGGAAAAGTGGTTTCCTGGGCTGAGTCCTGGGCCCCCCTGCTGTGTGCAGCCTAGGGACTTGGTACCCTGCATCCCAGCCACTCCAGCTGTGGCTAAAAGGGGCCCAGGTAAAGCTCAGGCTGTGGCTTCAAAGGATGCAAGTCCCAAGCCTTGACAGCTTACATCTGATGTTGAGCCTGAGGATGCACAGAAGTCAAGAATTAAGGTTTGGGAACCTCCACTTAGATTTCAGAGGATATGTGGAAATGCGTGGATGTCCAGGCAAAAGTTGGCAGCCAGGGCAGAACCCTCATGGAGAGCTTCCACCAAGGCAGTGTAGAAGGGAAATGTGGGGTGGAAGCCCCCACACTGAGTCCCCACTGGGGCACTGCCTAGTGGAGCTGTGAGAAGAGGGTCACTGTCCTCCAGACCCTAGAATGTTAGATCCACCGACAGCTTACATCGTGCACCTGGAAAAGCCGCAGACACTCAACACCAGCCCATGAAAGCAGCCGGGGTGGGCTGGGGGTGGGGGGGCTGTACCCTGCAAATCCACAGAGGTGGAGCTGCCCAAAGCCGTGGGAGCATCAGCGTGACCTGGATGTGAGACATGGAGTCAAAGGAGATCATTTTGGAACTTTAAGATTTGACTGCTCCACTGGATTTGGGACTTGCATGGGGTCTGTAGCCCCTTCATTTTGGCCAATTGCTCCCATTGGGAATGGGTGTATTTACTCAATGTCTGCATCCCCATTGTATCTAGGAAGTAACTAACTTGCTTTTGATTTTACAGGCTCATATTCAGAAGGAACTTGCCTTGTCTCAGATGAGACTTTGGACTGTGGACTTTTGAGTTAATCCTGAAATGAGTTAAGACTTTGGGGGACTGCTGGGAAGGCATAATTGCTTTTGAAATGTGAGAACTTGAGATTTGGGAGGGGCCAGGGATAGAACAACATGGTGTGGCTCTGTGTCCCCACCCAAATCTCATCTTGAATTATAGCTCCTATAATTCTCACGTGTCATGGGAGGAACCCGGTGGGAAGTAATTGAATCATGGGGGCGGGTTCTTCCTGTGCTGTCCTTGTGATAGTGAATAGGTCTCATGAGATCTGATGAGTTTATAAAGGGCAGTTCCCCTGTACATGTTCTCTTGCTTGCTGCCATGTAAGACGTATCTTTGCATTCTGCCATGATTATAAGGCCTCCCCAGTCATGTGGAACTGTGAGTCATTAAACCTCTTTCCTTTATAAATTACCCAGTCTCAGGTATGTCTTTATTAGCAGTCTGAGAACAGACTAATACAACAATGAAGGACCTACAGCGTCGGCTGCCTCCCACCCCAACCCCCAGCTGGTTGTACTCTCTGGGAAGTAGAAGCTAAAGTGGAATTGGGAATGCAAAAGTTTTTTTGAGAAGTATCAGTTGAGAAGGAAAAAGGGAGAAAGATCGGTCAAGGGAGTCAGCTTTGAGATGTCATCCCTTTAAGGACCCAGTCTTCTAGTCCCTAACAAGAATCTGAGATTCTGTGATGGAGGCCATCTAACAGAGCCCCCTTGGCCCAAAACAAATGCAGTAATGGAAATTCCTAGCTCAGGATTCTGCCATCCTTGGCCATGAAGTGTTCTGATTTGTGGCAGAGACTGCTAGATGTCCTCAATCTCTCTTTCTTCCATCTTCCTTGGTGAAAGTATCCCTCAATTTTTAACTGGGCTCATGAACTCCTGAAATAAAGTCTATAATCCCATTCTATCTTGCAGGTGGGTGTGGTCCTCTGACTAAATTCTAGCCAATAGGACATAAGCTAAAGTTAGAAAAGTGTTAAGGACACTTAGGAAGTGTCTTTAAAGAGAAGAATGTCCTTTTCTTTCTCATTTCCTTCATTTCTCATTTTGCTGGCTGGAATGTGGATGAGATGGCTGGTGCTCCAGCATCCATCTTGGATCACACAGTAGAAGCTATGTGCTGAGGAAGGTGGAGAAACAAGATAGGCACATGGGTCTCAGATGAGTATTGAGCTGCCATACCAGCCGCAGGCTGCCTACTTCTGAAATTGATTAATATGAAGTAGTAATAACCTTCTGTGTTTCGTCAGTGACTGTTATTTATCTTGGGTTTTCTGTAATTATCTGTATATATGTCTATCTTCTTATTGCTGGGGACTCAGGGAGGGCAAGGACCTGACAAGGCTTATTTATCTTTGTGTCTCTTGCACCCAGCAAGGAGGCTGTCATACAGTAGGTGTTTAGTGTTTGTTGAATGAATGAATGACATACCTTCATTGCCACTTGACCTGTGGAAAGGTAACCTAAAGGCTGGGTGCGGTGGCTCACACCTGTAATCCCAGCACTTTGGGAGGCTGAGGCGGGCAGATCACGAGGTCAGGAGATTGAGACCACCCTGACTAATACAGTGAAACCCTGTCTCTACTAAAAATACAAAAAAAAAAAAAAATTAGCCGGGCATGGTGGCAGGTGCCTGTAGTCCCAGCTACTCGGGAGGCTGAGGCAGGAGAATGGCGTGAACCTGGGAAGCAGTGCTTGCAGTGAGCCAAGATCGCACCACTGCACTCCAGCCTGGGTGACAGAGTGAGACTCCATCTCAAAAAAAAAAAAAAAAAAAAAAAAAGAAAGTTAACCTGAGAGCCTCCCTTTTGGTCTCATCTTGAATGGAATCCTAAACTGGAGGCCCAGGATCTAAGCACCTACTTGGGCCACTCCCTGTGCTGCTCAAATCTGGTACCCTGGAGGCCTCAGGCAAGGTGGGAGCCATGGCCATAGGGGGAGCCCTCCAGAGGTAGATGCCCCAGGGAGCAGTGGCTTCTGCAATTGGCTGAGGGAGAGTTTTCCAGGATGACTTGCAGCTCCCAAACCTGCCATACTCTCTCTTGCCTCCTGGCCTTTGCATAAGCTTTCCTGTCCTGGCATGCCCTTCCCTCTCTCCAGCATCCCCATATGGTTTTACTGGACCACTTCTCCCAGGTTTCAACAAAGAAGACACTTCTTCCTGGAAACCTTTCTTGTAGCTCCATCCCTTATGAGTGCTCACCAGGCCTCCTGCTTTTCCTACCTAGAAGCTCTTTCCACATTAGATAGTACCCTCCATGAGGTCAGGGGCTGCGTCCCCTCTGTTGCATAGCCTGGCACAGGTGGGCTCAGGGAAGGCTTGTTGACTTTTCTCTGGGCAGGGCTTGGGAGACAGGGGTGGCTTTCAGAGGATCGGAGAGCTCAGTACCAGCCACAGTGGCCTGCCCTGTGCCTCCAGCCTATGCCAGGCCTCAACCGTCTTCAGCTCTCCCTGCCCTCACCCTCGCTCCCTCTGCAATGCCCTGGCAGGACTGAGCATTTTCTGCTCTCAGTGACCTGTGACCAAAGCCACAGCAGCTAATTAACACCCTGCTGTGTGCTTGATCCCTGCCCTGGCTGGCACTCCACTCCGGACCATTCCCATTTAATGGGCTCAGCGCCTGCCTGGCAACCTCCATCCTCTCTCCCTTCACATGATTTAGCTTCCAGCCTGAGGTTTGCTTGCTTGCTTCACTTAGTAATTAACGCTTTCTTCTGACTGTTCTCTTCCCTCCTCCACTGACTGTATGTGTGATCTGGGACTGGGTCTCCCAGACAGGCTGAGGCAGGTGTGGACCCTGCCCCAGGGGATCCTGCAGTGGAGCTGACACACTGACATAGAGAGGCAAGTATAGGGCACAGGGATGACAAGGGAAGGACCGCAGATAGCATGTGGTCCAATGTCTACCTACTGTGCAGGAGGGAAGACTGAAGCCCAGAGACAGTGAGCAGGCTGTCCAAGGTCACCCAGAAACCTAAGCTGTCCTAGTCTGGGTTCCCCACCAAAAGTCTGAAAAGTCTGAAACACCATTTTAGATGCAGATAGTATATTTTGGGAGGGGACAGAAATAGGGGCTGGAAGAATGAAGTAGGAAGGAGAGTAAGCCAGCACAAGCGTGCCCTACCAAGCTGGGTTCTGCTGTGAGCAGTGCAGGTTCCATCACATGATGGGCTTGCTGAGGGCTTCAGAAGGGTCCACTCCAGAGGGGAAAGAGGGGACCATTTATCCTTCGGTTTCTGGCCACCATTGGGCAATGGTTGCCCCCTGCCATTGGGGTGCTGACATCCTCGCACCTCTGGCGTTGTGCCTATGTCTGTATAGCTGGCTGTGCAGCTTCCTGGGGGCAGTCACTGCCGAGGTGTAGAGAGAAGTGGTGCTGCTGAGGCAGGGTGCTGTGAGAGGACACCGCATGTGGCTGATTCTGCAGCAATGGCCACAATGAAAGGTTCGGCTGAGAGGCTGTGAGGTAGGGCACATGAGTGTCAGATTCACAATGCAGTCGTAACAGAACAAGAAAGCACAGCCAGCAAGGACTGTGCTCAGCAGCAACCATCAGAATACCCAACTCCACTGCCCACAAAAGAGAGGCTTATTTTTCTCCTATAAGAAGAAATATAGAAATAGGCAGCTGCTGGCAGAGGTTCAAGGATGTCAATACCAAAATCTGAGATTGTTAGTCTTTCCCTTGTGAGTGCAGCATGGCTGCTGCAGTTCCAGCCATCATATATACACTTCCAGCAGAAAGAAGGTGGAAGCATGGTGGAGGTGGGGGCAGGGGAGCACCTTTATCAGGTCAGCCAAAGCTGTCTCCAGGAACACTCCAGTGAACTTCCACTACAATGTATTGGCCAGAATAGTCATAAAGCAGCATATCTAAGGAAGAGGGCAGAATGAGGACAGTGGGGTGAGGGATGGGCAGTGGGCAGCCAGCAGTCTGCCACACAGACATAGCCTCATTTTCTTTTTCCTTTGTAGAGGAGCTGACTTCTGCCCCTGCTCACACTACACATTCTTTGTTGTTCCTAACTCATGGCTGGCCTGAGTGGCCCTGGTCTTTGGGACCGTTTAGGGTGAATGTTGGGCTTCTCCGCTGAGACCAGATGGATGAAGAGGGATGGAAAACAATCAGGAGCTTTCCCATTTTATTCCCTCCACTAATCTCTCCTTTGAAAGAAGTCTCTCTTGCAGGTGAAGCAGGCATTATCTGATTTCATCAGTGCTGAGTGCCATGCATAATGAGAATGATGTATTTTGATGTGTTTGTTTCCCTCTCCTGGCCAGTGGGCAATTTCACTGGGTGATGGGCCTGCAGAAGGGTGCCAAGGAGAGAAATGGAATCCAAGGCTCCCGCAGCTGCCCTGTGTCTGTGTGGGACACTGGGAAGTCAGCAGCCAGGAGTTCCTGCTGTCTGCATGTCCTGACCTAGCCTCCACCCATCCCAATTTGGTTAGGTTCACAGTGCCTACCTGTCATTCAGTGCCTCTCCAATTTCCCCAGGCAGGAAGAGGCACATCTTCCCAGTCTTACCAGATGGCCCAGCTGTCATTCATGGTCACCATCTTAGTCTGAACTCCCTGAAAAACTGACTCTGAGTCAAGGATTTGAGTGAAGATGGGGGAGGTGGGAAGCAAGGCAAGGAAGGGCAGGAATCTTCCGCACTGGAGTCCTATCCTAGGTTCCACTGTGAGCAACTGTGGCTCAGTCCCACTGCAGGCCTTTGGAAGACCATGTGGGACATGCCTCAGAGTGGACCCTGAAGCAACAGGGAGCTGGGGCACTTATACACCAACTCCATCAGCTGTTGGTTGAGGGCTGCGCCCAGGGGCTGTAATCCCCCAGTGTTCTGGATGCCACATGGCAGGCAGAACAGGATTCAATTGCCAGAAAAAGGCCCCAGGCACAGACATGCAGGCAGTGCCCAAGGAGAGTTAACCTGAGAGTGGCTACAATGGTGAGACCAGGGGCATGCGAGTGGAGCTCCAACAGTGATTACCACAGACACAAGGACTGTCCCAGCTGGAGGAATTAGAAGGGACCATCCCAATGGGGTGCTATCAGCATTGGTTGGAATGAATTTCCTTGTGTGGGACAATAGCCCTTTGCAGTATGTTGGCATCCCTGGTCCCACCCACTCAATGCCCATCATACCTCCTAGTCACTATGACAAACAAAAGTGCCCCCATACATTTCTAAACACCTCCTGTCTCCAGTTAAGAACCCCCAATACAACCAATCCCTTCATTTTCCAGATAAAGGACTGTCACTCATCCAGCAACTCACAGCTAGTTGTGAGAGGCCAAGCTAAGTCTGAAATGCGAGTTTCCTTAGTTGTTATAATTGCTTTCTCAAAAAAAAAAAAAAATTGGGATGGCTTAGTACTCATTCATTCATTCATTTATCACAATTTATTCAGATGTCCTGTCTGAGCTCTATACCCTTGTCTCCCCTCGCTCATGTCTAACCTGGCACCTTCCTGCTATGGCCTCAGGCCTGTCCCCAAGGATTTTGGCAGCATTGGTACCCTGTTGCCAATGAGCTCTGTGTGAGGGGAGGGCTGGTGGCTGCAAAGTGGCCTAGCACAGGCTGTGGCTAGATGGGAACTTCACTCTTCAAGAAGGCTGCCCTAATGCCTCTCCTGTAGCTGATGAAGGCTGCACAGCCGCAGTGATGGTAATGAGGCCCTAAGTCCCTAACATCATGCTCCCGGGAGGGAGACGCTACCCAGCAGCCCTCTCCTTGCCGCCTCCACACCATCCATCTGCCGCCCACTTGCAGCACCTGCAGCCAGGCCTGGGGCCACTCTCCACCCTCCAGGCCCAGGCTTCTCTGTGACTGGCAGTCCATTCAGGCCTGGCACAAACTACTGGCATCAGGCGCAGCATGAGTGCCATGCCAGCCTTGGAAATTATGGAGCATCTCTGGCTGCCACCCCAGGGGCCTGGTTACCCCACCCACCTCCAGCCATAATCCACCTGGCTCCCTCTGCTCTGTGCTAAGGGCTGGGACCAGATGGCGAATGATTGGGGCTGATTTACAGTGACAGCTAAGTCGGCTGAGGATGAGGTGTGGATGTCAAAAGGCACTGAGTAAGGGGCCTGCTAGGTGGGGGTGGGGTAGGGATGGGGACAGAAGCAGGGAAAGGAGGGGTGATCCCGAAACAGAAAGTGATGCAAAGAGGAAAGAAAAAGCCCAGGGCCATGAGAGGAGAGAGGAGAGGGAGAACAGAGGCTGGGAGAAGGGGAAGAGGGAGGAAATGAGTGTAGCTGCCATTAATTGAGCTCTTACCATATGCCAAGCATGGATGTTCTCAGGGCCCTGTCCAATATGATAGCCACTAGCCACATGTGGCATTTTAAATTCAATTAAAATTAATTATAATAACTATAATTACAAATGCAGTTCCTCGGTCACGTTAATCACATTTCGAGGGCTTGATAGGCACAAGTGGCTAGTGCACTGGACCGTACAGATAGAGAGCCTTTCCATCATCCTAGAATGTGCTAGCGGGTGGGCGGTAAAGGGGAGGCAGATATTAAGTAACAACAGTGCATGTTGCTGATATGCACATATATCTCTATCCATCTATATATCTCTACATGCATATATATCAGGCACTGTTCTAAGAACTCTACATAGATTTATCCACTTATATCAGCTGTAGATGACAGGTTTTTCTATCAGAGGTCAGCAAACATTTTCTGTAAAGAACCAGATAGTGCATATTTTAGGCTTTGTGGGCCATATAATCTCTGTCACCACTGCTCACCTCCGCCATTGCAGTGTGAAAGCAGCTGTAGACAAAACGTAAATGAACGGGCATGGCTGTGCCCCAGTAAAACTTTATGGGCACCATGAAATTTAATTTTCATGTGTCACAAAGTATTTTTCTTTTGATTTTCCAACCAATTAAAAATGTAAAAACCTTTCTTAACTTGAGGGTAGAACAAAACAGGCATCGGGCTGGATTTGGCTCATGGGCCATTGTGTGCCGACCCCTGATTGACATCATCCCCATCTCACAAATGTGGAAAGTAGGACACAGACAGACCAGATAGGTCACTGGAGGTCCCATAGCCACAAATAGCGAAGCTGAGATTTGTACCCAGGTGCTTGGGCTCCAGAATCCAGGCCCTCAGCCTCCCCACACAACAATGAACAATGTAATTTCTGGTAGTGATCATTACTTTGAAGAAACTAAGAGTGTGATATGGTAGCAAGCATGAGAGACATGTCGTCTAGATCAGGTGAACAGGAATACTGTACTGATGAGGGAGGCTTTGGCCTAAGACGGAGTGACAAGAAGGATGCAGCCATGGCATGACCCAGGGCACGACATCTCAGGCACGAAGGAGACAGCAGGTGCCATACTCTGCAGCAGGGTCATGGGTCAGCATGGCCGGGGAATGGAGTGAAGGCCAATGGCTGACTCCAAGGACAGGGGGTTGGACATGGAGTGAGGCTCATGAACTCTGATAAAACAGGCACCATTTTAAGTTTGATGGGTAGTCACTGGGGCATTTTAGCAGGAGAATGACTGATACAATTCATGGTAAAACCAAACCTCATCCTGGATGCATAAGAGAAGAGGCAGGAAGCTAGTTAGGAAGCTGCTACAATCGGTCACACAAGCAATGGTGGCAGTGTGGAGTGGGGCAGAGGCTGTGGAGATGTAGATATGAGAACAGATTTGAGTTATCTTTTGAATTGGAGCCAACATGATTTATTTTTCATTTGGATGTGAAATGTGAAGGACAAGGAAAAAGTGGAATGACTCCTAGTTTGGGGGACTTGAGCAATGGGTGGAAGGCAATGCCATATAGAGACTGGGAGGACAAGGAGAAGTACAGGTCTAGGGTGGGGAAATCAAGATTTCTGCTTTGGGACATGCTAAGTCTGAGATGTCATTGGACATCCAAGCAATGATGGCAAGTGGATGGTTCTATATTGGAATCTGGAGACCACTGAAGAAGCCAGGGCTAGAGATATAAATTTGGGGAGCAGCAGCAGGTAGGGGGTTGTTAAAATCATTGAATCAAAGGAAGGTACAGGTAGGGAAGAATAGAGGGTCTCGGAACTGCACCCAGCATTGGAGGAAGGGCCAAGGTGGAGGCTCCAGCAAAGGACAGTGAAAAGACGCTGAAGTCAAGCTGAGAGAAGAGAAGCTGCACGCAGATAAAGCTGCATGCAGATAAAGACTCAGATAAAACATTTATACTATATTTAACAAAATATTGACATTTGTAATGTAGGGTTTTTATAAATAATTATAAAGGCAAGTCTATAGAAAATAAGTGAAGAATATGAACAGGCAATTTATAGAAAAATAAAAAGGCTAATGTTTCAGCCAAGACCCAGGCAGAACACAGAATTTACACCCTGATGGTTCAAATGATGGCAATTAAATAAAGCATCAGCTTGTAAAGAAATGCACAGAGTTAAAGGAATAGGCAAGGGATGATGAAGTGCCCAAGGCTGGCAGCAGCAGGAAGCTGTTACCTCTCCTATGGCTAAAGAGGCAGAAGGGGCTAAAGAGGTAGAAGTTGAAAGAGGGGCCACCCCATGGGAGCTGTAGTTTTAGAACAATGCCAATACCAGAGGCATGGGGCTGGAGCAGGAAAAGAACACCTTGACCTCTCTCTTCTCTCCTCCCACCCTTCAACCTCCTGTCCCCCAGCATTCCAGGAATCTATTTCATAGACAAACACACATACATACAAAATATCAGCAGAAAAATCTTCACACTAGCATTGTTTAGAATGGAAAAAACTGGGAACAATATTAACATCTATCAATAATATTGATGATGATGTTGATAAAGATTATGAAAGCCAATAGGTATATGATGTGTGTGCATGTATGTGTGTGCATGTGCACTTACTATATGTCAGGCTTAATTCTAAGCAATTTCCATGCATCATCTTGTTTAACAATAATCCTATGTGGCAGGTACTATTATTTTAGTTTACATTGAGTAAATCAAACATCAATAAGGTTCTAGTGAAATCATGGTATGGGCATACTATGGAACACTGTGCAGCCATTTAAAAAAGGAAATAGGTCCAGATATATGAATCTGGAAAGAAACACATTGTTAAGAAAAAAGTCGCAGAAGTATTTGTATAGTGTGATTCCTTTTATATTTTTAAAATAGCAACTCTGTGTGTATTTCTATGTGTACAGAAAAGATCTGGAAGGATACACTCAACAAATAATGGTGGTCACTTAAGCAGAGAGGGTTGGACCAATGGGAGTTGAAGAGGAGTGGCATTTTTATTTTACATATAATCAGTATATACTGACATATTACTTATGGATGAAAAAATAAAAGGATCAACTGAAGAAGTAAAAGAAAACAGAGGACAAGAACAAGTCCCACTGTTGAAACTGGGATTTCAACCAAGCAGGCTCCTGTCCCAGTACTGCTGCATTTTAGCTGTAAGTTCCTGGGTAAACACATTGCTTCTCCAAGCTCGGTTTCTCCATCCATGAAAGGCGAATATTAATCATGGTACCCACCTCCTCAAGCTGGCATGAGATGCACATGAGAGACGTGTGAGAGAGTGTACATGAGTCATGCAGCCTGGTGAAGAACGCCCTACAGACGCTCAACAGGGCATGCTCAGCATGTGCTGTGCTTCCAGCCCCTGGGAGGCTTGAGGAAAGTGAAGGTGGCAAGTGGAGAGGGGATGGAGGGCCCACTTCTGTGATTCTGTGGCCAGGACTCTAGTCCCTAGAGTTTACAGGGCACTTTCTTCCCTGCTCACACAGAGCTCAAAACCCAGCACTCGGGGTTGACTCCACCTGCATGCAGCCAGCACATCCTCTCTGTTTGGCAGGAAGCAAATCATGTTCAGTGGCTCTGCAGCCACATCCCCTAATCCGAACTGGGAATGGAGGCCACAGTCATTCAGTAGAAAAGTGAGTTAGAGAATCACACACGTACGCCTCTTTGACCTTCTAGGAATTAATACCAATGTTTTATAAAGTGTTGCCAAGCCACTTTGAGGGCCTTTTAAAGTAAAGCTCATTTGCAATTCACACATTGAGGTTGATATGGAACTAAGTGGTGCCAAGAGAAAGAGTTGTGTCTACACACTCCCCAATAAGCTTCTTCAGAGGGTTATCTCCACCTAATGCTCACTGACATGGAACTAAGCTTTACAGCCCCAAGAACTGTATTGGTGAAACAAAAGTCTGGAAAGATAAATACCAAACTTATACCAGTAGTTAACTCTAGGGTGTGTGTGTGTGTGTGTGTCTGTGTGTTTATGAGGGGGTGAGACATTCCTATTTTCCTTCCAGTATTGATACAGTGCTTGGCTCTGTTGTGATGAAGATTGTTTTCAGATATTTTACGTGAAAAAAATTAATAAAATAAGAAAAAAGAAAGGCACCAAATGGGATTGTTCTGTGGAATACACAATATTATAGACGTATGAAGAAGGACCTGCACTTCCTACACATGAAAGTAGTTACGATTTATAGAGCCCTGATTTGGTCCCAGGTGCTGTGTTACAAGTGCTAAGCTACTGAGTCATGCAGATGACTCCACAAGGTAAGCATTATTCACCCCATTTGCAGAAGAGGAAAGTCGGGGCAGGGGTAGAACCACACCCTAAGTCATCAGTGCATGCATTCGCAGATTAGTGTGAAATCACAGAGCAATGAGAAATGGATTTCCTCCTCCCGGACAGAGTCAAAGAACCTCACCAGGAGGCTCTCCCTCCCTCCCTACCTAAGAGTCTTCAGAGAAAACCTTACAGCATCTGTTCACATGATATCAAGGAGCAAAACGCCAGCGAAATTAGAAACCCCACCATTCCGCCTTGCTGGAAGGAGCCAGGGAAGATAATCAATCTTCAAGATGAGGCTGCGAAGCAGAGCAAGCCAGGCTTGGCCCTTTTCAGAAAAGACCCCAAACAGGGGGTCTGGGCTGTTATCTCCTGGACGCTGGTCCTGTAGCCAGCTTCCAGGGGATAACAGGGGCGGCAGCCCGAGAGGGTCCCCTTCTCTCCAGAGGGGGCAGGCAGCAGGCTCACAGCTGCCCTCTCCCAACATTAAGACAAATTTATAGGAGTGCCAGCAAGGCGTAAAACACACGAAGATAGGCTGTTCCTCACTCCAGCCTGGCTATTCAACCCCCTCACTCCTTCTCCAATTCTGCTTCCTCACCTGCTTCCCGTAGCTGAAGGCAGAAGAATGCCTTAAAGACCCTTCAGTCACCGACAGAACAAGCCTGGCCTGGAGCCGCTCTCTTGGTGGCCACGCCCACCGCAGCCCCAGGACCCCTGGACCCTGTGCAGGGGGCTGTGTGCCCTTCCCTGGCTCGGCTTCTCCAGATGTTCCTTGTGGCTCTCCCTCCCCTTCCTCGCACCTCACTGGTGGCAAAGAGCCAAAGCCCCCGCACACAGTCAAGCTGGCAACCCAACTACATGGGATTCCTATGGCTGCAGATGGCCTGAGACGACTCTCAACCTTGACAGGATCTAGGGCTGGGGGCTTGAGATAGTCAACCAACGCCCAGCCCCTGGACGGGGTTAGAGTCACTCCTCCACCTCGTGGTCATTGTTGGAACTACACCCTGGGAAAGCCTGTCCTGAGAGGCACTTACTCCAAGGGATGATGGAGGAGGTTTGATGATGATGGTGATGGTGATGATGTGATGATAATGGTGATGATGTGATGATAATGATGATGGGTCATGAGTGTAATCACTTACCTCTTGCCACTTTCTGCTCACATCACCTCCTCAAAAGGGCTTTTCCCTGACCACCCTGTGTAAAATAGCACCACCACTCTCCTTAACCCTGCCTTATTTTTTGTAGCACTTATCATCTAAAATATTATTAGTTTGCTTATTTGTTGTTCGTGTAAGCTCCAGGAAAGCAGGAGCTGTGTTTTTTTTCACTGATGTATCCTGTGTAGCTAGGATTACCTCACAGTTAGCAAGTGTTCAATAAATATTTGTGAAGTGAAGGGGTTGGTAAATGACTCCTCAATCTCTCCCTGTGCCCAGCAGTCCTCCCAGCTCCTGGCAAGGCCACAGATCCCTCTCCCGCAGACTGAGTTTGCCTGTAATACTGGGAACAATCCCCATGCTCGTCTGGGAGATGTAAGGACCCTGTGTTAGTCTGTTTTGCATTACTAAAGGAACACCTGAAGCTTGGTAATTTATAAATAAAGGAGATTTATTTAGCTCATGGTTCTGCAGGCTGTACAAGAATGGCACAGGCATCTGCTCAGCTTCTGGTGAGGTCTCAGGAAGCTTTTACTCATGGCAGAAGGCAAAGGAGGAGCAGGTGTGTCACATGGAGAGAGAGGGAGCAAGACAGAGGGGAGGAGGTGCCAGCCTCCTTTTGACAACCAGCTCTTGGAGTGAACTAATAAAGTGGGAACTCATTCATTACTGCAAGGATGACACCAAGCCATTCATAATGGATCCTCCCCTATGACCCAAACACCTCCCACTAGGTCCCATCACTTTTCAACATGAGATTTGGAGGGGACACACATCCAAACTATATCAGACTCCAGGTCTCAAATCTGCTGGTTTGGCCCCCACCGGCCTGTGGTGGTCTTGCCCTTGGTGGTCAAGACCCTGCCCTTGGTCCTCGCCTTTAGCATCTGCATCCCATGGTGTCATTCCTTGCATCTGCGTCCTCCCTGCCTCATCCCAGTGTCCATGCATGTTGCCCTCCCACTGATTGCCAGGCCCTGGGCTGGGTGTTTTGTGTTCACTACCTCTGATCTTCATGGCACCCTGCAAGGTGGGCATTGATTATCCTCATTTTTAGATGAGAAATGAGTTCAGAGAGATGGCACAACTTTGCACATGTGATTTATGCCACCCCTGTGTTTTCCAGAGATGGTCCCAATGATGCTAATGGGTGAAACAAATAAAGAAAAATACACATAAAATAAAGTTTCCATGGTGAGAAATTTCAGAAAACACTGGGTTCAGCAAAGCAGAATTTTTTCTATCAGGACTTCTTAGACTCTTTAAAATGACCATGTGCATGGCAGCCCCCAGTGGGGAGGGGTATATGCAGGGCACAACATTTCCCAAACCTATCTGAATTTGGAACCACTTATCCAAGGAGCATCTCACAGGACATGGCTTGGATAACAAATGCAAAATCGGTTTCAATCCTCCTGGTCAGGAATTAAGATCAGTGGATCAAGATCGGTTTCAATCCTCCTGGTCAGGAATCAAGATCAGTGGATCAAGATTTGTTTCAATTCTCCTGGTCAGGAGTCAAGATCAGCGGATCAAGATCGATTTCAATCCTTCTGGTCAGGAATCAAGATCAGTGCATCAAGATTGGTTTCAATCCTTCTGGTCAGGAATCAAGATCAGTGGATCCAGATTGGTTTCAATCCTCCTGGTCAGGAGTCAAGATCAGTGGATCAAGATTTGTTTCAATCCTCCTGGTCAGGAGTCAAGATCAGCGGATCAAGATCGATTTCAATCCTTCTGGTCAGGAATCAAGATCAGTGCATCAAGATTGGTTTCAATCCTTCTGGTCAGGAATGCCAGGGGTGTAAGTGGGTGAAAGTCAGGCCACTCCTGCGTGTATCTTATTTGATCTCCGCAACAGCTCCATGAAGAAGGAATCCTTATCCTCACTTTCCAGATGGGGAAGCTGAGGCTCAGGAAACTAAAGTAATTTTTCTATGTTGCCCGTAAATATTTGAAGCTAGTGGAGTGTGACTATTCACCGGGTGCTCTTGAATGATGGCGAGAGGGAAAAGGATTAAGACAGTTCACCGGGAACCAGGAGACATGGTAGTAGACATGGGATCTACATGAAAGGAGTTCAGGGAGGAGGATGTGACTGTGTCCAGTCTCAGGGAGTCACCCCAGCCCTGACACACGATGACTGCCACCATAACTTCCACGCTCCTCGGTCCAAGTTCTCAGGATGCTCCTGCAGTTTTAATTAAACGCTGTGTATGGTGGCTCATTAAGGAGAAAACAGTTGTTCTGTATCTAAGTAGCCTCAGGTCTCTTCACCACTTTTACTGCTCAAACAACATCGCAGATAATTTTATAGTGTTTGGACTTGGTATTGCCTCTAAGCCTGGCAGGACCTCCAGGCCAGAGCTGTGTGGCAAATCACTCTGCTCCAAGGACACCGCCCTCATTTCAACAAGGATTCCTGGTCAGGCCCTACCTCCTTTCTCTCTTCAGACCCCCTCCCACCCCAGGGAGGGGCTCCGCCTGCCCTAATGTTGGTGCCAGGATCCATGATGATGGGAGGTAGGCAGGCTTTGGAGGGGTTAGACTGTGTGTACCAGTTCCCACGACTGGAAGGTTGTCTCGCTTCTGAGCTCTGATACACCATTTGGCAACTTGGTCCCTTATTAGGTTATTTCATAGGAAAGGATTAGGAGCCTATTAACAATATTAGTTTACCCTCCCACAGCCCTTGCCACAAGCCAGGCATTGTTCTGAGCTCTTTACCTATAGTAACTTGCCAAATTCTTACAATAACTCTATAGGATAGGTATGGTTGTTATCGCATTTAATAGATGGGGTAACTGAGGCAAAGAGAGTTTTAAGTTTCTTGCCCAAGATTATAAACTATTAATTGGTGAAGCCAGGATTCAAACACAGGCTCTCTGGCCCTGAGTCTCTGGTCTTGACCACTGTGTTATACCATCTGCTAAAAACCCGACTTTCAGCCTTGGCCTTGCTCTTCGTCAGCTCCCCTGAGTAGGGACTGTAATTCTGCCACTGATTCCCAGCTCAGGGATGACAGCTTGATTGACTACTTATCTAGGTCTCCAACCATCACTTGATCCTGGATTGGCATCACCTTTAGCAAATTGTGTTTTCCAAAGATGGTACAGCAAGATCTTTAGAACGTTCACACTCCCTCTCTGAATCTGGACAGATCTTTGTGACTGCCTTTCCCAGAAAATGTAGCCAGAGTGACAAAATGTAGCTTCTGACGCTAATACAAGTGTCATGCACTCCTGCCTTTCTCTTTGGGAACTTGGCCGCTATGTTGTGAGGAAGCCCAGTTAGCCTTTGGAGAGACCCATGTGGAGATAAACTGAGGGCCCATCAAGTTCCAAGCTGACAGCCAGCAATGACTTGGCAGTCAAGTGAGTCACTTTGAACGTGATCTTCCAGCCCCAAGTTGAGTCACTCAGCTAATGCTATGTAAAGCAGAGGCAAGCTGTCCCCACCAACTCCTGCCCAAACTGCAGATTCCTGAACAAAATAAATGATTATTGTTGTTTTAAGCCCCTATGATTTGGGGTGGCTTCTCACATAGCAGTAGATAAGCAGAACACCAGCTGTGTCTGCTGGTGTGATTCTGGGTCATCTTCTCTGACATACCCTTATTTTATTGCTGGGCTCTATCTGCCAGGCCAGACCTCTCCCAACTTCTCTGTCCCCACAATACCTGCCCCTCGCTGATACAGAAAGAAGAATGGCTGGTGCTTTTCCATCTGCCCATCTCCCTGCATGTCACAAGGCGCTGCTGGCCTGGGCCCAGCTGCCAGCCATCCTCCCAGCAACACTCAGCCTCCAGACTGACTCTGAATTCCAGGGACCAGTTTCCTAGGCAGTGGGGCCAATTCCAAGCTATCTTCCAGCTCACATATTTTTGCTTCACCAAGAAAGCTATTATTTCTCCTTTTCATTGAGTGTATTACATCAATTATTTTTTGTTATAAAACTTATAGTTAGTTCTTTTGCAAATTATCCAGTCCATTTTTATTGTTTTTCATAGATCTGACACACTTTGAGTCCCCTTTTAATTTTAAAACATATAAAACATACTACTTTCATACTACTTTCGGTGTGATGGTTAAATTTATGCATCAACTTGACTGGGTTAAGGGCTGCCCAGATAGCGGGTAAACATTCTTTCTTTCTGTGTCTGTGAGGGTGTTTCCAGAATAGATTAGCCCTTGAATCTATAGACGGAGTAAAGAAGATCTGCCCTCACCATTTTGCAGGGGCATCATTTAATCCATTGAAGGCCCAAAATAGAACAAAAAGGTGGAGGAAAGGCAAACTCCCCCCAGGCTACCCCTGCTTCATGAGCTGAGACATCCATCTTCTGCTCATGGACATTGGAGCTCCTGGTTCTGCTTCTTTAGACTCAAGGACTAACACCCGTCCTCCCCATCCCACCCCATCCTGAGTTCTTCAGCCTTGTAGTAAATTACATTACCTCCTTCCTGGTTCTCCAGCTTGCAGACGTCTTTGTAGGGCTCCTTGGCCTCCACAATCACATCAGTCAATTCTCATAATAAATCTCCTCTTGTATATCTATATATATCCTTTTGGTTTTGTTTCTCTAAATAACCCTAATATGCTGGGTAACAAACTATTACAATGCTTCCTATTTTTTAAACATTTTTTGTTACTCTTACTCATGGTGGCTTGTTTCCCTGTGGGTTTGGGGATTTTAAACTGTGAGCTTGTGCCCTGTCAGCATTTTATCTGTGAAAATTCTTTGAGATCTGCCTTTAGAGTATATTCCTCAGAAAAGATTTGTGTTTGCTTCTGCAAGGCTCCTGGTGACATCATCAAGGCAGAATCACTGGCAAATTTCACATGGGTTTATTAGATTAAATATGAATCTTTAAGGACATGCCACCATGGCCAGCATAGATTTTTTTCCAGTTCCCCTGAAGCCCACTTTTCCTTTCCTTTACTATTGCAAGTATTTTAGGACCCCATCTCTACAAAAAATTTTAAAAAGTAGCTAGCTAAGCATGATGGCATGTGCCTGTAGCCCTAGCTACTTGGGAGGCTGGGGTGGGAGGATCACTTGAGCTCAGGAGTTCTAGGCTGCAGAGAGCTATGATTGTGCCATTGCATTCCAGCCTGGGCAACAGAATTAGACCTTATCGAAAAGAAAAAAGAAAAAAACAAAACGATTTTGTAAGAAGCATTTGCTCTATATTCTACTCTGGTTCCAGTGTTCCAATGTGTAAAAGTTTGCCACATTTTAACCTAAGTTAGTTTTCTTAACTACCTTCTTTTTTATGCGAGGTACCCCAAGCAGCCTTAAAAGAGTGGGCACCTGTGTTCAAAGAGGGAGGTAAATAAATGAAAGGAAACAAAAAAATTTTCATAAAAAAAGAAAAATTGTGCCTGGGTTTGTACCTGTTGGCAAGAAAAATATTCCATATGACTAACAACTAAAGTTCTTTCTAAACCATTTAGTAACTCTCAGTGCTATCTCCATAAGCAAATTACAAGTTTATTTTATCTTTTTTCTTAAAGTAAGTATGTTCCTCAACCTGAAAATGGCTTAACATCTACCTTAAGTTATTGTAGGCCTTAAGAAGCAATTCTCCAAAAATCTGTTTCCTGGAAATAATGAACTCAGCTTTCTCAGTAGTTCAGCATTCTTTTCTACCTGGTTAGTTTGCAAATGTGTGGTTTGACAATCTCTACATTAGAGCTGTTGTATTTGCTATCTATTGTCACAATAATGCTATCTAAGAAACCATCCCAAAACTCAGTGGCTTTAAACCATGAACATTTACACAGTAGGTCAGTGATTTAGGTGAGGCTTAGCTGTATGGTTCTTCTGATCCCAGCCAGGTTTGCTCATATGCCTGGAGCCTGGAGGTGGGCTAGCAATCGGCTGCTGCAAGCTACCCTTGGCCAGCGGGACTGAGAAACTTGGCTCTGCTCCATGTTCTCTCATCCACCAACAGGCTGTACTGGGCATATTCTCATGGCAAGGTCAGTGGTTCAAGAAAGCACCTTTTCAAGCCTCAGTTGTATTTTACCCACAAATATCTCCTTGGCCAAAGCCAGTCACATGGCAAACCCAGAGTCGAGAGATGGAGTATATCACCCCACCAGGTGACATAATGGTGGCAAAGTTACACAGCAAAGGGCATGAGTACCAGGAGAAGCAAATAATTGGAGCCAAGTGATGTAATCCATAACAGCTGGTGTCCGGGCAGCCCTCTCACAGGAGCCATGCCAGGCAGCTGGTCTAATCATCCATTAGGGTGTCCCTTGGTGACCAGAGCAGGAATGAACAGAACCCTCCTTCCTCAATCCTATTTGGGCCTTAGCGTCAGAGTCAATGTGTCTGACTCCCTCTCGCGCTCCTCACCTGCCCTGGATTAAAACTGCTAGTAACACAATTTTATAGTTTTCAGGGACCACCTAGGAAGGCAGCAGTCAAGCAGGGCTGATCTCCCTGCATCCAACACATCCACTTCCAAGCTCAGGCCAGAGTGGCTGCTTAGGTATCTGGGCATGCTACCGAAAATAAAATGTGGCTGGAGTTCAATCACTTGAAAACAGAACACCATTTCTTTCCTGAATTACCTGAGGGCATGTTAATAGATGGCTGTAGAGAATCTTTCAAATCTTCCATTCATCAATACCATGCCAAGGAAGGAAGCATAAATCAGAAAGCAGTTATAAGAAATTGTACACGGATGCAGCAAAGCTCAAGGTCAGTGCCCAGGCCATGCACCTGCCTTCCATACACCCAGAGCCCACAACAGGGCTGGGTGCACACCTGCTGTGTGCCTAATATGTGACCCCTGGCCTCTACTTCATAAGCAGAGAGCTGTTACACCTGTAGCTTGAGAAAGGCGAGGAGAATACCTGCGAGGGCTTTGGTTTAAACCCTCCGTATAGGATATATTTGTCAGAACTGTCATGGGAGCAGCTGACAGAAATCTAACTCAAGGTAGCTTAAATAGAATGAGAGATTTACTGTCTCGTGAAACCAAATAACGATGAAGGCCAGCAAAGAATACCGGGAGCCACAGACACAACTGTCAGAAGCTTTGCCTCTTTCCCTCTCTCTCCTCTACTTCCCAGCTTTTCCCTGTGTGAAGTCTCATCTCACCATTTTTCTCCACATTGTAGGTAGACGGGTCGGAGTTGTTGAGAAACTGATCAATGACCAGTTCTGAACACACATCCGTCTGGAAACTTTCTGGCCAGGCAGAAGAGGGCTCTCTCTTCTGAGCTCATGCTTGAAAATTCTAGGGAAAGGGTCTAATTCGCCAGGCCTGCATCATGTGAGCCATCCTGGGCTGATCACTGTGGCTGGAGTTGGGGTATGGAACAGGGGTGGGGCACCAGTGGTTAGCAGCTCTCATCAGAACCACGTGCATTTAGGAAGATGAGGAATACTGTTCTGGGCAGAATGAACCATGCACGTCCACCACAGAGGGCTGATTGTTCTAGCACAGGGACAGCTTTGAAGGTCCTCACCATGAGGTTCCTCACCTACAGAGCCTCACCAGCTTATGGGTGATGAGCACAGATATAGATTTTAAGCCACCCTTTTCTTGAGGAGAGGCTGGGCTTGGTCAAGTGAAATATGAATGGAGAAGGAAAGTAGACAGGGACTATCGTTTTCTTAAGTGTGCCAGGTACTGTCGAAGGCACTCAACAAGGCTTGTCTCCCCTGTTGATCACCTGAGAGATATTAATCTTTTTTGTTGTTGTTTGACACAGAGTCTCGCTCTGTGACCCAGGTTGGAGTGCAGTGGCACAATCTCAGCTTACTGCAGCCTCAAGCTCCTGGACTCAAGCAATTCTCCCGCCTCAGCCTCCCAAGTAGCTGGAAACTACATGCAAGCACCATCACACCCAGCTAACTTTTGTATTTTTAGTACAGACAGAGTTTTGCCATGTTTGCCAGTCTGGTCTCAAACTCCTAGGTTCAAGTGATCCACCTGACTTGCCCTCCCAAAGTGCTGTTATTACAGGCACAAGCCACCACACACAGCCAAGAGATAGATTCTTAGACCCATTTTACTAGTGAAGAATACTAAGGCTCAGAAAGGGAAAGTGAGTTACCCAAGGTTACACAGTGTTGGAGTGGGCACTTGAAATAAGCCTTCCTGACCACTCCGTATCAGCTCAGCTCTATAGATAATCTAACCACACTGTTAAACCATTTCTGAGCGTCAGCAACTCCACTGCTGTGTATTTACTCTAAAGAAATGATGGCTTATGGCCATGGAAAAACATGCATGAGAATGTTCACACCAACTTTATTCCTAATGGCCCCAGACTGGAAACAAGTCAATATCTATCCACGATAGAATGAATAAATAATTTGTGGCATATTCATACATGGAATACCACACAGCAAGGAAAAAGAACACACTATTTTGGGAGGCAGAGGTGGGTGGATCACCTGAGGTCAGGAGTTCGAGACCATGCCTGGCCAACATGGCAAAACCCTGTCTCTACTAAAAATACAAAAATTAGCTGAGTGTGATGGTGCTTGCATGTAGTTCCAGCTACTCGGGAGGCTGAGATGAGAGAATTGCTTGACTCTGGGAGCTTGAGGCTGCAGTAAGCTGAGACTATGCCACTGCACTCCAACCTGGGTCACAGAGCGAGACCCTGTCTCAAACAATAACAAGTGTGCTGGTGTGTGCCTGTAATCCCAGCTACTCGGGAGGCTGAGGCAGGAGAATTGCTTGAACCTGGGAGACAGAGGTTGCAGTGAGCCAAGGTCATGCCATTGCACTCCAGCCTGGGAGACAAAAGCGAAATTCCATCTCAAAAAAAAAAAAAAAAAAAAAAGAATGGACTATTTTTACCTGCAACAGCATGGATGAATCTCACAGATATTTTGTTGAGTAAAAGAAGCCAGGCACAAAAAAGAACATACTATGTACACTCACTTATATGAAGTTCAAGAAGAGGGAAAGCTAATGTTGGTGACGGGGACCAGACTAGTGGTTATCTCTGGGGTGGGTAGAGACTGGAAAGGAGCATCAGGAAGCCTGGGAGGCTCAAAAACTAGATATCTTGATAGGGGTGGTGATTTTGCAGGTCTCTACACAGATAAGAATTCATCAAGTTGTACATTTATGTTCCGTATACTTTATGTATATCATACCTCAATTAAAAAAATTCATTCACAAGTTTGATAGACAAAAGTTCTAAGCCCTTCAAGTCTATGCTATTCTTTATTAATTAATTTCTGTTTTCCAAAGAGAACCCGAGGATTCCCCTACCTGAGGTTTGAGGTAGAGGCTCCCATTCATTTCTCCGCGTATCTCTGCACGGGTGCTTTAGCTAGACCTTAACTGAGAGACCACTCTGGGGGCTCTCCTCTCCCCTTACTCCACCTCCCAGATTCCAACAAGGGAAATCCCCAGGTTCCAAAGGGACTTCCTCCTTTTCTGAGCTCCACCATCAGGATAAGTTGGGGCTGGGGATGGCCGCTTTCAGCACACCTTCCTCCCGAGCCAGGTGGCTCTTGTGTGGCCAGAAGGAAACAAAGCTCCCAGGGGCACTGAGCTGGGGAGTGGATGCCTGGCACAGCACCATCAGTAGGAACATCTTCATGGAAGGTGATGGAACCAGACACAGGACCCACGTCTACAGTGGCCAAAACACAGTAGGAAAGGGCTCTGTTTTGCACTTGCTTCGCAGGTCGCTAGTTCCTTCCTTATCTACCGAATTACCTTGATCCTGCCCATATCTATCTTCTCACCAGTAAAATGGACCCAGAATACCTAATCACAGAGTTATCTTGAGATAGAATTTCAAAAGGAGACTTTACAGAAGAGCCCATCTAGCTTATACATTGCCTTTGTGTAGATGAGAAAAAAGAAACCCTTCCTCAGGACATTTCATTGCCATCCATTGACTAGTTATCCTAATGTCCTGATTTCTCTAGAATAAGACACATTAGAGCCACCTGCCATAAAATGGCCATATTAAACTTTCAAATCTACAACATCTCTTATGTGACTGGTAACCACTAGGGTTGTGCAGCACACAACCTGAACAACCATACACATGGCCCTGTTTTCAGGATATGATGCACTATGCACAAATAAGGAACCTGCCCTGTTATTGTGGTCAGGAGCCTTAGGTAAATCCCTTTGTTCTTGCAGGGCATTGTCCTTGAGTTGGACTGAATTGTGCTCCCCTTCCAAAATTCATATGCAGAAGCCATAACCCCCATTGTGATGGTATTTGGAGATAGGACCTTAGGGAAATTAGATTTAGATGATGTCATGAGGGTGGGGTCCTCATGATGGGATTAGTGCCCTTATGAGAAGAGGAAAAGACACCAGAACTCTCTCTCTCTCTCTCTACTTTGTGAGCACATAGGAAGAAGACTTCAACTGCAAGCCAGGAAGAGACCCCTTGCTAAACTCTGACCATGTTGACATCCTGATCTCAGATTTCCAACCTCCAGAACAGTGGTAAAATAAATCCCTGGTGTTCAAACCACTCAGTCTATGGTATTTTCTTATGGCAGCTTAAGCCAAGACAGTTCTCATCATCTGTTAATGTAACTTTCCATGAAGAATTTATTGATAATTACTTAAGTTGTTATCTCTCTCAGGGACGTCTGAATTCTACAGTCTATTCATATCCAGGTACCAAAGAGTGAAGTGCTAATGACAGGCCTTGGAACAGCATTATAGTCAGTGGGGAGAGATGGATTCAAGGGAAATGGAGGGTGTTGGCACTCTTTGAAACAGCCTCCATCCTTCAATCACACTGTAGGCAACAGCCTCTTCTGCCCATGCCTGAAGATGGCCACGGATCTGCCCTGCTCTATGGGGAAGGAGCCTGATCCTGCAAGATACAAGGGGATTAAAGTCCCCAAGGCAGGAGTTTTCCATCCTTGCAGCCTCCTTCTGGCTATAAAATTAGACTTGCCAATTCCAAAGGAGCCATCTGGCAGGTGGGAAGAGTAGAGAGTGGGCCCTGACCCTCCAGGGACACCTGGCTTACAGACAATGAAGAAAGTCATCTAGTGAGCTTCCACGTGCCTCCTTCCCCCACAGTTTCTGTTTTAGCATTTTGGGAGGAAAAAGGCATTCTGGTGATGAAAGTGGGTCCTGCTCGGAGGAGAAGATGGCTGTCATTGTAGAGTGCTGCATCCCTGGGGAATCCACAGTCCTCTGAGCTCTGTGAGCTTTCCTAGCTAGGGCTCAAGCTGAGCCTCATGCAGTTCCTTGTCCAGTTGGCATCTCCCATGTGACCTCCACTGTGTGGGCACTGGGGAGACAAAGATGTGCAGGAATCCCCCCACCCACCCTGGGGGACCACAGCCCGCCGTGGGAGTTTGGCTCTTAGACAAATCATTACCGAAGGTGTGAGAAGTCCTGTGGGAGAAATAGGGAAAATGTAGGGCTGGGAGAACACAGAGGAGAAAGTAAGGAAGCCCTCTGGGTGGGGCACTCAGAGAGGGGGTCCCCGAGGAGGTCACACTTGAGCTGCATCTTGCCAGATAGGCCATAGGTCACCAGGCAGAGGGTAGTGTGGGACCAGCCAAGGGTCATGGGGGAGGACTTGGAAATGGACAGACCCGGTGTCCAGGGAGGGGCAAGGTCCTAAAGGACATGTGACTGGACTGAGCTGTCTGGACTTTATCCACAGTAGGCATGGGAGCCATAGAGGATTTTAAACAAAGGCAGGGATACCTTCCCCAGTGGGGAACAGCATGTTCTTACCTGAAACCTTGGATCTCCCAGGAAGAAGCAGCATGAGTCTGGGCCCTCGGACCATCCTCCTTGGGGCCTGCCTTGCTGCTGGCATCTGAAGCCCACTCCTGGGCTCTATGCTGTATGAGCTGAGGCCCATTTTTGCTATAGATTCTCACAAGTCTTTCTGGAAACCTGCAGTGCAGCTTCTCCTATCACAGCTGAGGTATAGGATATTTCACCTCAGTTGGGAAGGGAGACTGTGGGCCCAGGACAGGGAAAAAGACCCAGCCACCAGCAGGGGAGAAGGGAAGAGAGGGAGGGAGGAGGGCAGGACCAGATACATCTCTGGGCATAGGTTCAAAGTAGAGGAAAGTGTTAGAAGCCTGGTAAAGGTCAGTGTTCACTATCTGGGACCAAACAGGGGTGTGGGCATAGCTCCAGGGTAATGGCCCTTGATTCTCTGTTTATAAGTAAACAGAGATACAGATAAATCTTGGGAGTCGATTTAGGTTTACTGGGATATGATTGGAGGCGTTAGTGCCTGTTGGGACCACACCCTCCATCCTCAAGGGGAAGGAGTAAGGTTTCTCCTAAAGAGAATGTCCTTACATCCTTTTCAGTCATACCTAGAAGAGTAGAGTCCTTGGTTAGAGACCTGGAATGCTGAAGGCAGTTCCTAGACAGCCAGAAGTAACATCAGTCTATCTCCAGGTCTTGTCCTCCTGGGTCTCAGTCACAAAAGGGCTCTTGCCCATGCAGGAGTTCTCTGCAGTAGGAATCAAAGTGGTGCCCACACCACGAGGCAGGCAGGGAGTGGGGATGGAAAGGGGCCAGACCACCCCAGAGGAGGAGAGCCTTGTGAACCAAATGGGCCAGTTGCATGAGATTCTCTGTATTTCTTTTCTTCCTATTATATCCCTGAGTTTCCTGCAAGGTCTTAGCTAACTGTCCCATGGTAATTACTGGGAGACCCTCAAGGGAAGGTGACTGTGGGGACAAAGGTAAGCACTCCAGCTCTCACTGCACTACCTTTCTAGCGATTCAACCCCCATCCCCACGCCCGCCGCCGCCGGTGGGTGACTTTGAAGGATCCAAGTTGTCTTAATGGGAGATGATGGTCGTTTTGTGATTGTAACATTTGGGAATCCAGGAATAGGTGACCTTTGAAAGAAGAAACTGTTAGTTCATATTGAGAAAGTAGCAGAACTTCCTACTCACTGCCCATCAGGCTGGGGGCAGGGCCAGAACTGGGTCCTGGGTTGGGCAGGGATGGAAGCGGGGAGGCTGAAGGGTCCCAGCCATGACTGTACCAAGTCAGGGTCTCAGGCTCTGGAACAAGACATTTGTATTCCTCTTTCTCTCCTAAAAATGTCTATGCAAAAATACACATGTACTCGCATGAATGAACCCAGGCAGGCACGCACACAACACATGTTTTTAACCAAGGAAACATCCCCCGCTCCGTTCCCAACAGACAGAGCTACAGGAAGGGACTCTGACTTCCGAATAATCTTGCAAACAAATAGCTTGACTTTAACTCCATTACCAGGGCTAATCTGTCCCGACTCCCACCTGATCTGCACAAGAAATGGGCTCATTCATAATGGATGGTGTGTGCACTTTGCAAAGTCCCCCAGAGGTATCAGTTAAGCAGTCTGCAGCGGCAGTTTCCTTAAGCAAAGGGAAGAGGCTGAGACAAGTCTCCCAGGATAAGGTCAGGCCCGGAGGGAAAATGGGTACAATGACTCCTCCCCTCCCCCTCACCCATTGGGCTGCCCTGTGCCTTTCAGTGCTCCACTCAGCTGGCTCTGCACCGCGCTCACAGCCTTCAGCACGTCTCCCCTGGGCAGCTCCACAGCCGCTCCGGCCGGGTCCCTCCATCTCGATTTACAGGCAGGAGGACAGGGAGTCTGAGGAAATGATTTTAGAGGGCAATAGTTCTTCTAGGACTGTGGTTCTCAAGCTTCAGGGTCTATCAGAATCCACTGGAGGGCTTGACAAAACTCAAGCTGCTCCCCCACCCCCTCCCCACCATTCTAGAGCTTCTGACTTAGAGTTCCAGGTGGGCCTGAGAATTTCATTTCTAGCAAAGCTTCCAGGTGCAGCTGCTGCTGGTCCGAGGACCACACTTTGAGAACCACTGGTCTAGCTCCTGACTTGGCACCAGAATCCCTCTGCCACCTTCCTCACAGGTAAAGTCAGAAATTGCATGTGCTTCCTCTTATTAGATGCCTCTTCCTACCAGTCCCCACTCTCTCTTGTGCTTTGTTTTCTTGTCTGTCTGTCCTTCCAGAATGTAAGTCCCTAGAAAACAGGATATGTCTTAGTCTCCTGTGTGTTCCCAGGACTGTAAACATACCAGGAAAAGCTTCAGCAAGAGGTATATACCACTAGGGGAACAGTGGTTACCCACCCCCAGGAAGAAGCAGGATCAGGGTGGGATGTCACTACTGAAGAATTGTTACTTTTTAATACTCTAATCTGCTATATCGTTTGGATTTTAAAAATGAGAATGATCCATGTGTTAATGGGTGATTAAAAAGTAATGGAAGAAAACCGAATTTATTGACTAAAGCATCCTCTCTGAAGGTACTAACTCTGCTGTCCCACACTCCCACGGAGTCTCAAATGTGTTCAGCTAAATAGCATTACTGCCAGGTGCTGCTGAAAGAGCTTTAAATATACAGACTTATTTAGTACTTACAACAGCCACATGAGGTGAGGACTATGTCTTATCCCTGTTCCTTATATGAGGAAGCTGAGGCCCAGAGACGCTAGTTAGCTTACCCAAGGCCAGGTGTCTCATTTGCAGTAGAGTTGACATTCACCCCTCAACAGGCTAGTTCTGGGAGTTGTGATCTTGACCCCTGGTGGAGCTGTACCACCTAGAAGTTGAGGTTCAGCAAAAGATGGAATCCTATTTATTTACACCTAACCCACTTTGCTCTAAAGAGGATTCGAGGGGACTGCTATCTGATTTAGTTATCCAAAGCTTATATTGCCTAGAAATGTTACCTTTAATTAAAAAAAAGCCATCAAAGCAGACATGATCAGTGGCCTCTGAGATTTTCTGTTCCTATTGTTTTTTCACCAATATACTGGCAAGCATGCAGCAGCAGGTGCCAAAAGGAGAGAAAAATTTATAGGGGGAGGACTTTAAATACAGAACATTCTATTCATTAACTTGATTTCTTTTGTGCACTGAAAAAAAGAGCTGCATGATTCAATTTTAGTGGAGGAAACCCTTGACCTTGCTCTGGGAACCCCTGAGTTCCCTAGCGGCAGAGCTTAGAGCGTCTGGCCTGGGGAATATTTTGTAATCATCTGAGGTGCTCAGCCCCCATCCAGCCTAAGGAGTGAATTTCTGCAGGGACTGGGAGGGGTGGTGTCTGGCATTGCTATGTTTAAACAAATCACCTCTGGTGATTGTAATGCACAGTCAGGGTTGAGAGCCACTGAGAAGATCCCTTACAATTTTAAAGTTTTGATCCTCACTCTAAGATCTCAGTTTTCTAATATTTTATGATTGTATCCCTCTCCCCCAGCCCAGAGTCCCGGCCCTGACTTTCCAATGGAAGTTGCTGGGGTGGTTTGGAATTTAATCACCTCCTTGGAAGCAGAGCCCAGCTCCCCAGGGGGCTGCTTGTTCACCCTGTGTGAGGCCAGCAGGTTTATTTACGGTTTCTGATTTTATTTATTGCCCCACCTCAGAGCTGCTCTTCTGCATACAGAGAACTCAGGCTGTCTGCTGCCTGTGCTGCTGGGGCCGCCATAAGCTGGGCTTGGATGGATGTGCAGCTTTAGTCCACCGAGTTGGCTGAGAAGCTGGTCGCCTTCCTGGGGGTGATTTTTGTGATGCAGCGAAGCCCTACCTGTTCCAAAACATCTCCCCCAAAGCTTCCCCAGCACAGGGGTTATGAATGGATGAGGCAACACAGGCCTTGCCTGCGGGAAGTTCTAGAAAAATTCTGTTCTCACTTGGAGGGCTCAACTCTGCCTATCTTACCATTTGCCTTGGGACCCACCCAGGAGGGCAGCAGCTAGATCTTGCCCTGATGCATGTTTATTGCCCTCCATGGCCAAGGGCCGATGTGGAGGACACAGCCCTTTGGAAGGTGAGTGCAGGTGGTGGAGATCACAAAGGCTGGGTAGGAAGGAGACCACCGATGGTATCTGATTTCTGTTTTTCATATTCTCTGCCTCAGTTAGCATCCACTCTCTCTCCTCTTGTTCCTTCCCTCTCCCCCACCAGGGTCTTGCCATGTAGATGGTACAGCAGTCAGGGTCTAAACAGGAAAACAGAAATCAAGTTAATGGCAGGACATGACAGAAGGAAGGTAATGCAGTGACCTGGTTATAGGTGTTGGAGGGGCCAAGAGCCAAGTGGGACAGTGAAGAAACTTCAAAATCAGCAACCTCAAGAAGCTCCTGCCAGCTCGAGGGCTGGTGGCAGGGGAGTGGTGTTGACAGTGCCTGGGAGCCAGGGCCACCCATGAGAGCTGGAACCATGCCAGCCTACAGGTCAGGAGCTGAGGCCACTGCCAGAGGAGCCTCCCCAGAAAGGAGAGCAGGAAAGACACCTGCAGCTTCTCCCCCAAACCCTAAACTCCCCCAAGGGAAACAGAACCCAACAGGCATAGAGTCTGGAGTTGCAGAGGAGGGTGGGTGGTTGTATGTTTCGAGGAAGGGCCTTGAGGACAAACAGGCAGGAGACCAATACCAGGGAATTTCCAGACCACTGTGTACTGAGATTGTGAAGCAACTTCTTCAGGATCCCGCAGCCTGGTTAGGGACCTGGTTGGGGACCTGGTTTGGGACCTGGCTAGGGATGCAGCCAAGGATTTTACCCTGACTGCCCATCCTGGGTAGGATCTCTCTGGCTTTCTGTCCCAGCCCTCCTCTGTAGGACCAAGAGCTGCTTTGCAGACAGGTGGCTGAGGAAAAAGGTGTGGTCCCTGGCTGCTGGAATCAGTCAGTGTGAAGCGAGGGAGGGGTTGTGGGTAACAGCGCCTCTGCTTCCTCTCCACCTCTTTCACCCTGTTCCCACATTTCTTTTCATCTTCTTCACCTTCTGGGAACCCCTCCTACCATGTTCTTAAACCTATATCTTGGAGGTAATGGCCACTCCCGACCTTTTCTCTCTGGGATCCAGCCACTTGAGTTGCTATGGCAGAGACAATGCTCTGTGTTCACCTCCCCATTTCCTCTGTCTGAGCACGTGGCAAGGTTATATCTCCCAGCCTCCCTTGAGGTGAAGTTAACCCATCCATGTGACCCGTTCTGGCCAATGGGCTGTGGGCAGTGGATCCCCTCTGGTCCAAGGCACTTAAAACCAGGTGTGAGTTCTCCAAGTTCTCCTTTTCCTGCTACAGTAAGCTGAAGCCCACTCATGTTGACATGACATCAGTGGACAGAAGGGATCCTCAAGGAGAGGACAGCTGCCTTGGAGAATCAGACATCCTACACTGGACTTTACATGTGCAAAAAGTAAATTTTTATTGTATTAAGATACCAAGATTCAGAGGTTAATTTTAAAAACACACAAACAACAACAACAACAATAAAAACACATCATAGCCTGGTATTACCAAAACACAGTTGCTATATGCTATAATGATTTCTCCCAGAAACAGAGTGAGACCCCTCTTATATTCTTCCACAGGCCCCTGAGTGGCCCTTGTCCAGTTTAAGGCTGCAATCTCCATGGAGGCATCCCCAAGCCTGGCACAGTAGCTGGCACAAAAGAAAAACTGAGTAAATAGTTGTTGACTAAATGAACAAGTGAGTGAACTAATGAATAACCCAGGACCAGCTAAGAACATCTTAGAATGAGATCATGGTTTATCCTGGAGCACCAGAAGGAAAACACCCAGTCCAAGAGGGCGGAAATAGAATTCAGGGAAACCTTGACAGATTAGAAAAATGATCCATTCAGGATGGGTGAAATACAAGGCAAGGCTTGTAGAAATTCAACACAAGCCTCATCAATCCAGGGGGAGGTGAGGAGAAACCCAACGGGACCCAGGATCATAGGGGACTGGGAGTCTAATAACATCCTTAGGGAAGGACCAGCCTCTTCCATGCTGGGACAGGACCCAGGAAGGAGGAATCGGCACATGCCAGGCAGGGTGTGATCATCCCACTGCACTTGGCCTTCTCCCGGCATCTAATTTTAGCTGTCACATTTAAGAAGGATTTGGAAGCTCTGGAGCACAGCCAGAGCCAATAGGAGAAATGATGAAAGGTTGAAAAAAATAGAACCTGTAGGAAAAGTCCAGGAGAGGTGGGAGTTAAATGGGTCTGGGAGAGGCAGCTGTATGCAAATGAGCAGCTCTTTAGTTTGAGGAGGGTGGGGAAGCCAGAACTGGGGGACATTGATTTATACAGCAGCAAGAAAGGTTTAAGTTAGACTCCAGGAAGTGAAACTTGATGAAGGCTTCTGGTGAACTAAGTACTTCCCTTGGCTGCCCCCCTGCTCAGGAGGCCCTGGTAGACCCCTCCCTTGTCCCACAAGGGGCCAGGCATGAGGATGACTGGAAATGTGAAGTCCTAGAGGGCTGTAAAGGCAGGAACTATCTGATACTGTCCCTGGGTCATATGACAAGCAAGGAAAGAGTGTGAGCAGGGTCTGTCTGCTCTGGTTTCTGGGCCTGATGCAGGGGCTGGAGCAGATGACTTCTGTGGGTGGGGATTCCTCACATGGCATGAGGAAACAGTGATGTTTCAGGAATTGGATACTTTTCACATTTCCTCTAGGTTATCTCCCATATGGCTATATCCCTAGGAAATGTCTCACATCAGTTAAGGCAGTTGATGCATTCTAACTATGACCCTGGGATCAGCTTTAGGAAAGGGGTCGCCAAGGATTGACGGAGCCTAATGCATCCCAGGATGTCAGAACTAAAAGGATTGTGGCAGATTATCCAATCCAACCTCCCAACCCTTTGCAAGTGAAGACACTGAGCTCTGGGGAGCTTTCAGAAATTAGAACATCAGTGGTGAAATCAGCAGCATACCCAGGTCCCTGGATGTCTGACCCAGTGTTCCTCCAACCAGCTCATGTTTGACTCTCAAAGTGAGAGCCACGAGGCCAGGGAAGAGGTCAGGATGAACACAGAAGGATAGAGGCCTGGAAAGGGGTGATGGGGCCAGAAATGGGGAAGGGGCAGGAAGGAAAAGAGAAAAGAAAGCTTTCCCTCTCTTGGGCTGGGTGGTGAGAGGAGCCAGGCAAGATTTTCTGTTGTTTTAGAGAGAGCTAAGGGTAGAGGGCTGGTGTGGGAGGCAGGGCTGCTGAGGGGGGCCTCTCATGGGGGGCTCCTTTGGGGTCAGCACTTTCCTAGCTGGCTGGCTTCATCCACCCACCTTCCCTAGATTTCCCCACTTCCTACATTCTCACCTGCCCCTTCCGCCAGTTAATCTCTGAAACCACAGGAAGAGTGGGGTTCTGGGGGCAGATAGAGGAGGTACTGTGAACGGGGTGTGATGTCCTAGAGATGTCACCTGGAAACAGATGTGTATACCCCAGAGGATGCCTGAGCCCCCTCCAGGTCCCTCACCAACATCTCAAAGCACAAAATGGTATCCAGTGTGCTGAAGACCTACTCACGGTAAGGGCTGGAGCAGAGAGGAGGATCAAGAGGCTTCCAAGTATGCGTTCCCTGCCGGAGAAAGCCGGTCTGGTTTCCCTCGCTGGAGGGCCTCTCGATTCTCAGGCTTCCATCAATGTGTGAGCAGGAGCCTTGCACCAATGTCCCTCTCCCAGGTCACACACCTCTAGGACCTCTGCGTCCATCCTCCTGCCTAAGCATTTCCCTGACGCACCTCCAAGTGGCGTCCTCCTCTCCACAAGGGAGCAGTCTCTGGGCTTCCTCCAACTTTTCTCATGCTTTTAAGCTAAGCCACAGCCCCTCACTGGGATCTATGGAAGAAGGACCACTCCTAGCTGTGCTGGGGAAACTGCCAATGCAGTGATCTCCCCACTCCTCTACTTGTTCCTAGAGACCCTCCTCTATCTTATCTAGCTCACCGGCCCACCTGTCCTCTCCTCCCTTTCTTCCGTAAGGATGCTGCAGCCACCCCTGCACCTGGCCGCAAGAGGGCACCATGCCCTCACTGCCACCCCAGCTCTCCAGCCCACTCCTACCTCTGCCTTCCTTATAGTCCTGCCAGATCGCACTTGGCAGAAAGGAGCCAACTAGGAAATCCCAGGATAATCTAAGAGGTTTATGTCAAAAGGTTTACAAGGGAAAAGGTAGGTAAAAATAAGTGCCTGGCACTCTGCCAGCTGCTGGGGATTCAAAGGTGAATAAGACCCCTACCTGCCCACTTCTTAGTCTCAAAGAGGAGACAGGTAATTACTGTGCAGTAGGTGAGCCCAGGAGGGTAGAGAAATGCAGCCTGCTGATGTAACAGCCAAGAGGGGCTCCCTGCCCCCAACTTCACCAGGGGCTCAGGGAAGATTCCTAGAGGATTCCTGAAAGGTGAGTAGGAAGCAGCAGGTGAGGGAGACAAGGGCAAATCAGGAGGCAGGAACAGCAAGCCCGGGAGTGGGATCAGCATGAGCAGAGGTTGGGAGGCATGAAAGATTTAGAGTGGAACATAGGGTAAGTTGACTTTGTCATATTCCAGGCACCAGGTTCTGTTCCTCTCCTTTCCTGGTCTGAGGAATGCCCAACTGTGGGAGCTTTCAGTGCTACCCTAAGAAGCCTAGCAGAGTTCCCAGGCCCTCCTGCAGCCCTGCCCTCCTCCTTTTCTCTGGGGAGGAGCGGAGTGTCCGGGCTTGGGCGAAGGTGCTATCACTCAGTCCTCATGGTGTTCCCTGGATGGTGACCTCCTGATTCAGGTTGTTATTATTCCCATTTTGCTGATGAGAAACCAGGGGCTCAGGAAGATGGAGGAACCTGCGCAGGACTGCGTGGCAGAGCTAAGCCCCTCAGCCAGGGCTTCTGCCCCCAGCCCCTGTGGCCTGTGCTGCTTAGAAGGGACCGTATGGAAATCCCTCTCTCCCCATGTGGTCCAGAAGGCTGACACTAGCCATTTGAAGCAGATTTTTTTTTAATGGAGGCTTTCCAATTACAAAAGTAATAAATACTCATTATTTTAAAAATCAAACAATATAGAAATTCACAATATTCACAATATTGAAAGTAAAAGTATCTTATAATCCCACCTCTCTCTCCCCAAGGTAACTACTCTTAACAGTTTGATATGTATTTTTCTAGACTTTCCCATGGGTTTGCAAATATGATTGTACATTTTTAAAAAATGAAATTATGCTTTGCTGCAATTTGCTTTCTTCAACTTAACAGTCAGTCTTGAACTGTTCACATGCATGCATACTGATCTATAAAGTGGGGCTTCTTGTGATTCCCACTTATTGCTGAGGAAGCCAGGCTTCCTCAGGGAAGGTAAGCTTCCCCAACCACACAGCTCAGGAGGGACAGACTTACCAGCCCAGCCTGTCAAGATCTGGGGCAGCCAGTGGGGAGCTACACCCACCCACTCACTGCTTTTTCTCCCAGCAGCCTTCTCACTGTCCTCAGCTGCTAGGAATTTTTAGGAATGGATTTCTGTGTCATTTCTAATAGATCAGGAATATCCTAGCAAGACAGATTGTCAGAGCCTGTTGGGTGGTAAATCCAGGCTCATCCCTCTTGTATGCAGATCATTCCTTTTCCCCAGGAAGGAAGCTCTGGGTAGCAGCTCCCTGGGGGTGGGAGGTGGGGGCGGAATGAAGCAGCACAGGGCCGCTGACCCACCAGCCTCCTGAAATAGCCAAATATCCGGGCTGGTGAAGGCAAGTGCCACGAAATTCAGCCAGTAGCATCCCTTCACCTCTTGATCCTCAATGTGTGGTCTCAGGAGTAGCAGCCCTGGCATCCCTGGGGAGCTGGTTAGAAATGCAAAATCTCAGCCCACAGGCCAGACCCACTGAATCAGAATCAGCATTTTAACAAGATCCCTGGGGGAGTCCTATGCATAGTAAAGTATGAGTAGCTGGGGTTAGGCAGTATTCTGGTTCCTATAAAGCCAGCCCATGGCTTCTTTCCAGAAGTTTAGTTGATGAATTTGGTATTAGAAACTTAATAAGAGCTAGCAGTTACATGTAAGTTTCTATGTGCCAAGCAACATTGCAAGTGTCTTACTTATATGAACTCATTTAATCCTTACAAGGATGCTATGAGTTGAGGTATTATGATTATCCTGCTTTTACAGATGAAGAAACTGAGGTGCAGAAAATTTGCTTAATTTGCCTGAGGTCACATGCTAACCAGAGGGTGATCTGGGGCTTAAACTCAGGTCCTCCAGGATCTTAACCACCACAGCACACTGCCCTGCAAGTAGATGCACCCATCTGGCATGGAGCAGTTTTGACAGGTATCTCCAAGGTGGCATTTCTAAGTAGAGCTTGCCAACACATCTTGCTTTTCTCCCCCACCGTCTTCCCCCTTCCTAAAGACTGGTCACCTTGGAGAAGCTGCCAGAGCTCAACAGGAACCTCGCCACTGCTTTTGTGGTGATGCCAAGGCCAAGAAGTAATAGCAGCTTATTATATCTGCAAAACCCTTTATCATCTATTATGTCTCTTTATTCTCCAAGAACCAAGTGAGATGAGGCAGGTGTTACTATCCCCACCGGAAGAACAGGAAAGGAGCCTAGAGACACCCGGTGACTTAATCAAGGTCATGCAGAATGGAGGCTAGTAGCCAGGCCTCCTGACTTCTGGAGCATGTTCCTTTCATCTCTCTAGGATGCCCTCTTTTCTGGAAGACTCTATAGCAGTCCTCTCCACCCTGAAGGCAGCCAGCATCTCCTCTCAGTGCTTCTGCAGCTCTGCAGGGGAAACTGGGTCCCTGATGAAGCTTCAGCCTCTCTCCCAGGCTGCCTCCTGCCTGAAGCAATTATAAATCACGGCATTTTCCTTTCATTCAGACCTGATGTTTAATTCATCGCTATTCTGGCTGCTTTAATGCAGAGAACATTTATTCAGTGGAATAGCTTTGTTTTGCTTCCAAAGCTTTATTCTCCTGTTTAGAATACCATTGCTATTGCAGAGGGGGCTTCCTATTAGCCAGTTCAGAGACCCTCCCCCTCCTGCTCCCCAAGAGTGGCCCAGCCCTGCCATCTATGTGGACCCACCCCCGGGCTGAGAGTGAGCTTCACCTCCTGAGAAGGAGGAGTCCAGGCTTTTCTGTCCTTGGTCTAAGCACCTGACAATTTCAATTTGCTCACCACCTGCCTTTCTCCCAGCCACGTGCCTGGTGTGATGAGCTGCCTGGCTCCTAGATAGGGCTGCTACTGCCCAGGACACAAGAAGTTGGAAGGGCCTGGAGTGGGGTGGGGGTAGCACAGCTGTCGTACTTCCTTCTTGGAGCTCCTGCCTTGTGGCATTGACCACATCTTCAACTTCTTGCAGTCTAGATAAGTCTAGAACCTTGGACTCCAATCCCTGAATGCTGCACCACCTCCTGACGATAAACCTCCTGGGTGATCATTTCCATTGTCCTGGATCTCAGACTGCTAAGTGTCTACAAAATACCCATTCCTCCTCTATTTTGTATCAACAAAACCCTCAACTGAGCACCAGGCTTGAAACCCAGTTTACATATAAAACTACATTACCCAGCCTCTCTTGTAGCTAGGTGTGTTCATATGACTAGGTTCTAGCCACTGACAGCTAAGTGGAAGTGTTGTGTGAGACTTCTGTGAAGCCTTCCTAAACAAGAGAAGGCACAACTTTCTTAATTTATTTTCTGTTACTTATTAGCTGAAATGTAGATTTAAAGACTGGAACTCTAGCAGCCATTTTGAACCATGAGGTGGAAGCCACATACTGGGTCTAGGAGAGGCACAAGACAGAAGAAGCCAGGTCCCTGACACCAAGGATTCATCTTTCTGAGTGGTTGGCTCATCTCTGAATTTCTTTTACAATAGAAATAAGCTTCTATCTTGTTTTAGCTACTTTTGTTGTGTGTCTTTCAGATATAGGTAGCCAAATTAGTTCCTAACTGATGAAGACACAGCCATTTACTGCTTTCTTGATCTCCATGATGGAAGCTGCTTGTTTGCCAAGCTCACTGCCTGAACCAGTTTCTGATACAAGATTTAAGAATGTAGCACCTAATAGAAATGAAGGACAGAAGAGCTGCAGAGGAGGGAAGTGCAGTCTAGGACACAGAGTGAAGAATGAGTGGACTTAATTCAACCTGCTTGCAGTACAGATGGGAAGACTGCGTTTTGGAAATAATTAGTCATTAGCCCATAGCCCCAGAGCTAATAAGTGGCAAATTCAGGATTCGATACCAGAATTTTTTTACTCCAACCACCACTCCATTACCACTTAGAGAGAGCTTGGGACAACATGAGGGAAGACGTGCCACATCTTCCAATCTTGCCATGGTCTGGCGCTCTCTGTGAGAATTGGAGCTTGTCCCCACAGAGCTCTGTTCCTTTCTCCTTCTCTTGTGAGGTGCATGTATTTATAAAGCAACAGACTTCTTATTATCATACAAAGCAGATGCAAGGGAAGGAATCAGCTCTTTGTGGGGCAAAGCTACCTAGTAAGAGGTGAGCTTCCTCTACCCCATCTCAGGCTGCAGGAGGGTGGCTTCCATTTTTCCATACCCTGCTTCCCACCCTGTAGGGAGAGAGCAATGGTTAAGCTCAGGCTTTGAAACCAGGCTGCTCCGGATTGAATCCTAACCCCATCACTGATGGACTCTGTGGCCTTGCCCCCCCATGCCTCAGTTTCCTCACCGATAAAAGAGGTGATAATTATACCCACCTTATAGGGTTGCTGCGAAGATTGAAATAATAAGGGCATGGGGTGTTAGCTATTACTATTTTCCAGAATTACTATCTTCTAGATCGAGATCCCCTTGCAGTAGATGGTTGACATTTTAAAGTTTTGCTTGTTTTTCATGTTATAATATGGTCATAAGTTCCTTGATAGCAGGGAGCATATTAGTCTTTGTTCCTCAATACTTAAGACTGGTACCTAGCACATAGTAGATACCCAATAAGAACGTGCTGAATAGAGCCAGACAGAGCTGAATTCTTTCCTCTTCTGAGGAGCATCTTCCATTCTCTCTCCCATCTCCCTCTCTCCCTTCTTCCCTCTCTTTGTCTGACACTCTCTCTGTCTGTCTTTCCCTCCACCACCTCTCTCTCTAATTATTATACTCCCTCTTACTCTTTCTTTCAACCATTTTCCCCACTCTCTTCGGGGCTTCACACTGACATGTGCGCCCCTTTCCCTGGCTGCCCCATCTCCAGAGCACGCTCCTATTCTGCTCCAAATTTGCCTCCAGGCTCAGTCCTCCTGGGAGGCCTCCCATGGCTCAGCTTTGAGGACACTGAAGCATCAGGGCTGGATGGGAGCTTCACTACCTGTTCTATTCCAGTCTGCTCACTTTTCAGATGAAGATGCCAAGGTCCAAAGTACCAAGAAGGCTGCTTCACGGTCATGTGGCCAACTTGTCCCAGAGCTAGGATTAGAACCTGGGCTTTCCCACTCTTGGCCCAATGCTCTTTACATTACGGCATTCACAGAGGCAGTGGCAGAAACATAGTAGGAGACCACTGAATGCTTGTTAGATAAATGAATGAATGAATGAATGAATGCTATTGGAAGAGGAGAGCTACTCAGACAACACTACTTGTTTTTCTGCAGCTCCTTTTGACCTGCTCTACCCCTGCCCCACCCTCCACATGCCTGGGGTCCCCAGAGGAGGTCTTTGGCACTGTTAGTCTTGCCTGTGACCCTTCCACCACCCCTGGGGAGTCAGCGGCCTTTCTCCCTCCTCTCACTCCTGTGTGCATAAAGGCCATTTTTATTGTTCTCTGTGGAAATATCTTTAGAGGACCGAGGGCATTCTCTGAGAACAAAGCCTCTTCCTGGGGAGTGTTGGCCAGGGCTCTTGTCATTGCGGCTTGCTGTCTGCTCAGAGCCTTGTGTTTTGACAAGAACAAAGTGATTCCGATTGGAACCCTGTAGCTTGTTGCTGGCTCTGCCTGTTTTCCTGCAGATGTGTAGCCCCATTCTGGCCTCCTCTCCTCTCAAGGAAAGGGGAGTTGTCTTCAACTGATGGCCCCTCCCCAAAGCCTAGCCCCCTCCTTCTCCATGCCTTTCTCCTGTATCCCACCTGGCACCTCCCAAACACTATCTGCCGCTGCAGTTCCTTGTTGAACTGTTCTGGTTTTAATTCCATTCCCTGCAATTGGAGCCTGAATAATGAGTTATTTCACAGGAAGATTGATCTGGGTATTAGGGCATCATTTAGTTTGCCATTACAACAGCCAATTTTGGTTACATGCTCAGCTGTGAAGGGGAAATGGGCCAGCCTGCTGGAGCTTTCTAAAGCATGGAGCTGGTGAGTAGGGGGATGGGGTACTGGGCTGAGGGGCAGAGGTGGCAGATGGGCAGGAGGAGGGGTTCTGGCTTGCTTCAGCAAAAATGTCTTTATGCTCACAACATGACACTGTGAAAGAAATTGTAAGGATTGAAAATGGACATTACCCTTCCTCAAAGGGACAAGAAGAGCAGAGTTTTCAGGCTGTAGATGCCAGGAGTGGAAAGGTCTCTCTTAAATAACTGAGTGAGTGAGCCCCAAATTAAAGAGCATTCCAGACTCACCAATATTTCAGGATGACAAAATAGTGGTGCATCCTTACTCGCCACTCCCATACCAGACCCAGCTGCAGAAATTTCAGTGGCTCCCCCATTTATTTCCCTCATAGCACTTCTCACAACCCAACACTTCCCTTTCCATTTACTTTAAGTGAAATCTCGCCTATCTCTTCCTCAACTAGATTGAAAACTACATGAGGGCAAGAACCATGTCTATGCTGCTCATCTGTTTCCCCAGGGCCTGAGACAGTGCCTGGCACTTCATGACACTCAATAGACATTCGTTGAATGAAGTGAATGAGCATCAGAGGGCACTGGTTTCATGGATCTGGGTGTGGGGGACAAGGCATACCATGCGCAGTGGTCTCTGACTCCCCTGCACACGCACGGTGGTCTCTGACTCCCCTCATGCTCACGGTGGTCTCTGACTCCTCTGCATGTGCACAGTGGTCTCTGACTCCCCCGCACGTGCACGGTGGTCTCTGACTCCGCTGCGCCCCTTTTGAGCATCTTGGGAAAGCAGTAGACCCTCTCCCCGGGAGGAAGTGTACACACATCTGCAATGCGGTATTTTGCAAATAAATTCTAATAGTTAACAGAAACTTCTGCAGAAGCTGAAGTTTTCTTTAGAAGATTGGTTAAGAACTCCTAGTATAGAACTACACAGGGAACATTGAATTTGGAGTCAGTAGACTTGAAGTCTTCCCTGTGGAGAAGTCACTGAACATTTCTGAAGTTGTTTTTTCTTGCCTGTTTCACAAACATCCCATACAATGTTTGTGAAAATGCCTTGTTATCTGCCAGTTGTAATTAATAGCGTCATTGGCCATTTCAAGCCTGTCTATGACAAAATGAGTTTTCTAAAAAGAAACTAAGGAAGGGCATCCTATGGGGAGGCACAGCTTTGTAATCAGTCTTGGCCCTAGCCACAGAGGGGCCATCCCCTGCCAACCCCCCACCCCCCACAACAAAGGCCCTACAATATTCCAACTATCTGCAAGCTTTAAGCCTGGCCTGTTAGAGAAATAATCAGATGACCTGGTCATGATTTGCCTGAAGCATTTGGGTAACAGTAGCAACAGAAGTTGAACAGACTTTAGCTACATTACCAAAGCTATTAAAGTTAAAAACCACTAAACAACCACAGCTTGCTTCCAATCATCCACCCCACAGGCATTCAGAACAAAACCAACAAGAATGTGTTAGAATAAAATGGACACTGAATCTTATTAATGTCTTGAGTTTGGAGCTTTAAAAGCAAACCCCTGGCACTGAGGACATCAACCAGTAGGCATTGTTGAGCAGCACGGGGTCCTTCCAGGAGCATCCTTACACCCCCACCCTAGACACCTCTAGGTCCTAGGCTAATTTTCAGGATCCATGATGAGAAGGCATTTGTGAACACAGATGTGACTTGGGGGATAGTGGGTGGGGAATACCTCTGGCATGGGAGGTCAGTGAGTCAGAGCTGAAGACCCTGGGGCAGGCAGAGCAACCAGAAGGATGGGGGCACCAAGTGGGAGCTAAGATATGGGACCAAGGGAAGCCCTACATGTATGAGCAAGGGCATTGACTGTGAGTCAGTCTTGGGGGCAGAAGTAGCCAACAGCTTCAGAGTCTGCCAACAGCCCTCCTTCTGCATTGGCAGGCTCTACAAACAGAGGGAGGTTCTGCAAACAGCGCAAGTGCATTAAGTAGCTTCAGATCCTCTAACCAGCAGCTTGCTCTATACACAGAGAACGGTGCAGTCTTCAGGGATCTGGTGAGCAGACGGCTACAGGATTTGTACCCCAGGATTAAAGCCAGAAACCAAAAGACCATCTGCCGGTACCCACAGGAGGGAGGATGCAGGTCATTTTCATGTGCAGTGACATCGTAGGTAGGTTCATTTTCTCACAAGACTTGAGGCCTTGACACCTCTGTGTGGCTCTTGCTGCCCTCCCCTGAGAGGATCAGAGAGTGGGCAAGTTCCTGATTCCTTCCTGCAGCACAGCATAACAAGCTTCTCATTGGGAATCGCTGGGTGTCTGGCTGTGGTGGGTGTGGACCATGCATTATTAAGAGAGAGGCTAGGCGCCCTGCAGAAGGCTGAAGCCAGGGGCCATTGCATTGTGTGACATGGCTCAGCCTTTCCAGTTTACAGTCCATTTGGACATCCATTATTTATGGCAGCCGAGTGGCTGTGAACAAGCTGAGACTCAATTAAGGTAACGTCCCCCACACAGAAGCCATGGTTAATGCTGAGAAGTTATTCCAACTCCCACCTTACCATCACAGAGCTGGAGACACAAAGAGACCAAGAAGTGGAATTAGAGAAACGCAGAGATGGAGGCAGAGAACAGAGAAATGAAAAGAGAGGCAGACACCCCCATCCCCCCACCACAACCCCTGCACACAAAGCCAGAGGCTTTTCCCATGGGCCATCTTAGCACTCTCCTGGCTCTGCTGGAGTCCCCTGCACCCTGTCTTAGAGGAGAAGAGCCCTGTGTTCTGGCTCTTGGAGGCCCGAAATTGATTATCCCAGTCTCCACTGTCCCCATCTCTTCCTTCCCTCTTAGTGTCCATCCTGTGCTGTGCTTGAGGACATGGAAGAGATTGGATATATCCTCAGAGGACTGTGGATGGTGACTGCAAGGGGAACTGGGTGCCAGAGACAAGCTGCTGGCAGTTCTAGAGTCCATGGAGCTGGAGGACAAGAGAGGGAGGCGAGAGGTGTGACCAGGCAGGAGCTCTGGGAAAGGCATTGCTGGGGAGGGCTGGAGATGAGGTTTTGGTGTGGAAATGGAGAGGACAGTAGGTGGCAGAGAAGTGGCTGAGAAGGGGAAAGACACCGGCAGAGAGGGAAGAAACTAGGGGAAGAAGGGTCCAGGATGCTGACATGGGATAAATGCAGGGGACGTGGGAGAGAGGGAGGTGAAGGAAGAGAGAGACAGAAGAGGGGAACGGTGGAGGTGGGGGTGGCAAGGGTAGAGAGAGGCAGAGTGTTTCAGAGCTGGCAGAGCACATGAGGACAGGCATGGTGCTTAGGTGGGAGGCCCTTGGGGAGACTGACTGACAGTGGCTGTCTGAGCATCGCGGAGAATGGCAACCGAGTTTCCTGAGTGTCCTGGGCCCTGAGTCCTAGATTCCTGTGTTGGGGCAGTCTGCTGGCCATCTGCTCTGTTCCCTGCTCAGGAGGCTGGCCAGGTGCAGGAGAACCTGGGAGGGTTGCTCTGCAGGCAGCAGGAGTGGCTGTGTCCACTGCAGGGTCCAGACCTGACTCAGGACGGGAAGAGCAGGCGGCAGACCTGACTGTCTTCTGTCCCTCTCGTGGCTGCATCTCTGCCATGCTCACTTCTCCTCCTTTTCATTTCCCTACTGGAACCCTGCAGGTGGCCTGGGGCAGGGTTCTGCTGAGTTCTTTCTTGTTGATGATAAGTCATGTCCATCTACCACCTCCTGCTCTGCCCACTCTTCCTTCTAATTGAGATACAGTTTCATGATTGTTATTGTTATTATTATTTTCATCATCTTTATTACCGTTACCTTTTAGAAGCTTGTAAGCTCCCTGAGGGCAGGAGTCTTCTCTCATTTACCTCTGTGTGTGCACACATATACAACCACACTAACTCACAAACACCCCTTAGCTATTGACAAAGACCCCATGCTTACTTCAGGGAGTGCTATACCAGTCAGGGTGTTTGCAAATCTACTCTGGCTAGCTTAAGCAGAAAATGAAGATATTAAATCTTTGTGGGAGACAGACTCAGACTTTGGGAGCAGCTGCCCAGTCAGGAATAACGCCCAAACCAACCCCAGCCTCTTCTCCTACAGACCTCAGGGCTGCCATGGTCTGGCACAATTCTCAGAGCTCTCACTGCTGATACAGGGTCCTGGATCCTGGTGCCTCCATCTCTGCTGCCTCCAAAGCCAGATGCCTCTGCCCCTGCCTTTACCAGGAAATAGATACTGCATGGCATTGGCCACTGCTTGCCTGTCTCAGGCTGAAGCCTCTACTGGTGGGTCCCATTGGCAGACTCCATGTCCATGCCCTCGTCACAGCTACAAGAGACACTGGGAAAGATGAGTCTCTGGTTTCTCACTCCAAGAGGCAGGACTCAGAGTGGCCAGAAAGCTTGCTGGTGTTCTCTAGGCAGTGAGGGGCACCTGCCTGTAGGACTGCATTAATGGTGGTGGATGTGGAGGTGTCTATATCACTGGCAGCTGCCATGGAGGGCATGTTGTCTCCCTTGTGGGGAGCTGGGGGCTTCTGTATCCAGGCAGGGTGAAGGCAGGCATTGAGGATGAGGTGGCTGAATCCAGGCACAGCAGAGCCCCGTTGGTAAGCAGGTGAGATATACCCTTGGCATTTTCCCACCTTCAGCCCACCTTTTGCCAGGGAACTGTGCAGAACTGCTGGAGGAGGGCTAACGGAGCTGGGGGGACAGCAGGAACGCCCTTTCCAGGTGTGTCTGCTGATTAAAAAGGGATGCAAAGTGAGGAAATGAAATTGGATCTGAAGGCGTGAGGCAGGGCAGCCTGGCTGTGCAGATGTTCCGACCCACCTGCTCACCGAGGGTATTTCTGTTCACCCGCTGCCTGTGTTCCCATCCTGCCAAGGCCATAAAGACAAAAACACTTCCTAGAAGTGAAAAATACTCGTGCTGAAATTTCAAGCACCTGTTGGGGAATGGGGGTTTGAGGGTAAGGCGACCCCCTTGCCTTGTCCTGGGCTGGGCTGTCAGTCATTTGTTCCACCCCAGCATCACAGAGGTGGGGCCCACCTCCCCCGCACCACCACCCACAGCCCCCTACTCTAGACCCTTCCCCACACATGCCCAGGCAACCTCCTGGTGAGAATTGCACCCGAATTCAATTATCTTTGTGGCTTTTGGCTAAAGGGATCCACACACAGCAGGCAGGTTCACGGGCCTAATCGGGCCTGATGCATATCTAACCAGACAGGGAGTGTGTGTCTGGATTTGTCGCCTGACAGGTACAGATGTCGGAGGCTCTCATCCATGAGATGGAATCACTCTTAGAGATTGAGAGGCTTAGGCGGTGTCAGTCAGAGACGGGCCACACATCTCAAGCCGGGACAGAGGCTGCCAGCAAAGCCCTCTTCAACCCACTGGAGTCAGCAGGCCCAGTGCTTCATAAACCAAGTTATGAGAGCAGAGCTGAGAATTTCTAAGGAGCCTCCTTTTTAAAGCCTTTCACTTCACCTGCTCTCCAACAGCTGGTGAGTCTTTCCAGGGCAGCACAGGTAAAGGGATGAACAAAGTCTCAGAAATAGAGAACCTGGGTTGAAACCACCTCCACTATCTACTAGCTGAAGGGCCTTGGGCAAGTCACTTACCTGCTCCTGGTCCCACGTAATGCTTGTCATCTGTGGGCTTGCTGTAAGCAGTGAATGGGATTCCCTAGGCAGCCGCTCCGTCTCTCATGTTCCTGTAGCACTTCATTCCTCCCTATTAGGTAGAAACTGTCTAGCACTGGACATATTATTTAACCTCTCTGAGACTCATTTAGTGCCTGTCTACAATGCAGAACTGTGACAGTGCCTACTTGGTCGGGCTGTCAAGAGGGTTAATACCTGCAAAGCCTCCTGACAGCCTGGTGCATGGCGAGCCCTCAGGAAATGGTAGTGGTGGTTTTTGGTGCTGGTGGTGGTGGTGGGGCGGATACTCCAGCATCCCCCTTTTTGGGCAGAAAGTTTCCTGCTTGCTTGTCTTGCTTCCCTTGCCAGCCAGGGAATGGGTCAGGGGCAGGGTCTCTATCCAGCCTGCATCCTGGCAAGGAGCCAACATTCCATAAATCTATGTTTGATAAATTAGTGAAAGAGACGATACCATGCAAAGATAACACACCACCGCAATGCTGCATAGTGACTCTGGGTATCTGCAAGACCCCTGTGGCCTCTCGTCCACTGTGAGGACTTGGGCAAGCGACTGCACCTCTCTGAGCCCAGTTTTCCCATCTGTGATGTGAAGATATATGATATTGAGATATAGTAGAAATATATATATATATACAGGTCTTATCCCTAGTTTCTTGGCATGCAGCTCCTAAAACCCATGGGATCTTCAGAAGTGATATGTCTTTTTGTATGATAATGAAATGACTGGTGTCTGGGGGCTCCTGGATAGCCTGGAGATTGGGGGACTGGTTGCCAGGGGAACCAACCACATGATCAGAGGGTTGAAATGTTCAGCCTCACTCCCCAGAAGGGGAGAAGGGCTGGAGATTGATTTAATCACCAATGGCCAATGAGGTGATCAATCATGCCCACATAATGGAGCAAAACACCCAAAAAGATGAGGTTTGGAGAGCTTCCAGGTTGTGAACACATCGAGGTGCTGGGAGCATGTGTGCCCCACCCCACCCACATACCTTGCCCTGTGCATCTCTTCCTTCTGGCTGTTCCTGAGTTGTGTCCTTTTATAATAAACTGGTGGTGAAATAAGTAAGCTGCTTTCCTGAGTTCTGTGAGCTGTTCTAGCAAATCACTGAACATGAGGAGAGGGTCTCAGGAACCTCTGATTTATAGCCATTTGGTCAGAAGCACAGATGGCAGCCTGGACTTGTGATTGGAGTCTGGAGTGGGGGCAGTCTTGTGGGACTGAGCCTTTTAAGCTGTGAAGTCTGCACTAACTCTAGGAAGTTAGCGTCAGAATGGAGTTAAATTGCAGGACACCAAATCATTGTTCACTGAAAATTAGAGAATTACTTGGTGTGGTGAAAAACACTCCCTACATATTTGGTGGCCAGAAGTATTGGTGCAGTTGGTGTTGAGAAAGAAAGAGTTTGTTTTTCTTATTCAGGATAATAGCCCCACCTCGGAGAATGGGTTTAGATGATGTGTCCGAATCATCCAGTACAATTCTGGGCTTATGGTGGATGCTTAAAAAGTGGTGGCTGGCAGCTGTCCCATGGAAGCCAGCCTGGAAAACTGGTGACCTTGGCCAAGAATCTCCCACCTCTCCTTGCCTAGGTCCCACCTCCCCTTCCTGCTGCCCTGCTGTAGTCCAAAATCACCATCGCCCACCCCCAACCCCCGAGAGCCTCAGTCAGCTAGAGTCCTGTGAGGGTGGCTGTAAATAAATTAGTTCCCACGAGGTGTGATTCGTAGGGTCTACCTTTCCTAGGACCACTTGCACGTATAAGAAAGAAGTTTGGAGATGGCATTATTCGCAAGTTAGCAAGCTAGAACCATAGGGAGTGATGAGGACTGGAAAGAATTCGAGAACAGTGTATTCGGAATTGTTAAACAGTACGTTGGCAAAACAAAACATTTGGTTATGGGTCCCCAGTTTGCCACCTCCAAGACAAAAGTGGGCTGGAAGGGTGAAACTCTGAGCTGAGGGTTAATCAGAACCAGGGTAGCCACACTTCCCTTTCAGATAATTCCAGGGCGGCTCTGAGTCTCTAAAACCTGTGAGAAATGCCACAGCTGGGAGACTTTCCTTTCCTCATTGATTCAAGGAAGTCCAAGAGCCAGGGATGGTGCCCCTCACACTGCCAGGAAGGCCTGACACTACCCCTCCCCATGGCGCAAGCTGAGGCCAATCCGCTCCTTATTTAGAAAGAGCTGGGACTTAAATGTCAGTGGATGATACGGGAGCAGCATGACAATTACCAGCTTAAACTGAAATAAAGGAAAGAAGGATTAAAAAACACCCAGCACCCATCAAGCCAGGCCAGAAGAGGAGAGCAAAGCCCTCTGTTTCTACGTTAACTCTTCATCTGCCAGGCGCAGGTCAGAAGGGTGACTGGGGAGGAAGCTGGGGAGGAGAGGTTGGGTGGGGGGCTGAAGGAAGGTCAGAGGTGGTGCTGACTTGGGCTCCCAGACTCTCAAGAAGGGGGCCCAGAAGGCACCCTGCTCCTTTTGGCAGTACACTCAGTGGTTGGACCTGTGGCTCCAAACTAGGCAGACTGAGTTCAAATCCCAGCTCCTCCACTAACTAGCTCTGTGATGGCTGGCAACTTCCTCAACCTCTCTGAGTTTCAGTTTCCTCATTTAGACCAGTGGGATGATGATAATTCCTCTTAAGATTAAATGGGGTAGTGCCTGTTTGTCACTGGGCAGGCAGCAATACTCAGCAAATGATGCCTCTGCCAATTGGATGCAGTCAGGAGCTAAGAGCCAGGTACAGCACAGTTCACGCCTAATTCCATTACCCCCAGTCATTGAGCAGCAGACAGTCTCTTTTATTTTAATCTTTCTGTAGGGGGAATGTGTGGTGCTCAGATGTAGGTCCGGCAGGAACTTGGCACCTTTGCAGCAGCCTCAGCCTCTCCTTTCTCTTGGGTGCAGGGCTCAGCTGGGCAGGCATGCCAGGACCAAGATCAGGGCCCTCACCTCAGAGCCCCTCTGGGTTGCTGCAGCATCTCCTCTTTTCAGGGTGAACTGCTCTGGGGGCTGGGAGATAGTGGAGATGCACCCCACAGGGCCAAGGCAGCCTGGGCACTTTCCCCAGGAAATTCTTGACACTCTGCACTTTTCCAGCTGGCCTCCTTTAAAGGGGCTGCTCATCTGTCCTCCCCTGCATGTACTAGAATTGGCCCCACAGGCTGACCCAGCTGGACCCCAGGCTCTAGGTGAGCTGTGGCCTGGATTTGTTTACCCATCTCCTTCAACTATCTGCAGGGGAGCAGCCCTTGGTTTCTGCATGAGGGCAGATCTAGGTCACCTTTGAAAGGACCTGCTGGGATTTCTGCAATGCTCCCCTCCAGCGTCCACAGCGGGTCACTGAAGCCCAGCTGATGGTCTGTCCCTGCCTACCCCGAGAGCCTCTGACCCTGAAGCTTGCAGTTTTTCCTCAGCCACATCACATCCTCATCACAGACACCAGTGTCAGAGTCTTCCTTGGCCTCTGAATCAGGCCCAGGCCCCTCCTTTGTTCAGCCCAGCATCCACCTGTCCCAGCCGTGTCCTATATGTCAATCAGCATTCTGTGTAGAAAGTAGAAACACCCAAAGTATCCAGCAGAAAGAGATTTAATAAGGGAAATAGCGACTTACAGAGGGATCAGAGGGCCTAGACAAAAGAAGTTTAGGACCACCCACCGCTAGGCTTTTGGCTTAAGGTTGCATCCCCACAGCTGTGATTCTGAGACCAGGAGACAGCTGCTGCCCCTGCAAGGAAGGACCACTAGTGTGGCTCCAGCTGCCCCGAATTCAGGAAGCTGGTGACAAGACCATGGATATACCAGTTGCTGCAAATCCTCACATTGGCAGGAGCCCGTGGACCATCCAGCACACTGCAGTGGAGCACCTCTGCCTCTCTGCCACTGTCCAGAGCTCATGGAAATGCCTCTTCTTGGCAAAACTGAAACTGCAGCCAGATCCAAACAGCAAGAAACTCTGGGAAATGTCACTTTTGTCCTGCTAGACCCTGTAATACAGAGGGAACATAAAGGGTATGAAACAATGCTAAGTGCTGGTAGACAATACCCAGCACAGCCCAGAACCCACTCAGACCCCAGCTGGCCCGCAGTCCTGGCCTGCTGTAGCCCCACCCAAGTCTATGGCTGGCGCTGACTCCTGCCTCTGCTGCATCGCCCCACACAGCCTCTGTCCCTTCGCCCGATGGAGGACCAGCCCCCTCCATTCCCCAGCCCACACCCAGCTCCTTCAGCTGAGGTCCTCCTAACCCCAGCATATAGTTCCCAGGCCTTCCTGGGGCTTTTCTGGGATGGAACCAATCCAAAGGCTGGCTCCACTGGAGGCTGGTTTGGGACTCAGATGCCTGTGCTCTAGCTGTAAACACAGAATGTCTCTGAGCCACATTCCCAGAGCACATTCACCTAGGGGTCTTGTCCAGCTGTGAGGTTCTGAGATTTCTAAGTGTCTTTCTTTATAAGCAGAGTGGACATGGACACACACACACACACACACACACACACACACACACACACACACACAGTCCTCAGGGAGCTGCAGCTTTGCTGAGTCAACCCAGAGTCACTGTCCAACTCTCCTCTGGAAACGTGGGCAGAGATAGGTGCTGAGGGAGGACGGGTGACTGAAGCAGAAGGCAGGAAAGGCCAGGAGCTGCCCGCCTGCCCAGCGCATCCCCAACCACTGACTTCTGGCTTGAGTGGGCTGGGAAAACCCGCAGAGGGCAGGCTTGGGGAGGACAGAGGAGGCTGGGGCGAGAGACGTGGTAAGGGCAGAAGTGAAGCACTCAGGCCACACGAGAGGAAAAGCCACTGTCTGTGCTGAGCTGGACCTAGGGGCTCAGACCCCAGCCTCTCTGCTGTCCCCTCCTTAGCACTGCCTCAACTAGACCTCTCCCAAAGCAAAGCTATAGCCATGCCGATGACCTTGAGCTGCACATTCAGCTTAATCCACAACAGTGTCAGTGTGAAGGCCTTGCTGTCAGTCCAGGATATTTATAACCTGCTTGCCAGGTCCCACTAACTGGCAGCCGCCAGGAAACTAGGCCACAGGAGCCACAGAGGAGGCAAGCCCTCCCCGCATCCCAACGCCAGCCTCAGATGGCTCCTCCGTGGCTGTTGGCACCCGCCCGGCTGTGTGCCTCCTCCCCATGTCCCTGCTCCCTGCTGGCGATCAAAACCCACCAGAGTTCCCAATGCCTGGGGGCATGTCCACAGGCCTGAGTACAATGTCCATGGCTTCCACTTACCATTGTTTTCCCTGCCTGTTCCCTGTGGTGGTGTGGTGTGGTCATGAAGGTTCCGCCTGCCTGGGGTCAGGTGCAGGTTCCACTGTTCTCTGTGTTGACCTCGATAATCTTGTGTGACTTTTCTGTGTCTCAGTTTTCTTATCTGTAAAATGGAATTAATAATGAAGACTGCATGAATAAAAGGCTCAGAACGGTGCCTGACACATAATAAGGGCTCAGTGTTTGCTAGCTTATCTAGAAAGGTCTATCAGATAGCAGCAGAAGCTCCAGGGCCAGGCTGTTCAGGTTCAAATCCTGGTTTGGCCACTCACTGGCTATGTGACCTTGTGCCCATTAATTATGGTTTGGATGTTTGCCCCCTCCATATCTCATGTCAAAATGTGATCCCCAGTGTTGGCGGTGGGGCCTGGTGGGAGGTGTTTGGATCATGGGGACGGATCTCTCATGAATGGCCTGGTGCCCTTCTTGTGGTAATGAGTGAGTTCTCGCTCTGAGTGCATGCGAGATCTGGTTGTTTAAAAGTGTGTGGGACCTCCCCCTTCTCTCTCTCGCCCCCTCCCTCACCATGTGTCGCACCTGTTCCTGCTTCATCTTCCACCAAGAGTAAAAGCTCCCTGAGGCCTCACCAGGAGCAGATACTGGGTCGTGCTTCCTGTGTAGCCTGCAGAACCGTGAGCAGATTAAACTTTTTTTTTTTTAATAAATTACTCAGTCTCAGGTATTCCTTCTTAGCAACACAAAAACCATGTAAAATTGGAAATGATAATAGTATCTACCTGTGGAATTGTAAGGATTAAATAAGCTAATCTGTAAAGCTCTGAGAATGGTGCCTGGCGCACAGTAGATGGTCAATTAGTATTAGCTCTGATAATGATAATGATTACCATCATCATCATCATCATCATCATCATTTATTCTGGAAAGATTTTCTCCCAGCCAGGCTGCCCTCTCTTCTTCCTGCCTCCACACTTGAGCTGACGCAAACATTCTCCTTACACACACTCTCTCTTCTTCCCTCCCAATTCAAATGTTGCATTTCTTTCAAGCCTCACCTCCTCCATGCAGCCTTCCTTGACCATTTTGGTGAGCTTTGCACTGTCTGCCTTACCCAAACCACCTTAGACCTGATCCCCCACATGATTCCCTTGAGTAAACTTAGACTCCAGACCCTGAAGGCAGAGGCTCTGCCAAGCCCACTTCTCCTTCCTGCCTTATGCTGGGCCAACAGCGGTGAGGTCAAAGATGTCCTGGATCAGATGTGTCCTTGCTGAGTGTCCAGGGCCCTCTGCTCTAGGCAGGGGTCTGATTCCTGGGATGAGGGTGCAGTGTGACCTGGTCCTCAATAGACAGCTGTGTGTATGGGCGCGCACACACACACACACACACACACACACACTTGCACCCTGTAAAGTAAAACCTAGTTGTTTCCCCAGAAATAATCCCACATTCTGGCCACTAACAACCAAAATGCATTTTTTCCCAAGCCCAGTCATTTTCTGGATTTTCTCAGTTTGAGAGAGGACCAGGCCTGTATGCTGTGTCCTAGGGGTGGACCGGAAACCTTTCCCCACCAGAAAAGGGCAGGCAGGAAAATGTCTTCCTCGGACACCCAGGCACAGCAAAGCCCAGGGACACAGGGCTCAACACGGGGGAGGGTGGGGGAGGCCAAGGATCTGGCTCAAACACCACAGTCCTTTCCTTGAGGAAGAAAGCACCACCCTAGTGTCACTGTGTTCCCTCTGTTGAAGGCCTGACAAACAGCAGGTCAGCCCAGCAGGTCAGTGGTTCTGACCTGGCACTCTCAGCCTCAGCTAGTCAGAGGCTTGCTGACACTAACCCCCTCCTCCCCTCCTCCCCTCCTCCCCACAGGCCTGTCACTGCGGAGAGCTCTCCTCCAGCCTCCTCCACTGACTCCCCAGCAACTTCCTCTCCTCTCCTCTCGGGAGTGGCCAGGATCAACGTTGCTCAGCCCACAGGGGCTGCCTTTGGTGGGAGCTCCCCTTTTTCCTGTGTGCTGGGGGAAGGGGCAGGGGATAAGAAAGGGGCTCAGCAGGGTTGGGGAGGGGCCCTTCTTCTGTACTCATTGTCCCCTCTGGGGGTTGAGGGCGGTTACAAAATGGATGAGGATGGGAAGAGGCCCTCCTGCTGAGGCCCCTGTGCTTGGCCCTCAGGCCGTCCCCTTACCCATCTCCCCTGCTCTAGTCTAAGAGCACCTAAGAAAGAGACTCACTCTAGCTCTCATGACCCACAACTGAAAATTAATCCCCTCCACGTCCTTTCTAAGTTATCCCAGAGAATAATGCCATGTCAAAGGGACATTTGTCTAATGGAAGGAGCCCAGGCCAGGGGAGAGGGGTATGGGGGAGAGAAGCCTTAAAAAATCCAGCCAAGCATCTGTGGTTTGTGCTCCATGTAAAGTGAAATCTGGGTATTTCTTCCACTAAACAGCATGGGAATAAGTGTAGTGATACTAGCTGGCATTTACACAGCACACTACAGTTACAAGATACTACAAGATCCTTGCCACACCCTCTCAGTTTTTTACTCTTCTGCATTGCAATAGAGCAAGGGAAGGCCATTGAACCCCCTTTGACGTGGAAGGAAACAGAGCCTCAGAGCAGCTAGGAAGGGGGGATCAGAGGCTGTTGGTGTCCCACCCAGATGTCCTTTACCAGCTGGGGACTCACTCCAAGCTGCTACAGTGTTGGCTGCTAATAGCTCATAACTGTACCCTTCTCCTCCACATTGCCTTAGCCAGCAGGAGCCACTTCCCTGGGAGACGCTTTGGAGGTTAAGCCCTCTACCATAGCCCCTCCCCTGGGAATAGCCTTTAGCTAAGGTCTGACTGCTGTAGGGACAGAAAAGCCACCCTCTTGTCTTCAGGTATAACAAACTCCATGTGCCGTACACGCCCCAAAGCCCCTGTGGGTTTGGGCCCTGCTAGGCCTCCCATGAATTGGCATCTTTGCCTGGACCCTTCTGCTGCTCCATCATGCCCCACAATCCCTCCCAGCTTCTCCTGCAAGCACTCACTCAACAAACCACACGCTGGAATCTCCTCTCAAACCCTGCTTCTAGGGAACCAGACAGAGGGCTAGTACACAGGGCTTCAGATCCTGAATCCCGATGTTCCTGAGACAATCTGGTTCCCAGGCATCCTGTCGGGGTCTGTTGTGGTGAGAACCTTGCTTTCTTCCAGGACCTCAGCTCCCTCCCTCTCCTCCTCCCAGGGAAGAAGCTGGTTCTTAAGACTTTGACTGTGAACTGAGGGATGAAGCTGCCCAGAGCCCCGGCACCTCCCACACCCCGCTGAAAGCTCCCTCTCTCCCCCTCCCACCCCGGCTGTGGCAGCCAACACCATGACTCAGGCCCCATCCCCACAGCCCTCCACAGGCCCCCAGATTGCTACCCAGTGCCCTGGCATGTTAAGCAGTACAGATGGCAATTAACTGCGTGACAGGAAAATATCCCAAGACTAATTATTTCAGGGACAAGACCGGGGACCATTAATAAGTGATGAAGGAATCTTTCCAGAGGCTCCTTGGCTGGCTCCTGCACCAGCCTGCAGAAGGCTGGAGATGGAAGGGGACCCTTCCCCACGCAGAGCTCAGTGGTGTGAGTGGGTGGGTGGTGAGACAGGTGGCAGTGCCTTTCCAGGGGAAGTCAAGCCGCTCTTCCCAGCAGTTAAATCGACAGCTGTTAAGGGTGCAGTCCTCATCTTTCAGACAGGCAGAAAGCAAACAACAGTGGTTCCCTGGATCTTCTCTGATGAATAATTGATTGTAGAATGCAATCTCATGAATGAATTCCGGGAGAATCCCCAGTCACCCCCTTCTACATTCTCACATCTGCCTCCCCTTCCCTGGCTCAATCCAAGTGGCAGGCACAATTTCCATTTTCCTGAAACGAATCTGTTTCCTCTGTGCCTGCTTCTAACGTGGCCCCCGGGACAACTCCCACAAGGAGCAGCAGTCAGAGGCCAGGAACAAAGGGTGGCGTGCCCAGATGGAGGGCTGAACCACACCGGGTCAGCCCTGTGCTTGGACAGTGTCTCACTCCAGCAGCATATCACAGCAAGGCCGGGAGAGGAGAAAAGCATCGTGCATTCATAAACCCTTTCATGTGCCAGAGTGAATGCAAATGCACACACTCTCACATTCACATGTACACACTGACACACACCCACTCTCGTACCCACACTGACACACACACATGCACAGACACATTCAACACACACACACTGACACACTCACTCTCACACATACACACAGACACACTCTTGCATACACACTGGCACACTCACACATGCACACTGACACACTTACACACATATGCACTGACACACACATACACACTCATACACATGACACACTGACAATTGCTCTTGCATACACATGCACACTGATACATATGCACTGACACACTCTCACATACCCAGACACACACACACGCCCACACACATTGATGCACACCCACACATACACTGACACACATGTAAAGTGACATACATATATACACACTGACACACACACTGACAAACTCCTACACTGACACACAAATATTCACTGACACACACAGATACACACATTCACTTACATACACTGACACACTAACACAAACACATGCACATTGACACACGTGCACTGACACACACATACACACTCACATAGTGACACACATACACGCTGATACACAAATATGCACTGACACATGCTCACATTCACATAGCCTCACACATACACATACACTGATACATACACACTGACACACACCACACAACTGACACATTCTTTCTCACACACCCTCTCACACTCAGATGCACACACTGACACACACAGGCACACAAACACACACTGACACACATATGCATATGCACTGACACATGCTGACACACACACATACACACTGACACACACACACACACCCATGGATACACACTCCCACACATACATGCATACTGACACACTCTCATTCTCTCTCACACACATTCACATACACTCTCACAATGACCATACACTCACACTCACACATTCTCACACACACACTCTCACACTTACACACATGTACACACTGACACACAAGCCCTTTCTCTCTCACACACACATACTCACACCCAGTTGAACAGACAGGGGCTTCCATACTTTAAGAGCCTAAATAGGTTGGGCGCGGTGGCTCACTCCTGTAATCCCAGCACTTTGAGAGGCCGAGGTGGGTGAATCATGAGGTCAAGAGATCGAGACCGTCTTAGCCAACATGGTGAAACCCTGTCTCTACTAAAAATACAAAAATTAGCTGGGGGTGGTGGTTTGCACCTATAGTCCCAGCTACTCGGGAGGCTAAGGCAGGAGAATCGCTTGAACCCGGGAGGCGGAGGTTGTAGTGAGCTGAGATCGCGCCACTGCACTCCAGCCTGGATGATAGAGCGAGACTCCATCTCAAAAAAATTAAAAAAAAAAAAAGAGCCTAAACATGAAGGAGATATTTATGGGGGAAGAGATATTTGCTTCGCAAAAGGATTTGCAACAGGGCTTCTTTCAGTAATAAGAAACCAAAGTGCATTGAAAATGGAATTTGATTTACAAAAATGTGATTTATCTGCAAATTTTCAGAAGCCCATGCCTTGTAGGGTATGGATGTGTGCTTGCAAATATGCAGAACTTGTCAGTGCCTCTCTCCATGTAGTTGGGGAGAGGGGCAGGGATGTCAGATGGAAATCCTCGCCAAGTCTGCTGACTACACACTCAAGGGTCTGATGGCAATCTAGCTTGGATGGCCACAAATACCATCTCCTTCCGCACCTCCAGCTTGCAAAGGGGAAACTGAACACTTTATCCTCAAGGCTACCACGATCCAAAAATTCAAGGTGTATTGTCCTCAAAAGGTCCTCATCTCCAAATTCTTTCCTTTTATCCCCTAACTCACTAACCAGCTCAGCCTCCAATGGATGTTTTGAGTGGGGTTAACTAGGAAAGATCTTATCAATTATCTCAGCTGACTTCTTCATTGATGACTGATGAAAAAAATGAGGCAGGAGCCTGCCCCAAACCAGCACCTACTAGACCCTGTGCCGTCCAGCCTTCATCCTCACCAGGCATCCCCATATAGTTGTACAAGGCCAAAGCCAAGAGAAAAGGCTCTGGGCAGCACAGTCCCACTGTCCTGTCTCTTCCAGCCCCATGCCTCCCTCCCTCTCCCTGCTTCACTCCCCTTCTTTCCCTGCTGGAAGTGAACAGATGAGTCATTTGAACTTTAGCTTCCTAGACTGCTCTTCTGGATGAGTTTGGAACTCACTCTTTTTGGTTAAGGACACCATCCACTAATTAACACCCCCAACCCTTAGGAGACAACTCCTGTGCTGGACACTAAACTAGGGTCTCAAAGGATTGTCTTGGTAACGCCTTAAAGGAACGGACACCTAGGGACTTGAAGACACACCAGGGAGTAAAATTCAGGTCTCTGATAATTTCCAGAACTTGTTCCAGCAGACAAACGGACTCTTCTTCAAATGTAAGCTCCTTTCTTGTAATAACAAGAAGGCTGATCAAAATAGCAAATACTTATTTAAAGAAAACCACAGCAGATGTATATGCCAGCTATTGTGCTAAGCCCTTTACATATGTGAACACATTCCATCATCGCCATAATGCTCTCTAAAGGAAGTACTATCATTACCCCTCAGAGGCCCAGAGAGGTTCGGTAACTCCCTCAAGGTCACACAGCTAGTAAGTGACACAGGAGGGAATTGAGTTCTGACTCCCTGAGCCCTGCAGACATCTCTATTTCTGACCTCAGATCCTACCAATCTTCCCCCACCACCCCCACCCTCTTCTCTCCAGCTACAAACACACCAAGCCCATTCTCCACAAGGCTTCTGACTTTGCTGTTTCCTCTGCCCGGAAGGCTCCACCTCCAGCTCATCCTGTCTCCTCAGTGGGGCCTTGCCTGACAATCCCATCTAAAGTAGCGACTGTGGTCACCCCCACCCTCACCTACCCTTCATTTACTAGGCATCTATCTGCTGTAATTCCATCAGCATTCCTCACTACCTCAAATGATCTTATCTGTTGGTTTACTGATTCCACCACAACGAAAACTGCAATGTGTGCAGCGATTCTTCCCCCTCCTTCACTACTGTGCACTTTCATCTATAACACCTTGGCTTGGCACAAAGTGGGCATGCAATAAAGACTGATCAAGGAGTGCTCTATTCACAAACCAACATGCACACACACTCACATGCACACACACTGCACGCTGGCGTGTGCATGGGAATGCATTCACATTAGACCACAGGCAGATGTCAAGTCAGTGATACAGTCCTCTGCAGTGTAACACCGATAGAAGTGGTGAGGCCAGACTGACATAAATGGGCTTTCTAGCAGCCGATGCTAAGAAACAGAATTCCTCTGAGGACAGATCCATAATTACCTGGCCTGGAAGACTGCAAACAGAAAATAGAGCCTCTGTGTAGGAGCCCCAGCATCTCCACCACCTGGTCCAGGCCTTTTGTGTTGGTTGCCTGGAGAAATGGAAGATGATTAAAAGGTGTGAGAAACTGGCCCCTTCAGAGTCCTTGGAAGGGGAGGGCGCTAGACCAGTTGCTCTAGTTACTGAATTGAGCTTGCTAAATATAGCTGGGTCACACATGGGGCACTGAGGAGGCAGGTCTGAAATCAGATGGGGTGGAGGGAGCTTCCCAGTTCCCTGCCCCATGCCTTATACCACCACCCCAGGCCCAGTTTGTAGTGAGGGGGTGCCCTTGACATGGAGGTGGAGAAAGAGGGAGAAGCAGATGCCTAAGCTTATGGTTGTTCTGATCCAGTGCCTGCCCAGAGCTGGGCATTCCATTCTGAATGGCAGATATCTGAGGTCAAGGTACAGCCAAACTCTAGCAGATAGGACACTTGTTCTATGATACTCAGGCTTGATCAATTTCAATGCTGCTCAAAGCCTTCGTGTGTGCATTTGTGAGTGTGGTTCATACAGTAGGAGGGGCAAGAAGGTCAATATGTAAATATGATATCTTTATAGAGCAGAAGCATGTGGGTGTTGGTGAGAGCAAAACTCTGGAGCTGTCACTAGTGGCATAGAGCTGGATGGGGACTACCTCTGCAGCCCAGCAGATTCCCAAAGCTCCTCCTTCCACAGAAGAAGATTCCTAGAATCATGTAGTAGGTGGAAAGGGCTGAGAAAAGCTCTCCATAGCAGAGGGCCTGTGGAGCCCAAGCCCTCTGAGACATTTGGCAAGCCAGGGTGCATGCCTCTGGAATCACCACACTGCAAGGTGCCCAACATGCCCCTCCCCCTTGTCCTCTTGGGCAATCCCAGCCTTTGGAGCTCTTGGTTCCAAAAGCTCTTCCCTAGCCCCAGGTGATGTTCCCCTGGACTCTTAGCCAGAAAGCCTTGGAATGGTCCTGAGAGCACCCACTGTGGTGGTCTGAGATTCTCCTTCTCAGCTCATGAATAACCATCCTACCCAGGCCTTCTACCAGCCCAGAGACCTTGTCTGTAAAATGGGAACTACAATGACCTCTTCAGAGGTTATTCTGAGGGTGAAATGAGAAATGGCAGTAAAACGTGTACAAGTCCAGTAGCAAAGATGGCATTAGAATGTTTGCTATATTTTCTTTCTCTCTTCTCTTTGTGTCTCTTTGGATTTTGTATTTCCTACAGGAAGGAGATGTGGCCAAACTGTGATGTTGCTTCCTACCTCCTTAAACTACCCTAAGAAGCTTCCTTCTCCACCCCTACCTCTAGTGAAAGCCCTCACCACTTCCCATGTTGTTGCATATGGCAGGATTTCCTTCTTTGCTAAGGCTGAATTCTACTCCGTTACATGTATATTCCACTTTTCTTTAACCGCTCCTTCGTTAATGAACACCAAGGTTGCCTCCACATCTTGGCTGTTGTGGATAATGCAATCAACATGGAAGTGCATGTCTGAGAACCTGATTTTAATTCTTTTGGATGAATACCCAGGAGTAGGATTGCTGGATTTCACTTATATGGAGTATCTAAAATAGTCAAACTCCCAGAAGCAGAGAGTGGAATGGTGGTTGCCAGGGACTGGGAGGAGGGGGAGATGGAGAGTTGTTATTCAATAGGTACACAGTTTCAGTCATGCAAGGTGAATACATTCTAGAAATCTGCTGTACAATGTTGTTGTACATTGTTGTAGTTAACAATAGCTTATTGTACACTTAAAAACTTGTTAAGGGAGGAGATCTCAAGTGAAGTGTTCTCAATACAATAAAAAAATCATCAAAATCACAATGCCCCATTCTGCTGGTTTCTGTGAGGGAGGCTGATTGATCTTGCTGCCTAGTTGGGGACAGTAAGCCGGGCTATACCTGACACTATATTGCATCTGTGTTGCTCTTCCTGCTGCTGCCTTTGTTCCAGATGTCTCCTGACTTTCTTGTTCTTTCACAAGAATCAAAGCCTGTGATTATTGGTCAAGCAAGAATACAGGGCAGGAGACCACCTCACCCATCCAAAGAAATGCATGCAGAAAAGCCATGTTTTCTAATTGTGGGGAGCCACCACCTGACCCTACCCAGGCTCCCTCCTTCCTGTCTTATACCATCTGAGCCCCAGGTACCTGTAGAGGGATCTGCTCATAGGACCTGGGGCCTAAGTTTCTGCCCCTCCACCACCAGTGTCTAGTCTCCAACTTCAGTGGAGAGGGAGAGCTAGGGCACCTAGAGAAAAGCCCCATCGCTGCCTCCTTTCTCAGGGTGAGGTTCTCATGACTGCTCACTGGGAAGGACTGGGATGTGAGCTGGAATCCCAGTATGAGGAGAAAGTGTGCCCCCATACTCCTTGCTCCTTCTTTTCCTTTCCTTCCCTTCCTGAAGCTCAGCTGTGACCCTCCATTTACGTCCATGGGGGGAAGCTCTTTACCTGGGCAGGCCCCCTGTTTCTCAGCCAAGTGTCCCAGTACTGCCAGCCCTGTCTTGAAGTTGACCCCAGAACATCTTCTCCCATGGTTCAAAGGGCCTGGGCAGCCACTCTTGTTCCAACAGAGCCACCCTTGCATCAGGGTGGGGAGAACAGGGTTCTTGAATGAAGGTTTTATATTGTATTTCTTACTGCTTGAAGTTGTACTTGGGGGTGAAGTGGATTAAGACAAGAGTTTATTGTTACTTTCCACTACAACCAGGTGGACTGTACCTGAGAGAGAAGCGGGATGAGAATAAAAGGGAGGGACTCCCATCTCCCCTAGAGGAGCGATGGCCTCCTGTTACCCTGCAGGCTCCCTAGAGCAGAGCTGTGATTTGCTGGGAGTGGGGACCATCTTCTTATGCATAATTATGTTTTGCAGAGGGGGTTCTAGAACACTAAGGAATGGCTTCTTCACCACTGGCACACTGGGCAAGGCTGGGGAGAGCTATGGGGTATGGTTTCCCTGCTGTGGTTTATTGGTAATTGTACCAAGAATAGTGGAAAGGATGACTCTTGGGTCACAGATGACTGTGGCAGCAGTGCCATCTTCATGTGGGTGGGGAGGTGACTCCCAGGGAATTGGGACCCTGTGCTTATGTCGTTTATGTCTGAAGTTATATCAAGGGCTCTTGGATGCCTTTCAGTTCACATTTGGGACAGTGAGGCTCAATTTCCTGCTGGGCCTGGGGGAAGTAAGCAGCTGGCCCCACCTCCTTAGAAATTTTCTCCAGTCTAAGCCCTGACTCATAGCTGGTTTTTCCTTTCAAATGATGACCACAGCCCACTCTGGATGCCAAATCTGTCGGTTCTCAGGGATCTAGGAGGGCAAGAGTGGATCTGGTCAACCTGGGGAAGACTCATGGGGGACAGGCAGGATTTCCCACTCTCCCAGGCCCTGGATGAACTCTGATATTCAACATGCCCAGTATTACTGAGGAAAATATTGGTACTCCTTAGCACAAATATCTCACAGAGAATTCTAACCTCAGATAAGGAAGACCAGGCTGGATGGCCTCTGAAATACTTGCTGTGCCAGTTCAGTGATTCTAGAACCCAATATGCCCAATGTTATCATTAATATGCTGCCATTGATTACAATGTGCTCAGTGATGCATATAATTAATATAATGGAGGCCGTTAGCACTTCCACTTCTCCAAGTCTGTGTTATGCATTTAATTACTTTAGCACTTCACAGTTTATCAGTATACCATCCCCTGAGCTAGATATTTCTCCAATGCCATTTTACAAATTAAGGAATTTTACAAATTAAGGTCATAGAATAAAACCCCACCTTCCTCACTCACGAAGAGACAAGCAGCTTCCCCCTATCTAGGCTGCTGAAGGACCTTCTTGTTCTTCCCAGGCCACCACCCTATAGCCCACACTGTTTGCCCTCCCCCACAAGCTCACACAACCACATCCCCGAAACTCCAAAGGAGTTTGCTCCCTCAGGCCTCCTTGGTCCTCAGAAAAAACAGTCATTCTTTTTTTTTTTTTTGAAGGTGTCTCGCTTTGTTGCCCAGGCTGGAGTGCAGTGGCGCAATCTCTGCTAACTGCAACCTCCGCCTCCGGGTTCAGGCGATTCTTCTCCCTCAGACTCCTGAGTAGCTGGGATGACAGGCGCGTGCCACCACGCCCAGCTAATTTTTGTATTTTTAGTGAGATGGGGTTTCACCATATTGGCCAGGCTGGTCTTGAACTCCTGACCTCGTGATCCTCCCGCCTCATCCTCCCAAAGTGCTGGGATTACAGGCGTGAGCCACTGCGCCAGGCCACAACAGTCATTCCTAACTGGATGGAAAGCTAATTTCTTCCCCTTCAAGGCATTAGTTGAGCTTCAATAAATGAGACAAGCAGGTCTGAGAACCACTAAGAGCACCCGTGAATTCTTCTGGCTGTAAGAACTACCTTGGACTGAGTGATTTTCTGGCCAATCCATCCTTGCCCAGGCGGTGTGTTCCTCAGAGTCACAGGTACCTGGTAAATTTGTGAAAACATGCCTGTCTGTCAGCTCGAGAAGCTAGTTCTTCAGGGAGGCTTGTAAAGACCTCAAAGTCATGGGGCTATGTTCTTTCATTTCTCACAACATGGGGAAGACTGTCTAGCATTCAGCAAGTTACTAAATGTGAGTTGTTTTGATTTCTACGTCTCCCTCACATTGCTGCTGGGCTCTGTGTTCTAAAGTTCATGGCCCATGTGTTAGGATCCGTGACTTGGGACATTAAAGACTTTTCTGGGTTTTATACTGGGGTAGGAGAATATATTTACTGAAGGCTTACTCAGCCCTGTCCCTTACTAGGACTGTGACCTTGGATGTCTCTTGTTTAACTTTTTTATATCTTAGCTTGTTCATCTAAAACATGAATCTTTGTGTCATGGGCTTAGTGAGGATTAGTTATCATAGCACATATGAGGTGCTTAGCAGAAGTTGCGTAAAGAAATACCAGTTTCTCCCTTTCCTACCCATAAAGCCCCATCTACATTGCTAAGAACCTTGCTTTTTGTGGAGCCTTACAATAGTCAAGTGAGATTAGCAGGAGCCCCACCTCCTGGGCTTCAATCTTTCATCACAGGTGCCATTGCTTGGTCCATCCGTGTCCTTGAAACATTTGGTAAAGCCACATCTTAGAGCATCTCCTCTGCTCCCCTCCCCTAGGCTGAACAAATCTAACTCCCTTGAGATCCAGCTTTATCCCAGCCCCACCCTCCTCCCCTGCCTGTGTCATGGCTGACTCAGGGACCATGCCAGGTTCTAGAAGGCCAGTGGCTCATTATCCCTACCCTCTGCACTTTGGCCCCATGGGCCAGCTTTAGCTCCTCATTTGAGGAGGCCTGGGTGGGGTGATGGGCAGGGCCAAGCCATGGGATATTTACAGAGGGTTCTGGAGTCGGGTTCCCTGATGTGACAGCTGCTGTGTCCTCAAGAGCATGTGCACCCCCATACCTACTGATCCTGGGCTAAAAAGGCAACAGGTAAAAGTGAGGTTGTCAGGAGTCCTGAGGTGCCCACAGGTGGTATATGACCCCTAGGCAGGAAGAAAGAGCACCCTGAGGCCAGAATATAGGCTTCCCTTCCTCAGAGTCCTAGTCCCTGCTTTTTGTTGTTGTTGTTGATGCCACATTTACTGCCACTGCTACTCCTCTCTTGCATTCTCTGGTGGCTGGAATGTGAGAAGGGAGAGAAAGTAAAGAACACTATCAGGGGTGCCCCCAGGCTCTGAGTTTCAAGAGTCTCCTTGTCCACTGCTTCAGCCAGAACCAGAGGTTTTCTTCTGCATCTCATTGTCGGCACTGTGCGGCTCACTCCTGGGTTTCAGGTCATGCTGAGTTCTGCTCAAGAGATTCCAGAGGAAAAAGTGTGCACAACTCAACACCAGTTTTGTGGTACTTGGAATCCTGGCTGTTTTCACCCATCTACTTGCTGGTATTTACTGTTCGGATCATTCAATTAGCTCCACCATGCCCTCTATCAAGGTTGTATCGTCAGTGGGAGAGAGAGGCTGCCATGTGTTTACTTCATCTTACCTGGAACAGAACACAGTAAAATGGTAAAGCCCTATCAAGTCCTTCTCCTCCCTCCAGAAGGAAGGAGTCAAGCCCTGGCTTATTGTCACATTGTCCCGTATCCCTGTAAAAACACAATCACACCTATTCACTTATTCATTCATGTAACAAATATTTCTTGAGCACTGATTCTGTGCTAGGCCCCTTCTAGACACTGGGTATACAGCAATGAAAAAACAGACAAAACTACTGTCAGGCAAGGCAGTAACAATATAAACAAGTAATATCATATATAATATGTGGGTAATAAGTACCATTGTGAAAAATTCAGGAAGGTAAAAGGATAGGAATGCTTTTTGATAAAGGTGGACAGGCAGGACCTCTTTGAATAGGTAATGACATCTGAAGAGAAGGTAAAAAAAAAAAAGTGACCTCTCCAAATACCTGAGGCATTCCTGGAATGGAAATTGCCATCACTCTCTAAGAGATGAGGGCGTGTTCCTGGCAGGTGTGAGGGAAAGCCAGGAGCCTGTGAGCAGGACTGCAGGTGGCAAGGAATGCAGTTGAGGATGAAATTGGAGATGGGCAGGAGAGGCAGCAGGTCACATGGACCGTGTAGGCTGTGATTAGGACTTTGGCTTTTACTCTGAGTGAGATGGGGCATCAATGTGGAGCTTGATGCAGGGTGGTATTATCTAATTTATAATTCAACAGGATCCATCTGACTGCTATTGAAAATAGATTGGGATAGGGGAGTGGGGCCAGAAGGAAGCAGAAAAGTCATCTAAAAGGCTATTAAAGTAATTCAGGAGAGAGAAAATTGTTTATTGATCCAGGGTGATTGAGGTGGAGGAAGTTAGAAAGGCTTGGGTTCTGAATATATGTCGAAGGTAGAATGGACAAGATTTCTTGACAGAGTAAGCTTGGATAGTGAGAGAAGGTGAATGGTCAACTTGGCATTGGCACGGAGACCATCTGGTAATTCCTGCTGACCCAGGAATCTCCTACCCAACACCCCTGACATCATGATGTCCAGCCACTTAATGAAGAAATAAGACTCCCTGGGAGAAAGACTTCATTACCTCACACAACAGCCTTTTGCGGTCCTCTGACATTCTTTCCTATGCTCACTCAAAATCCATGTCCCTATGTCTTTCTCTCACCGCTCCTAAAGCAATACAAAGCAGACCTTGACCACCTCCCACAGGACAGTCCTCCAGATTCCTCCAAGGTTATCCTTGAAACTGAACCTTCCATAGTTGATGTTCCCCATTAATGCTGTTTTCAGGAGGAAGTAACTCTGGGTTTTCTACTAAGTAGAAGAATCAGGAACTGATTGCTCTCTGAGCTCCTTCTAGGACATCATTCATGAATTTTGATATGTGATTCACATTGAGGCCATGAATCTAAAATTGGCAAATGCACTCATCTCCATCCTGTTTCTCAGGTGGGAGATTGGAGAGTTAGCTTAGCACATGTTTCCCTACCATTAAGGAAACCACAGCAATTAGAAGAGCCCTTCCTTAGACATCCACCTCCATGTCTCCCCCATTATGACCATTATGGTAAATGAACTAGCCACATTCCTATTTAAAAGCCATTTCTCCACTGTTCTACTACATCCCCTTCCTTCATACATGTTTAAGAAATTGATGTCTCTAACAGGTGAAAGGCACCATGGAATAGAGCTAATATTTTTTTAAATGAAATACAAGCACTCTTTATAGAAATAAGAGGAAACCTAAATTTATGGAAGGGCCAATGTGCCTGGAAAAATTGACTGAGAATAATTAATTCTGAGACATAGCCTATACAACTATTAGACTATTAAAGAGAGAAAAAAAAACAATACTTATGGCCTCCACACACAACAACCATAATATCTAGAAAGGTATGAAAATTATATAAGCCTCACAATATTCAAGAAAAACCTGCAAAGCAAGGCAAGAGTGGAACATTATTTTCAAGTAATCAAAGAAAAGAAAATGAACTGTGAGCCACGGGCTTTATTGCAGCAAAACCATCATTCAATTATTAAGACTATAGAAAAACAAATGATTTATTCAAGGAATGAGAGAACTTTGTACACATGAACCCTTCTTGGATAATCTGCTAAACGGAAACATTGGCAAAATAATGATGGTGAGCATGTGGTATATTTACTGCAGATCTAAGATTTAAATAAGAATCAGGGACAAGGATGGAAAATAATTTATAAGTATTGTATGTTCTAACAAGGTAGAAAGAATACAACTTAAAATTTGAGCTGAGAATAAAGACAGAAAGAGGAAAGTAGAATAAGATCATTGTTGCATAGAAAACAGGCAGATGTCAAATTATACCATGTAGAATGAACAATCCACATAGTAAAAGGTTAAGTAAGAAAAAAGATGAATAAAGATATTTTAAAAGACACCAACGCAAAGGTAACTACTGAGCAAAATCGTACATTTTTTTTAAATCTCAAGGGAAATCTTTTAAAAAGATCAAGGAAGACATATCATATAAAGAAAGAAACACACTAAACATAACAATACATAGAAAAATTATAGGATAAATTGACACAGGAACTTTACACCTAATATAATAGTCATATCAGTATATGAGAATGAGCTTAAGTTGCCTACTAAAAGAAATGGATTTTCAAAATAACTTACAAAGCAATAGACTGTGGCATATTCCGCATATAGGAGAAACATTGAAAACAAAGTGATCCAAAGGCTTTAATTTTAATGAAAAAGAGAATGTAAAGAAGAAGATGGGAAAAGTCATGCTAGCTCAATGGGAATAACTCTAAAGCAGGAGTAGCTACTCTAATATCACCCAATGCAGAATTTAGAACAAAATGCTATTAAACAAGAAAATTAATAGCATTATAATGCAAAAACCAACGACCTACAATAAAATATATTATTTATTAAATAATATCTATGTAAGAGATTATACAAAACCCATCTGTATGTAAAATAAAAATTACAGCAATGCTAGGATAAATAGACAGAAACAATAATGATAAGATAGTTTTACACATTACTTTCAGGACAAGAGAAGTCATGTGAACAAAAAATAAATATGGATAGAGAAGACTTAACCAATGTCAATGATAAATTAGATTTCATAAATATGTATCAAACGCTGTACCCTTTAATAAAGAATATTTTCCCTTCTCAAGCAGAAGTGAAAAATTTATTGAAATTCCTCCTATATTAGATCACAAAGGAAATATAAGTAAGTTCCATAGTAGGAATATTATAAACAGAATTATCTAATCACAATGCAGTAAAAGTAGAAACAAAAGGCAAAAATTTAAAATGCCCTTCCAAAGATAAAGGAAAAGAGACTAACTTCACTCTCCAGCCTCAAACAACAAAAACATCTGAAGGAAACATTTAAAACAATGATTTTTAAGATACTGGACATCAAACCATGAAAGACAGTGATCCTGAAGAACTGGAAGACAAATGAGATAGTTCTACAATTTCACCAGCTAAGCCCCTTGAGTGGATTTCCAGGCCTCAGTGCAGAAAAGGGGAGCCCAGGTAGACACACTGACTTGAGGAACTGGAAGTC